>NC_000006.12:27332727-27635757 GCF_000001405.40 Homo sapiens | reverse complement strand
AAAAGAATGGGACCCTGAAATTGGGGATGTGTAAGAAGACCCTGATGAAGCTGGGGGCACTGAGTTTGTAAACTCTGATGAAGCCGGGGGCACTGAGTTTGTAAACTCTGATGAACCTATTTTGCCAGAAAGAACAGCTTCTCCAGCCCCAGTAGTGGCAACATCCCCTCCCCGACCCATGCTGCCATCAGCCTTTCCACTTTTGTCTGAGGAAATAAACCCTGAGCTGCCTGAGGCAATAGGTGGCCTCCCCTGAAGCAGTTGCCAGGCAAAATAATGTTGATTCTCCTCAGGAGAACCCCCAACACCCCTGTTTGCTTCTGGACCTATAACTAGACTAAAGTCCTGGTAGGCCCCTGGAGGTGAGATTGAGAGTGTGACCCATGAGGAGGTGCACTACACTTGTAAAGAACTGTTTGAGTTATCTAATTTATATAAACAGAAATCTGGAGAACAGGCATGGGGATGGATATTTAAAGGTATAGGATGATGGTGGAAGGAACATAGAGTTGGATCAGGTGGAATTGATTGACTTGGGTCCACTAAGTAGGGACTCTACATTTAATGTTGCAGCTCAGGGAGCTAAAAAAAAAAAAAAGGGTTCTAATAGTTTATCTGCTTGGTTAGCTGAAATATGGGTTCAAAGATGGTCCACTGTGAGCAAGCTGGAAATGCCTGATCTCTCTTGATTTAATGTAGAGAAAGGGATCCAAAGGCTTAGGGAGATTGGGATGGTGGAGTGAATTAGTCACTTTAGACCTACTCATCCCAGCTGGGAAGGTCCAGAAGATCCACCCTTGACCATGCTTTGCAAAATAGATTTGTGAGGGTAGCACCTGCATCTTTGAAGAGCCCTATAATTGCTCTTCTCTGTATGTCGGATCTAACAGTGGGAACTACAGTCACTCGACTACAAAACTTAAATACAATGGGAATAATTGGATCCTGAGGTGGCAGGGGCCAAGTGGCAGCACTCAACTATCAAAGGCAAGGTGGACATTGCTACCATAATGGACAGCAGAGTCAAAGCAGCAATCAGAATAGTCTGACTTGTGTAGAGCTCTGGCATTGGCTAATTAATCACAGTGTTCCTAGAAGTGAAATTGATAGGAAGCCTACTGCATTCCTATTTAATTTATACAAGCAGAAAACTTCTAAGTCGAATGGACAAAAGATTAATTTGAATTATAAAAACCAGAATCATGGCCCCTCAATCAATTTCCAGACTTGAGCCAGTTTACAGACCCAGAACCTTTTGAATGAAGGTCCCCTCGAGGAAGGACCCCACTACATTACTGACAAATTATGCAGTGAATCTTTCTCCCATCCTTCCTCAAGAAGACCCCTCGCCTTTTACCAGGGCAACTGTGCATTGGGGAAAGGAAAATGATCAGACATTTTGGGGGCTACTGGACATTGGCTCTGAGCTGATGTTGATTCCAGGGGACCCAAATCGTCATTGTGGTCCTCCAGTTAAAGTAGGGGCATACGGAGGCCAGGTAATTAATGGAGTTTTAGCTCAGATCCGACTTACAGTGGGTCCCTGGACTCATCTTATGGTCATTTCCCCAGTGCCAGAATGCATAATTGGCATAGACACACTTAGCAGCTGGCAGAACCCTCACATTGGCTCCATGACTGGTAGGGTGAGGGCTGCTATGGTGGGAAAGACCAAATGGAAGCCATTAGAGCTGCCTCTATCTAGAAAAATAGTAAATCTAAAACACTCAGTCATCAAAGGAAAGGTGAGTGTAGTGACCCTGATGAACTGAGGAGTCAAAGCAGCAATTAGAATAGTCTGACTCTCATAGACCTATGGCTTTGGCTAGTTGATCATGGTGTTCTCAGAAGTGAAATAGATAGGAAGGACACTAAATTCTTTTTTTTTTTCCTAGCAGAATGATGTTTTTATTTTACCATCATGCATAAAAGGGAAGATAAATATGCCAATGGTGCACTTCTAATTTGTCAGAGCAATTTCACAATATTTATGCAATTTAGGAATGAGACACATCAGTTATTAAGTTGTTACTAGGGCAAATTATCAAGTAAGACAATCAACTACTTGATCTGTATAAACAGAAAACTACCAGATCAAGTGAAAAAAAGTCTAACTTGATAAAAACAGAGAGTCATGGCTTCTCAGTTCCCAGACTGCCACAGTTTGCACGGTTACTACGGGACTGAACTAAGGAGGATGAACACAGAAATGAAAACTTAAAACAAAAGAAACTGTTGTAAAGAAGGGATCCAGGGAAGAAGAAGAGAGCTCCTTGCTTCTAGTGAGCAAAGGCAGCCCTGAGCTTCTACAGCCCTTCGTATTTATTGGGTAGAAAGAGCAGGGAGGAGGAGGTAACGACTGGTCAGCTGCTTGATGAGTCACAGGTTCACATTATTGCTAACAGGCTTCAGATGTGCCTTATCACAAGAAACACTGTGCTTGGGGTGTGACTGCCCTCAGCATTCCTCTGGGTGGCAGACACAGCTGTCAGCTTGCCAACATTCTGCATTTATGAGAACAGTTTGCTGTTTGCTCATATAGCCTCCAGTGGTATACTGAGTTGATCACGACCCTCACTCTTTCAGCTTGCTACACCAGACTTGAGCCAGTTTATAGACTCAGAACCCTTTGAATGGAGTGGCAGTCGGGTCTTCTTGAGGAAGGACCTGGTACGCTACCAAAAATTTATACTATTAATCTTTTTCCCAGCCTTCCTCAAAGGGATCTACCATCTTTTAACAGAGTAACTGAGCACTGGGAGCAAGGAAATAATCAGACTCATTAGGGACTATAGTTCTGAGCTGACATTGATTCCAGGAGACCCCAGATCACTGTGGTACTCCAGTCAGAGTAGGGGCTTATAGAAGTCAGGTGACCAGTGAAGTTTTAGCTCAGGTCTGACTCACAGTGGGTCCAGTAAGTCCCTGAACCCATCCTGTGGTTATTTCCCCAGTTTCAGAAAGCATAATTGGAATGGACATAGTTGGCATCTGGCAGAATCCTCACATTAGTTCCCTGACCTATGGAATGAGGGCTATTAAAGTGGGAAAGAACAACTGGAAGGCATTAGAACTACCTCTACCTAGGAAAATAGTAAATCAAAAGCAATACTACATTTCTGAAGGGATTGTAGAGATTAGTGCCACCATCAAGGACTTAAAAGATGCAGGGGTGATATTTTTGCTTTCCCACATCAGAGCTCCCTCCAGGTTCTCAGGCCTTCAAAATCTGGGACTCCAGAGGAGTCTCCCTTCTCCCTGGCCCACTGCTTCCTCAGGCTTTGGGATGCAGACCTAAATCACACCACTGTTTTTCCTGATTCTCTAGCTTGCAGGCAGCATATTGTGAGATTTCTCGCCTCCACAATCCTGTGAACCAATTCTCATAATTCCTCTTATTTACCTTTATATATCCTAGTGGTTCTGTTTCTCTGGAGAATCATGACTAACACAGAATGCGTATATCACTACATGTGTGGAAAGCTGAGGACAGAACTGGGGGAATATCCATATTTAAGGAACAGGAGGAAGATTCTACAAGACCAAATGAAATCCAGGAAAGACTGGATAAAAGCACAGCCACCTGGAATCATGTATTTCAGACACCAGCATCAAGATGAATGTGTTTTTCCAAACAAGGCAGTTTGTTTACTTTTTGATGAAATTAGGAAGAAATACATACCCAGCCACTTATGTCTGATGTTTCACTGCTGGGGGAAAATTAGCATTTCTTGTTTTCTAGTCAGGTTTTTGTAAAGTAGACAGTGGAGCTCTACACAGAACACATTTAGGTTTCACAGGTGGAGTTCAACAACTTCACTGCCAACCTTGTAGATATCAAAGCTAAGGTACCTGGGAGCACTTTCTGCACATTGATGAACCCCGGTGACAGCTACACAAATCACAGAGAATAAAACCCAGTTTTTCCACCTCCTTGCTCAGTCCCCAAAGAGCTGAAGAATAGTTTTTAAGTGGAGGAGCAAGGGAGGGAGGAAGCTTCATTGAAGCTGTACAGCCTGGCTGTGAGGCCTTCTGACTGAGGAGAAATGAGTTTGCTGGATGAGTTCAATTTGGGTCTTGCTGGATTTCTTCCCTTCTCTGAAATCTGCCAAATATCCCTCCTTGATCAAAGGAATTTTTATGGGCTCACCATGGAAAATTTATCCATTTTAGCTTTTTACTTTAAAGATAAGGGAAAAATGCATTATCGTGAAATGTCTGAAATCGCAATTGGAAGAAAACATGCTCCAGGTGAGGCTCGAACTCACAACCTCGGCATCACCCGCACATATACTGTTGTATAAGTACCGCGCGCTAACCGATTGCGCCACTGGAGCATGCTTTCCTTTGCTTGGCCATGCGCACTCTACAGAGCCATGAGCTACTGAAGCGCTCGACCCCGGCCTCGCGCCGGAGCGGCAGCGCGCTGAGCTGCCCGAGATCCTCCCTTCGCAGCCCCTCGCCTCTTGCATAAAACACAATTTGATCAAGATATCTCCATCTCTCCTGGAAGATGAATGTGATCCTCCCCCATGCCATCAGGAGCCAAAATTTCCTGGGAATATGCAGGTGCTCTTTTCAGAAAGCCCGAGAAAAGCCGAGGAGAAAAAGGAGAGACTCCGGCTTCTCCTTGCCAACGTTCTAGCAAGAACACGGTTTTTGTAGAAGACGCGAGCTATTTGGCTTCTTCGTAGCTTCACCTAGCACCGCCCCGCTGGCCTGTGGTTGCTTTCAGAGCCAGGACGCGAAGAAGCGGAGCCCGCCGCCTGCCCCTCCCTCTGCGTGTCTCCCGATACCCGCAGCGCTCCTGGCGGCCCTCCCAGCCTCGCCTGCAGCGCGCCTGCATTCGCAGTCCAGCATCTCTGGGCTGTCTTTCGGGATTCCCCAAAACTCTCCCAGAGCCTGCCTGAAAACTGTATTCGAATTCACAGAGCCAGCTGGTCAGGCACCTCTTCAGGGAAAACTGGCACAGCAACCACTCCTTATTTGTGCAGCAGGTTACAAAGGTCAAGGCGGTGTTCACCCCCAGCGCTCCTCCCTCTGTCTTGATGTTCTTTTCCAATTCATTGCAGAAAGTTTGGCTCTGTGACATATACCCGCTCAGTAACCTCATCTCTGGGGCCTCAATTTTAAGGCCAACTTTGTTGCTTGATTGTTCGATTTTGGTCTGGGGGAAAAGGCAGCTGCCAAAGTACACATACACACAAGATATGAAGTCTGTTGGCTTTTATAGAATAATTTCTGTCAACCAGAAGAATTGTGTAAAAGGAATAGCGTGCCTATTCCTGACCACGGAACACTTAACAAATAGGACTGAGAGTAACGGACCAGCGACTAAGTTTCTCCATACTTTTAAAAAAAAGGGGATGCTTCCATATCTTGATGTCTATTACATAGCTGTTTTGAGATCATTTCATGTGTTTAAAATAACACCTTAAGGTGAGGAGCAGGGAGAAGCAACACAGGCTCCTTGGTAGATGACCACCTCACCAGAGAAGCTCCTACATTCTCACTACACAGTCCCAGAGGGAGCAACAAAGCTCTGCCTGAACCTCTAGAGATTGCTCCATCTAAATAACAGTAGCTCATAACAGTAGAGCTTACCATAGTGCTACGGTTTGAGTGTTTGTGTTTCTCCAAAATTATATTGAAACTTAACCTCCATTGTGATATTAGGAGGTGGGGCCTTTTGGAAAGTAATTAAGTCCTGAGGGTTCTGGCCTCCTGAATGGGATTACTGCCTACGTAAAAGAGGCTTCAGAGGGCTGCCTGGCCCTCTCATATCTTCTGCCCTGTGAGGATGCAGCAAAAGGCATCACCTTTGAAGCAGAGAGAGCATCCCTCACCAGATACCGTATCTACTGGAGCCTTGATCTTGGACTTCCCTGTCTCCAGAACTATAAAAAAAAATTATATTCTTTACAAATTATCCAGTCAAAGGTATTTTGTTAATATAGCCCTAAAGTACTAAGACACAAGGGTCAGGCACTGTTCTCAGTGAGTTCTATAAACCTCATAACAATACTAATGATTTTATGTTCCAAAACCAGATCTAGATATGAAGAACCAGCATTTGGGGAATTATTGTTCTTAAGGGATGAAAACTTATAGGACTCACAGTATGTCACTGGATATTAAACAACTCTTATCAGGAGGCCAGTCAGTGACATAATATAGGATTTATAAGCACAAAATTATGATCGGAGAAAAAGGTGGATGGAAAGCTGAATGTTTTGAATTGTTGATGTTAAAAAAGTGACTGTCTTCAGTTCTCTACCCACTGTGCCATAGAAAACTGACCTGTTACGATCTACACCAATAGACACCCCGGGCCTCTGGCTTCAAGTTGAATTTTTTTTTTTTTTTTTTTGAGACGGAGTCTCGCTCCATTGTCCAGGCTGGAGTGCAGTGGCAATCTCAGCTCCCTGCAACCTCTGCCTTCCAGGTTCAAGTGATTCTCCTGCCTCAACCTCCCAAGTAGCTGGGACTACAGGCACGTGCCACTATGCCCGGCTAATTTTTGTATTTTTAGCACAGACGGGGTTTCACTGTGTTGACCAGGCTGGTCTCAAACTCCTGACTTGTGATCCACCCACCTCGGCCTCCCAAAGTGCTGGGATAATAGGTGTGAGCTACCATGCCCGGCCTCAAGTTGAATTTCATTAGTGGGAGCACAGCATAAGATCAGAATGAGATTGGAGAAAGAGGCTAGAGTATTTATCTGAATCTCTTTCTGTGGGTCAACTCTGGCTAGTTCATCAAAGTGGACCTTTCCTCCAAATTTCAGTAATGGTTTTTTCCTCTCTCCTTCAGGTCTAGGGGTGTAGACCACTCTGCTATCAGTAACCCTAGAGTACTGCCCTCTTCTTTCTCCTTCCCCCAGCCTGCCCATACCCTTACTAGACACCTTTATTAAACAGTCCCTTTATTAAATCCTTCTAAAATTATTGCAATTAGAATAAGACATCTGTATTCTCTTGAGATCCTGACTGATAGAAATCATGATACTATTGATAATGTCATTATGAGTGATTAGAAGTAGTTTGGGGAGGCCAAGGAGGGGGTGGCTCACGCCTGTAATCCCAGCACTTTGGGAGGCTGAGGTGGGCGGATCACCTGAGGTCGGGAGTTCAAGACCAGCCTGACCAACATGGAGAAACCCCATCTCTACTAAAACTACAAAATTAGCTGGGTGTGGTGGCGCATGCCTATAATCCCAGCTACTCGGGAGGCTAAGGCAGAAGAATCGCTTGAACCTGGAAGGCAGAGATTGCGGTGAGCCGAGATCGTGCCATTGCACTCCAGCCTGGGCAACAAGAGCCGATCTCCACCTCAAAAAAAAAAAAAAAAAGTAGTTTTGGGAGTAGTAGTTAATATTACGTTTTGGCCAGTTTTGGGATGCCGGGTGGGGTGGCTCAGCCTGTAATCCCAACACTTTAGGAGGCTGAGGCAGGAGGATTGTTTGAGGCCAGGAGTTGAAGACTAGCCTGGTATGGTGAGACCCCATCTCTGCAAAAAAAAAAAAAAAGTTTTAATTAGCCGGGTGTGGTGGCAGTCACCTGTGGTCCTAGCTACTCAGGAGACTAAGGTGGGAGGATCACATGAGCCTGGGAGGTCGAGGCTGTTGTGCGCTGTAATTGTGCCACTGCACTCCAGGCTTCCAGCCTGGGCCACAGAATAAGATCTTGTCAAAAAATATGTATATATATGTTTTAAGTAGGGGAACAAAAACATGAAGGTAAACATGCTGTTTTTGCAATAGTTATACAAATATAGAAAAATTACAAAGTCTTTACTTTTCAAGGAGATAGAGATCTGGTAGCAACTGATATGTCCTATTTAAACTCATCTCAAACAGCAACCATAGGTAATATACTCAAATTCCCTCTCAAAAATATTATGCTCTGTGCAACAATGGCAGGGAATTTTTTTAAAAAAAAATTATTTAAAAAAAGATGATTCTCAAGGGTCCAAGACTCAGTGCTCTAATCATTTTGTTCCAGAATCAGACATGGCGGTGCCTCCTTTGCCATTTGAGAAAAGTGATAAACCTTTTTACAACCTGAGAAAAATGGTGTTTACCTTTTGGTGTATTCCTCATCACAAATATTTAAGGATATATTAATAAAGTGAAAATGTTGAAATAGTATTTTAAACATTTCAGGGTGTACAAAGTTTTTTTTGTTTTTGTTTTTTGTTTTTCACACTCTGTCACCCAGGCTGGAGTACAATGGTGCAATCTCGGCTCACTGCAATTTCCGCCTCCCAGGTTCAAGCGATTCTCCTGCCTCAGCCTCTCGAATAGCTGGGATTACAGGCACTGGCCACTACGCCTGGCTAATTTTTCTATTTCTAGTAGAGACGAGGTTTCACCATGTTGGTCAGGCTGATGTCGAACTCCTGACTTCTGGTGATCCACCCACCTCAGCTTCCCAAAGTGCTGGGATTATAGGCATGAGCCACAGTGCCCAGCCCAAATTGGAGGATATTAGGGCTTGTTTTCAGTTTTTTGTCTAATGAATGCTTAAATGCATTCATTTATAGAATCAATGTATCACCTGAGAACCTTGAAATATATGTCAATTCTTCAGAACTTTTTTTTTTTTTTTTTTGAGACAGAGTCTCACTCTGTCACCCAGGGTGGAGTGCAGTGGCGCGATCCCGGCTCACTGCAACTTCCACCTCCCGGGTTCAAGCGATTCTCTTGCCTCAGCCTCCCAAGTAGCTGGGACTACAGGCGTGTGCCACCACACCCGGCTAATTTTTGTATTTTTAGTAGAGATGGGGTTTCACTGTGTTAGCCAGGCTGGTCTCGATCTCCTGACCTCGTGATCTGCCTGCCTCGGCCTCCCAAAGTGCTGGGATTACAGGCGTGAGCCACTGCACCCGGCCAATTCTCAGAATTTTTATTCTAGATTGTTGCCCTTAATAGTTCATTCTTTGGGTGATTCTTTCAAATTGTATGTATATGTTGGGGATTAGAAAAGGATACCCCAAAGTATGGTGCTTGGGCATGCTGAGTTCTTAGACTTAAAGGAAACTGGAAGGCTCTTAGAAGCGGCCTCAAAATTAGGGTCTCTCTGGCCTTCCCTTGTTTCTCCCCTCCAAGAGCAAGTGCAGGGAGGGGCTGTATCTGAAGTTCCCCATACATGACTGAAGGAAGTTCTTCCAAAATGAATGCAATTGTCTTGAACTTTTTTCCTAGGAATCTCATCAAACAACCAGAGAAAATTAATCACTGAGAGAAGAGGAGATTAAAAGTCACCATGGCCAGGCACGGTGGCTCACGCCTATAATCTCAGCACTTTGGGAGGCCGAGGCGGGTGGATCACCTGAGGTCAGGAGTTCGAGACCGGCCTGGCCAACATAGTGAAACGCTATCTCTACAAAAAGTATAAAAAAATAGTGGGGCATGGTGGCACATGCCTGTAATCCCAGCTACTTTGGAGGTTGAGGCAGCAGAATTGCTTGAAGCTAGGAGGCAGAGGTTACAGTGAGCTGAGATTGTGCCATTGCACTCCAGCCTGGGCAACAAGAGTGAAACTCTGTCTCAAAAAAATAAAAAATAAAAAATAAAAAAATTCTCCACTTTGGTGCTTGGAATGAAAATAAATCTCAGGACCCCAGAACCACTAAGACAAAGGGAAAAGTCAAGCTGGGAAATGCGTCAGGCAAACCTGCCTCCTATTTTAATCCCAAATAAGATAACTACAAAGATGAAAAAGCTACATACCTCCCTCACAGTTTTCCCACAAAAAAATTCCTTGTGGGCCTCAAGATCTTTACCCTAAAACAGTTCTGTTGAATTTTATCCTGGCAATGTAAATTGATAGCTTATCTTCACAGATGTGAGACAGAAAGTCATCCCTCTGCTCACCTGGGACAAATGCATATCTGATTGCTTCCTCTGCCCTATTGTTTATGTAAAAATGCAGTTTCCCTGAGTGAGACTAAGGCATAAATGACAATTTGCTGCCCCCAGGTAAATTGTGTATTCAGTGAATTGAGTCCTTGATCAAGGACTCAAAAGAATGCAACTGTTTGTCTCTTATCTACCTATGACCTGGAAACCCCCTCCGCTCAACTCCTTCAAGTTGTCCCTTTCCAGACCAAACCAATGTACATCTTACACATATTGATTAATGTCTCATGTCTACCTAAAATGTATAAAAGCAAGCTGTACCCTGACCACTTTGGGCACATGTCATCAGGACCTTCTGAGGCTGTGTCACAGGCATTTTCTGAACCTTGGCAAAATAAGCTTTCTAAGTTGATTGAGACCTGTCTCAGATATTTCAGGTTCACAGGTGGTATGTACACTGTGTAGGGCAGGGGGTGAGGGGGTAGGGGGAGGAGTGGAGGAATGCAGACCAGGAAAAAGTTGCACAGTATCTCTCTATACTAGAAACCCCTCTCCTGCTACACTAAAAAGGGGTACTTGTCACAAGATAGAGCTGTCAAACTTCACTATTTTGGCATCTCCTCTCTGTAGGATACAGTTAGGAGAGTCTCTGGGAGTGATTTTGGAGTCTACCCAGAATGAGTGATCTCCAAGAAATAATCAAGGCTTGGCAAGACACAAAGAAAAAAATAAAATAATGTGGAAATAGGGGTCAGTTGCCACAAAGATGCCCAGAAAGTCACACTAAAGCTCCCTCTCATCACTGTGGAGTAATTAGCGTCATATAGAAAGCCAAGTATTAGTCAGGATTCTCCGAGAAACCAGACGAATAGCAAATAGATAGACAGGTAGATAGATAGATAGATACTAGATATATGAGAGTAGATTTATTCTGAAAATTAGCTTGTGAGGTTACAAAGGTCAAGAAGTCCCATGATCTGCTGTCTGCAAGCTGGAGAGCCTGTAAAACCAGTGGTGTAATTCAGTCTGAGTCCAATGTCCTAGGACAAGAAGGGAGGCTCTAGTGTAATCCTACAGTCTGAAGATCCCAAAGCCAGGAGCTCCAATGACAGGAGAACATGCATGTCCCAACTCAAGAAGACAGAGCATTATCCCTTCCTTCACTTTTTGTTCTTTTCAGGCCTTTAATGGATTGAATGATGTCCAGGCACACTGGTGAGGGTGGATCTGCTTTACTCAGTCTGCTGATTGAAATGCTAATCTCTTTCAAAAACACTCTCACAGACATCCAGAAATGACATTTTATCAGCTTTTTTGGGTGTTCCTTACCCCAATCAAGTTAACACACATAATTTGCCATCACAGACCGTAAGAACACTAAATCCACTACACCTTTCTCTCTCCAGAAGGAAGGTGAGGCTGGTGATCGGAAAAGATAGGGTTAGTGGAAGGATATGGTCCTAAGGCTAATTATTTCTGACAACCTCATGTTAGAGTAGGCACTAGGCAGACATGAGCATGGCATGTCTGCCTAGCTGCCCCAATCCCCTGCCCCAAGAATGTCAGGTCACCAGCAGGTGATGATCAGGGAGTTGTTAAACTGTCTCTCTGGAATAATAATTGGTCAGCTGGGCGCTGTGGCTCACGCCTGTAATCCCAGCACTTTGGGAGGCCGAGGCAGACAGATCACCAGGTCAGGAGATCGAGACCATCCTGGCTAACACGGTGAAACCCCGTCTCTACTAAAAATACAAAAACTAAATTAGCAGGGTGTGGTGGCAGGTGCCTGTAGTCCCAGCTACTTGGGAGGCTGAGGCGAGAGAATGGCCTGAACCCGGGAGGCAGAGCTTGCAGTGAGCCGAGATCACGCCACTGCACTCCAGCCTGGGCGACAGAGCGAGACTCTGTCTCAAAAAAATAAATAAATAAACAAATAATAAATAAAATAAAATAATAATTAGTCATAGCCAGCACCAGGGAAAGGCAGTCTCCCAGTAGAGGCAGTCTCCCAATAGATAGAAAACATTTGGTGTTGGTGATCAGCAGCTTCCCAGTAAGGTCTCGGGAGCTGGGCGAGGGGGTCAAGCATGTGCACTAAGAGGCAAAATGATGGCGTTTAACCAGTGTCTGACCTTCCTCTAGGAACACTAGAAACACTAGACTGCTAAGAGAAAACACCTCAAATGAGCATGTGCACAACTTCAGTAAACACACAATGCATGTGGCCCCTCCCAAGGGCTGGCAGGCCACTGAGCATGCAGATAGCCCACCTTAAGGGAAAAATCAAAAGAGGAGAAACAGAAACCCCGGAACCATGCCAATGTATAAAACCCCAAGGCAAGGGCCAAAGAGCACACGGATCTCTCAAGTTGCATGCTTGGCCTTCTTCCAAGCTCTAAAACTTGCCTTGGTCTCTTACTCTACCTTATGCCCCTCGGACAAATTATTTCCTGCTTGGAGGCAATAACTGAGTTACTGCAGACCCGTATGGAATCACCACTCCAAACACTCAGACCAACAATTTCACCTAAGCTAGAAGAACAATTTAAAACTGGCAAGTTAGAGTTCTTCCGGTATGACAGTCACTTTGAAATGGCTAAACCAGCTCTACTAGAAGTACATAAGGCATTCACTAAAGATTATAAAGTAGTTCATAGAACACCTGAGTAAGCCAGAACACCAGGCTTGTAGACTATACAGCTAGAAACAACACCCAAAATCACACTACAGAACTGCTCACACTGTTGCCACTACAAGGCAATAGTTCATGGCTTTTACAGGAAAATGAACATATTGGCTACTACCACCACCAGAATGGATGCCTTGTACTGTCTGCTTCTTTATGTCCACAATTTCATTTCTTTTCTTTCTTCCTTCCTTTCTTTCCTTTCCTCCCTTCTTTCGTTTCCTTCCTTCTTTCTTTTCTTTTTTTTTTTTTTTAGATGGAGTCTCACTCTGTTGCCCCAGGCTGGAGGCGCAGTCTCAGCTCACTGCAACCTCCACCTCGCGGGTTCAAGAGAGATTCTCCTGTCTCAGCCTCCCGAGTAGCTGGGACTACAGGCGTGAGCCACTACACCCAGCTAATTTTGTATTTTTAGTAGAGATGGGGTTTCACTATGTTGGCCAGGCTGGTCTCAAATTCCAAACCTCAGGTGATCCACCTGCCTTGGTGGCTGGGATTACAGGCATGAGCCACTGCGTCCGGCCTATGTCCACAATTTCTGAATCAAAACCTGATGTGGATGAACTTGGTTGGTGAATTCTTTGTCATATGCTTATGCTCTGGATGCAAAGAAAATGAGTTCAAAGACAAATGAAGGGGGCTTTGTGCTGTGGCTCACGCCTGTAATCCCAACACTTTGGGAGGCTGAGGAGGAAGGATCACTTGAGGACAGGAGTTTGGGATCAGCATGGGCATCCTACTGAGACCCCGTCTCTACAAAAAATTTTAAAAATTACCCAGGTGTGGTGTCATGCACCTATAGTTTCAGCTACTGGGGAAGCTGAGGTGAGAGGATGGCTTGAGTCCAGGAGTTCGAGGCTCCAGTGAGCTATCATCACACCATTGCACTCCAGCCTGGGTGACAGGGAGACCTTGTCTTAAGAAAAGAAAAAAAAAAAAGACAAGTGAAGGGGATCAAAATATGGCATCTCAAAATATGCTACTATAGCATAAGAATTATTTTTAGCTGAAGGCAACTGAGTGAAACACCAGATGCCAGAAATGCTCTCTACCTTCCCCCTTTCTGTCTAAGAGCAGAGCATAAATTTACTTTTGTGAAGGTCTTCCCTCTCCCCTCTCACATACTGGGAAGAGGAGACAACTGTTATCATTGGAAATGCATCATCTACAATCTGCTTAAACAAACCTTATTTCCATTAACATCTTCCCCCCATCTGTATATTTACCTTACCTTACCTAAAAGCCTAAATGCTTTTCATTTGTCTTGTCAGTTCTCCAGAATTTATCACCCTTTGTTAAATAGTGCATAAGTTCTCAAGCCTAAACACTTCTTTGGGTTTTTACTTTCTTTTCTGTGAGATCCCTGTGTACACATTAAAATTAAAATAATAGCATCAAACAAAGTTTGTATGCCTTTTCTCCTATTATTGTTTTTTGTCAGTTTAATTTCCAAGACTCCACTCACTAAACCTAAGAAAGTCAAGGAAAAAGTTTTATTTCCCCCTATAGAAGATAACAGAATTGAGTGAAAGCAGAGATTGAAGAGCAAAGAAAAGAGTGTGCTATAACAGTAGCAGAATTAACAAATTAGAAACAGCAAGTAAAGGAGTTTGTGGTCCTTCCCCAAAAAACCGAGTGGCAAGAAAAGGTTAGTGAAAATTTCAAATAATTCAAAGAAAAAAGACAAACATATAAAAAGTTATAAATTTTATTGAAAGATAATGGATAACTAAGCAAAATCAGGTAACGTGTGTCTGAAGTTGAGAATAACTTCAGTGGAAAAGGAAATAAAACTTCAATAGAAATATTTGTAAATATTTATAAAGAAAGCCATGTTCCATGAAAAACAAGTACTTTCAATCCATCAAAACCGATACCTTGGCTGGGCTCTGTGGCTCATGCCTGTAATCCTAGCACTTTGAGAGGATGAGGTAGGCAGATCGCTTGACGCCAGGAGTTCAAGACCAGTCTGGCCAACATGGCGAAACCCAGTCTCTACTAAAAATACAGAAATTAGCTGGATGTGGTGGCACACGCCTGTAGTCCAGCTACTCAGGAGGCTGAGGCACAAGAACCTCTTGAACAGGGGAGGTGGTGGCTGCGGTGAGCCGAGATTCCCCCACGACATTCCAGCCTGTGTGACACAGTGAGACTCTGTCTCAGACAAACAAACAAACAAACAAAAACAAAACTGAGATACCTTTTAGGTCACCCCAGAATTTAGAAAAAACAAATAGATAAACAAAATGGAGACACATCCTCATGGTTACCAAACTTCTAAATGTAATTGCCCAAAAGGTTCGTCCTGCCAGCTGCCCAGGTGGAGCTGATTTATCAAGACGGGGAATGGCAATGGAGAAAGAGTTTAATACACATAAAGCCAGCTAAATGGGAGATTGGAGTTTTACTGTTACTCAAATCAGGCCCCCTGAAAATTCAGAAGCTACGGCTTTTAAATGATAGTTAAAAATTAAATTCCTCCCAAAGTTAGTTCCACCTACACCCAGGAATAATAAGGGCAGCTTGGAGGCAAAGGCCAAGATGGAGTCAGGTCAGATCTCTTTTATGGTCATACTTTTCCCACTGTTATAATCTTTGCAAAAGTGGTTTCAAAAATACAGAAAGAGGCCAGGCGCTGTAATCTCAGCACTTTGGGAAGGCAAGGCGGGCAGATCACCTGAGGTTAGGAGTTCGAGACCAGCCTGGTCAAAATGCTGAAAGCCCATCTCTACTAAAAATACAGAAAATACCCAGGCATAGTGGCGGGCACCTGTAATCCCTGCTACTTGGGAGGCTGAGGCAGGAGAATAGCTTGAACCCGGGGGGCGGAGGTTGCAGTGAGCCAAGATCGCGCCACTGCACTCCAGCCTGGGTGACAAGAGTGAGACTTCCTCTAAAAAAAGAAAAGAAAAAATACATTATTATTTACTAGATATTATTCAAATATAATAAAGGAGTGCAAATGGTGCTATGAAAAAGCATCTCTCACCTAGATTGAGGGCAAAGTGATACATTATTTGAAATCTGAATTAGTAGGACTTAGCTAGAAGAAGGGATGAAATTATTATTGCATGCAGAGAAAGCAGTATCTATGAAGTCATGGAAACATAAAGTACCCTGAGGGCTTTCAGAAAGGAATGATAGTCCTAATGTGCAAGCAACTAAAAGCTGCTCTGGCGGATTTTAGTGGAAATGAATAATCTGTGCCTGTCCTGATTCTTAAGCAATTTAAAGTAGATTTTCCAAACTTAGTACAACAAAAAGTGTTGGATTATTTCAAGAATCCAAATTACCATTTTGAGGAGTGTATTTGTGGCTTGTGGACATTATTATGTTATTCAGTATTTAGAACAAATGTGGTGGAGAGAAACTCCATCATTTTAGTCTCTGATATAGATTACTGATTTTAACAATTTATGTGAGCCACTCAGATGTTATCTTTGGGTGTTCAATTTTGCAGGCAGCTCAATTCCGATTCTAACGCATAAATTGAGACCAGGAGGATTGGTCACTTTACATTTAGGTAGAATCTTTATCAGGGCTTGCTGTGTTGTTTTCTTTGTTCTATATTTGCTGACTTTGATTTCTCAGGCTTCAGGTAAATTTTCTACCTCCTGCGGTATTTACAAACTCATTACATTCTGATTGTCTCTTTCTTTCTTTTTTTTTCTTTCTTTCAACAGGGTCTCAGCTCTGTCACCCAGGGGCGTGACCATAGCTCACTGCAACCTTAAACTCCTAGACTAAAATGATTCTACCTTGGCCTGAAATTACAGGCTTGAGCCACCGTGCCCAGCCTGGTTGTATTTCTTTAGCTGTGCTTCATTCAAGAAACTGTTACTTAGCAGAGACCAGGGTTCATACTCTGCAAGGCTCTGAGATACAATATTAAATAAGATATGATGCCTGCTATCAGGGAGCTTACAGTCCATTAAATAAGCATCATAAAATCGATAATTATAATGTGGTTTCTTTAGGCCTACAATGACTAAATTAGTGGGGACTCCTTAGGTTGCAGGTGACTGAGATTTGATACAAATTAGTTTATCAGAAAGAGACATTTATTAGCTGGTTTATATTGCCACTAATTCTTGTATTGGTAGATCTTCAAAGATTCCCACAGCTGAATTTCGTGTATCATCAACAGTTCAGATAGCACAGCAGTTTCATTTCCATCTGTTATGAGGAATTTTAATTTTAGAATTCCTTACGTTTGGTGATAATTTTGGTGCTGTGTATTTAGTTTTGGTTTTCAGTAGGAAGCAGTGAAGCCAGCTTGCTTCTGCCATTTTGGAACCAGAGTGTATTTCTAGCATTTCCTACTTTTGCTACCAGTACATTCCTGTATTCTGAGAAGGTGGGCTAAAATGGGTGCTTATCGATTTGAATAATTTCCAGTTTTAGGTTTTGGCATCTAATAAACGCACCCTTCGGCAGGGCGCGGTGGTTGACGCCTGTAGTCCCAGCACTTTGGGAGGGCGAGGCGGGCAGATCACTTGAGATCAGGAGTTCCAAACCAGTCTGGCCAACATGGCGAAACCTTGTCTCTACCCTAAAACACAAAAATTAGCCGGGCTTGGTGGTGCAGGCCTGTAGTCCCATCTACTCGGGAGGCTGAGGCGGGAAAAAATCGCTTGAACCCGGAAGGCGGAGGTTGTATAGAGCCGAGATGGCGCCACTGCACTCCAGCCTGGGTGACGTGAGCGAGACTTTGTCTCAAAAAAACATAAAAATAAGACACAAGAAGTGTAGGTAAACACCAGAACCCAAAGGGCAGTCTGTTAGGCCCTGGTGAGATTTGAACTCACGACCCCTAGGTTTACGAGACCAGCGCTCCAACCGCTGAGCTACAGGGCCACGATAGAATTGAACTTAATTCCTCTTACTAAAGCTATTTTCACTCTCGACCCAGTTTTGTTGCTGATTTTTCATTTTTCTCCCTCTTCCGATTTTCTGGCTTATGGTCAAACAACACAGATCCCTGCATTCTCTAATAATTTTAGCCTCCCCTCCAATTAGCTTTCGGCCATTGTTAGCCACGCCCCACTGTCTGCAGTACTTTTCACTCTGCTTAATGCCCAGGTATTCTGAACTTCAGTTCTTAGCGCCTTGGGGGAAAAGTGCCTTCATCTGTCTCAAATTCCCCCAAATCATAAATCAAAAGAGCCACACTGACAGGTGAGGGTAAGGGTGAGACAGTAAAGAAAGGGGCAGTGAAGCACCTCCCGGGGACAGAAGCCCAAGAGAGGCTCCGCCTGCTCCAGTCGTCTTTAAGATTGTATCATTTTGGATCCTCCACCCAGGGAGTAAATCCTTGCCATGTTTCTACTTCTCCACTGAGCGACACCGAAATCCAAATAAAAGAGCTCCATCCAACGGCGCTGTAGCAAAGAAACCAGAAATTTGTTCTCTTCCACAAGGGGAAAGGGGCCGGGAGGGGCATGAGAAAAGCTATTTGAGATTCGGCTCGGACAAGCAGACCGGGGTAGAAAAGTAAACTAAACCATAAATCTGAAGTCTCCTGTCCCAAGTCGGGGGCCCTGTGCTCATAAAGAAACAATATCCCTTAAAAAAATAAAATAAATAAAAACTTAAAAAGTCCTCGACTACTGACAAATACAAGTAACATTAAAACAACTCAGAAAAAAATGCGAGCCACTGGTTGGGAAGCGGGGAATCCAGGCTCTATGCGCCTGTCTTATCCCGAGGACGCAGCTCTCCCTTCCAGAAGACAGGCTGTGAAATCTGCTGTTTAAGAGCAATCCAGCCAGCTGTCCCAAAGGTCTTAAAGGGTAAAACAATCACATATTCCGCATCCCCACCTTCATCCCCCAAAGTCATACCGGCAAAACAATGCCCGTGTGACCGGAAGTGGTATAAACGCAAACAATAGGAAAACAAAACAAGAAATGGAAGGGCATATTAACGCGGCAGAGAGTGAGAGCGGAGAGAATGCAAGGTCAATTTTATCACTGTTCTCCATCCTGAACTTCTTAGAATCAATGGTTCGCCTCCCAGAGGAGCCAGTTGTTTGTTTCTATTTTCCAAAATCCTAAACTTGCCTGGGTAGAAGGGACCCTTTCTCCTGAAGCTCCTTGTCATCACCCGAGTACCAGAGAAGAGGGGGATGCAGGTCCAAGAAGGATCGTGAAGTCCCAACAAGCCTGTGCAGGGCAGTTTTTGAGAATGTCGTTTTATGTTTAGGTACAGTGTTCGCCTCCTGATTTCTAGTGCCTAAAGAAAAGTATAACCTCAGTGAAACACAGGTCTATTATGTTCAGAGGAATCGCTTGAACCTAATTTTTTTTTTGGTGTGTTTTTTTAATGCTCTTAAGGTATCTCAGTAGGCTCTTTTTCTTTCCTTGTCTGCTGAGATTAAGACTTCTGATTCTTAAAGGTATTCATTTAATACAGTATTCAGTAAAGCATGAGCAATCATGGGAAAGGTACTGTGGATGTCACTTCTTTATCTCAAGGAGTACACAGTAGTTAAGAGTAGGCAGGGCATGCATTCAAATCTCTACCACATAAGGCACTTGTGACACAATAGTTAACCTGCAAACACACTATTATATCGCAAGTGTTTTGGCAGCTACGCGAGGGCCTGCAAGGACTGAAATTCTGGAAAAGTACCAGCCTTAATATCTCTTACTTCTCACTTCATTTTCCACAAGTCAGCAGAGGCTTGCACCAGGGAACTTACATGGAGGGTGTCTGGAGCCAAAAGATAAAACAGACCTTCAGTTCTTGATAAAATTAGGTATGGCCTCTTTTACAGAGCTTTTCTCAACTTGGGCTCCTTCAGAATTAGAGAAGACTCATAAGTTAGGGGGTGGAGGGAAGGGGACAGTGGTGAGAAAACAGAGACATAAAGGAAAAATAATAAAGATGAAAGGGAGAATGCTGAAGGGGCGGGAATTAGGAGTGGATAGGTAGCCTGTTCCTATACACATTTCCTCTACCAAATTTGTTAGCCACATTCCCAAAGATGCCCTGACTCCACTGCCATCTCCCAGGCTCAAGTCTCTGGCTGTGAATCTGGATTTTAGAAAATAGGTAATGAACCACTTTTCAACTTATGAACACCACATTATATACTATATACTATATATAGGTATATGTAGGTACATATATGTGTATGTGTATAGGTATATATTGTATATGGAGCTTGTGCCAGAAGGCAAATCAACTATATCACTAATCATCTTTAGTTCCATTGACTCACTGATTGTAGGAAGAGTTCCTCAGTAAAGGCAGCAGTGCATTTAATTATACTTTGGTGCAAGCTTATCTTACCATACCATATCCATATGGAATATCATGCAGCTCTTACAGGTTTTTAGAAGAAACCGGCATTTAATAATACAGAGAAAGTTCATGAACTACCATTGAGTGAACAAAGCAGAGGACAAAACTTTATGAATGATCACAATTTCATTCTCAGTGTATTTGCAGAGCAAAATCTTAGAAGGAAATAAATCAGCATACTGATGGCTATTGGTTGACTTTTGAATTTATCTATAAGTCAAATGATTATATTGCAATACTTTCTAAATTATAAAAAAATATGCAAAAGTAATATTTCTTTGTATTTGGTTTAACCTTCAAATAAATGTGATTTGAGGAGCTGAATAATTCAGGATTTAGTAAATGTAGGATCTGTCCCTTTGACTCTGTGACACTAAATTAAACAATTAACTTTATTGTTTTTATTGTTATTAATTTCTACTTCCGGTAGGAAGCAGTGGCTCACGCTTATAACCCCAACACTTTGGGAGGCCAAGGCGGGAGGATCACCTGAGGTCAGGAGTTCGAGACCAGCCTGGCCAACATGGTGAAACCCTGTCTCTACTGAAAATACAAAAAATGGCCGGGTGGTGGCTCATGCCTGTAATCCTAGCACTTTGGGAGGCCGAGGCGAGCGGATCACGAGGTCAAGAGATGGAGACCATCCTGGCCAACATGGTGAAACCTCGTCTCTACTAAAATACAAAAATTAGCTGGGTATGGTGGCGCGTGCCTGTAATCCCGGCTACTCGGGAGACTGAGGCAGGAGAATCGCTTGAACTCGGGAGGCGGAGGTTGCAGTGAGCTGAGATTGCCACTGCACTCCAGCCTGGGGACAGAGCGAGACTCCGTCTCAAAAAAAAAAAAAAAAAAAAAAATACAAAAAATTAGCCGGACGCGGTGGCGTGCTCCTGTAATCCTAGCTACTCAGCAGGCTGTGACAGAATTGCTTGAACCTGGGAGGCAGAGGTTGCAGTGAGCTGAGATTACACCATTGCACTCCAGTCTGGGTGACAAGAGTGAAACTCCATCTTAAAAAAAAAAAATCCTACTTCTATTGTAGTATATACCTTTGCCTAATTAGAATGTTTTAATGAATGTTTTCAGAGCACCCGTTATATTGATTTCTAATTTCAGAGTTATCTTTAAGAGGGAAAATCACAAATGCAGGGAAGTTACTATTCAGGCCGTGGACCTTGATGCTCTTATAGACTCCATCTTTCTTTTTTTTTTTTTTTTTTTTGAGACGGAGTCTCGCTCTGTCGTCCAGGCTGGAGTACAGCGGCGCGATCTCAGCTCACTGCAAGCTCCGCCTCCCGGGTTCACGCCATTCCCCTGCCTCAGCCTCCCGAGTAGCTGGGACTATAGGCGCTCGCCACCACGCCCCTCTAATTTTTTGTATTTTTTAGTAGAGACAGGGTTTCACTGTGTTAGCCAGGATGATCTCGATCTCCTGATCTCGTGATCCGCCCGCCTCGGCCTTCCAAAGTGCTGGGATTACAGGCGTGAGCCACCGCGCCCGGCCTAGGCTCCATCTTTGAAGCGCCTCCCCACACTGCGGTCAGGAGAGTAAGGATCAGAAGTGGGCTTGGGTAAATCTGGTTATATTCATCAGGTGGATTGAGGAAAGATTATTGGAGGGCTTCTTTATAGAATTAAGGGAACCAAGAAGATGTGAGGAAATCTTCAGGGATCAGAACAGTGGGAATCTTCACTATTCCTAGGCATTAAGGGAAAAGAGAAGGGGCAGAATTGCCAGAATTTGGCAAGAGTTCCAGCAACGGGAGAGGAACCACCCACTAGGAGCTGTGCCCATGGGAGGAACACAGGCTGTCAGGGAGCAAGTAGGAGAAATACTGTACATGCATCTGCCTCTCTTCTTTGTGCCCTCTTATCTCCTGCTGCTGTCTTCCATTGGCTGAATCCAAACGGGAGCCAGGGGCCAAGTGATTTCTTTCCAGGGAGAAGAAAGGCAGATAATGGATCTGGAAGTGCAAATGCAGAATAATCTGCATTATCTGATTGTTCTTATAATTATAGTGATATCTTCCAGGAGTTTGTTGGGTGATGAATTTCTGTACTTTTTTTTTTTTTTTTTTTTTGAGACAGAATCTTGCTCTGTTGCCCAGGCTGGAATGCAGTGGGGCGATCTCTGCCCACTGCAACCTTTGCCTCCCGGATTCAAGCGGTTCTCTTGCCTCAGCCTCCAGTGTAGCTGGGATTACAGGTGCCCACCACCATGCCCAGCTAATTTTTGTATTTTTAGTAGAGACAGGGTTTCGTCATGTTGGCCAGGCTGTCTCGAGCTCCTGACGTCAGGTGATCTACCCGCCTCAGCCTCCCAAATTGCTGGGATTACAGGCGTAAACCACCGCACCCGACCGATGCTTCATAAACTTTGAATGATAGGATAAGTTGAAGCCTGAGTAGCTGATAAAAAATAATATTTACCTCAAGATATTTTTTATTTTCTCACATTGGGAGCACCACCACTGCAAGGAAGAGTATGAATAGGTTTGCCATAAACTGCTATGACGGAGGAAGTCTAGGTTCTTCCCAATAGATGCATCTCAGTGAGACTAGTATATAGAAGGCTCACCTTCTGTCAAAAAAGGGTGAGGAGGCATCTGGCCTGGGGAAGAATGCGATGCAGCTTCTGGCTTTAAGCAATAGCTTGGTTCATTCTAAATAGCCTGATAAGGCTGCAGTGATATTTTCTGGCTTTGTTATCCCAGTTTGTTTTTCTTGGAGACTTCATGAACTATATAAATAATATTTCATAAATATTTTTCTAATTATACCAATAGAATGAATTCTCTTTTAAAAATACATATGCTGGGACAGGCACAGTGACTCACGCTTGTAATCCCAGCACTTTGGGAGGCCAAGGAGGGTGGATCACGAGGTCAAGAGATGGAGACCATCCTGGCCAACATGGTGAAACCCTGTCCCTACTAAAAATACAAAAATTAGCTGGGCGTGGTGGCATGCACCTGTAGTCCTAGCCACTCGGGAGGCTGAGGGAGGAGAATTGCTTGAACCCGGGAGGCAGAGGCTGCAGTGAGCCACGATCTCGCCACTGTACTTCAGCCTGGCAACTGAGCGAGACTCCGTCCTAAAAAAAAAAAAAATGTTGACTTCCATACAAGTGTTGGAATATCCCTCTAATACTAGTGGTGTGCAAAACTGTGCAGGGAACACAAGTTACTGGTCTACAAAAAGACAAGCTTGCACCAAAGTATAATTAAATGCACTGCTGCCTTCACTAAGAAACTATTCCTACTATAATCAGTCAATGGAAATAAAGATGCTTAGTGATATAGTTATTTGCCTTCTGGCATAAGCTCCATATCTTGAAACAGACCAGACTATTAACTAACATTTATAAATTAGCACTGGGTTGCAGACCACGCTTTGAGTGGCTGTGCTTTACAGTCTTATGCCTCATAGTTATTTACGCCAAAACAGAATGTATCCACTGACAATATCTACATACATTAGTACTACCTTGGATCAGTAGACAGCTAACTGGTTCTGTTGGACTAAGAGTTTACATAAAAAGCAAAAAGAAGATTCTGATTTTGTAAATTTTGGTGGCCAGTGCCTGATAAACAAGACTCAACTAAAATTCATAGCATTTGTCCTTACAGCTAATGCCTGATGAGGCTATTGTAATACTAACTGTGTTGACCTTTGAAATACCTAATAGGTAAAATTTTGTGGAACAAGTACTTTTGCCTCCTTCTTTGTAGGATGAAAAGGGGGCCGCAGGAGCCGAGGAGACATAGATGCATTTCTAGCCAGGCATAAATAACTGAAACTAGGGTGAGGCGTGGTGGCTCACACCTGTAATTGCAGCACTTTGGGAGATCCAGGCGGGAGGATCACTTGAGGCAAGGAGTTCAAGACCAGCCTGGCCACTATGGTGAAACCCTGTCTCTACTAAAAATACAAAAAATTAGCCAGGCTTAGTGGCAGGCACCTGTAAGGAGAATCGCTTGAACCCGGGAGGCAGAGGTTGCAGTGAGCCAAGATCTCACCATTGCACTCTAGCCTGGGCAACAAGAGTGAAACTCTGTCTCAAAAAAATACAAAAATACAAAAGTTAGCCAAGCATGGTGGCACATGCCTGTACTCCCAGCTACTCGAGAGGTTGAGGCTGGACAATTGCTTGAACCCAGGAGGCAGAGGTTGAAATGAGTGGAGATTGTGCCACTGTACTCCAGCCTGGGCAACAGAGTGAGACCCTGTCTCTAAATAAATAAATAAATAAATAAATAAATAAATAAATAAAATAACTGAAACTGGGTTCAAAGAGCTTGGAAAGTAAAGTGGTTAGGGAAGTTCATTGGCAAGAATGTCAGGGATTCTATAAATGAGGCATTTTATCTCAGTTCCAAGAAAAGTCAGAACAGAAGAGCAATTGGGCCATGAAGCTCACTTGTATGGGAAAGAGACTGTCTTTATAACCTGCTTAGGTAAATAAAGAGAAATAAGTACTTTACCATCCAAAGAGGAGGCTGATGGAGCCTCCAGCACATGATTATGGTGGAGGAAAGTATGCCTAGCTCTCTGCTTTCTGTAGATATCTAAACCCCAAATTTATATCCCACCCCACTCCAGGCCATGCTTGCATGTAAGGGGCAACTTGTACAGAATAGAGAAAAATTGTTAGCCCAAGCAGTCTGTAGTTGGTTCCGACTCCTCACACTTATATCACATAAACAACAAACATATGGAAAGACATGGAAGTTCTAATCATCCTCCAGAAGAACAACAAAGAACTCAAAGTTATCAGTGCATACAGAATGAAAGGTACAGAACAAAAGAATAGAGCAATAAAGTCATGCCCTTGGCTTCATCTTTAGACCATGTTTTGCTGACAATGCCTTGGGTCTGATGTTTTCCTAGAAGACTTTTTTTTTTTTTCCAGCTAATGTGCCGTGGCAGAAGCCTTTTCTTTTCTTCTCTCTTTCTCTCAGCAGAATCAAAGCCTTTTCTTAATTACAGCATTATCTGTCATCTTGACAGGCTGGTAATGAGAAGCAGTTTTATTTTTGAATATCCAACAAGTCCTAAAGTATTCTTTCTTTAGTTTATCTCCCTGCTCTCTTATTTTACTATAGGCAGCTAGAAAAAGCCAGGTGGCATCTTCAATATATTGCCTGGAAATAACCTTAGCTAAATAAGCAAAATCGTTAGGTATATTTTCTACTTTCCACATTTTCTTTCTTTCTTTCTTTTTTTTTTTTTTTTTTTTTGATATGGAGTCTCACTCTGTCACCTAGGCTGGAGTGCAGTGGCTTGATCTCGGCTCACTGCAAGCTTCACCTCCCGGGTTCATGCCATTCTCCTGCCTCAGCCTCCCAAGTAGCGGGGACTACAGGTGCCCGCCACCATGCCAGGCTAATTTTTTTTTGTATTTTTAGTACAGACGGGGTTTCACCATGTTAGCCAGGATGGTCTCGATCTCCTGACCTCGTGATCTGCCCACTTTGACCTCCCAAAGTGCTGGGACTACAGGCGTGAGCCACAGCTCCCAGCCTCTTTCTTTCTTTTTTCTTTTTCTTTCTTTCTTTCTTTCTTTCTTTCTTTCTTTCTTTCTTTCTTTCTTTCTTTCTTTCTTTCTTTTCTTTTTTCTTTCTTTCTTTCTTTCTTTAATTCATTAGGTATATTTTCTACTTTCCACTCTTTCTTTCTTTCAAATTCATTAGGTATATTTTCTACTTTCCACATTTTCTTTCTTTTCTTTTCTTTTTTTGAGACAGAGTTTCACTCTTGTTGCCCAGGCTGGAGTGCAATGGTGTGATCTTGGCTCACTGCAACCTCGCTCCTCACCCCCATCAGGTTCAAGCGATTCTCCTGCCTCAGCCTCCTGAGTAGCTGGGATTACAGGCATGTGACACCACACCCAGCTAATTTTGTATTTTTAGTAGAGACGGGGTTTCACCATGTTAACCAGGCTGGTCTCAAACTCCTGACCTTAGGTGATCCACCCACCTAGGCCTCCAAAAGTGCTGGGATTACAGGTGTGAGCCACCGCGTCCGGCCTACTTTCCACATTTTCACAACAGTGTTGCTAAACTTTCTGTCTCTAGATAACAAAAGTCCGGTTTCTTCCAGCTTCTAGTAACATTTTCCACACTCTCCATTAAGCATCACTGACTTTGGGACTTAGTGACAGGCAGCAGTTGTCTTCAGGTGTTTTTACTCATATTCTCCTCAAGGTCTTTTCAGTTTCCACTTGCTGTCAAGTCCCAAAGTCACATGGTTCAGAATTTATTAATTATGGCAGTATCCCATTTTTAAGTAAGAAAATCTGCATTTGCTTGTACCCATTCAGGATTTATTGCCTCTCAGCTCCAAATTCACCCTTTTTGCCTGCTTCGTGGAAATGAATCTTGAGTCCTTGGTTTTCTTTTGCCAATTGGCATTGAAGCTTTGTCAGTAGAGGGCAGTGGAGAGACATTGCGGAAGAAAGTGAGTTTTGCTTCTTTCTTCCCATGTATTACTTGGCCTGCTGCTTCCCCAGTGCCTAGCTCCTACATCACGCATGCCTTTCCCCTGCATCAGTCTCCTGCAGCACCCAGCAACAACTAATTTTCCCTGGCATCTTCTTTGAGTGTTTTGTAGTAGAGTGCCCTCAGTGAGAGACCTCTCCACGAAGAGCTTTTCAAGAAACCCTTGAAGATTAATTTCCAAAAAATTCCAGAGGACAGATTTCAAGCAAATTCTGCTGGCATAGCACCATGAGCATTTCTCTGCTATTCCGTGAGTCACAGCCATGCTCTCCCCAACAAGGTCTGGATCTTAGCCAGGGGTGGGGTGAGAGGTAGAGGGCACTTCTTTTAGTGCTTTGTTTCAGCCCCAGGTGAGGTCACTTCTATGTTCAAATAACTGTGTAATTTCTCTCTCCTGATTGCACCAAGACTGATACATACCTAACTATTGTTACATAACAAATCATACTAAAATGCAATGGCTTAACTTAAACAACAATTATCATTTATTCTCTCTCACAGATGTGTTGGTCAGGAATGTGAGCAGAAAACAGTGGGGACAGCTTGTCTCTGCTCCATGATTTCTTAGGACTCAACTGGAAGACTATAAGGCTGGTTGCTGAAGGCTGGGCATGGTGGCTCACACTTGTAATCCCAGCACTTTGGGAGGCCAAGGTGGAAGGATCCTTTAAGCCCAGAATTCAAGACCAGCCTGGCCAACATGGCAAAACCCCATCTCTTCAAAAATTTTTTAAAAATTAGCTGGGCATGGTGGTGCATGCCTGTAGTTCCAGCTACTCAGGAGACTAAGGTGGGAGAACTGCTTGAGCCCAGGAGGGTGAGGCTGCACTGAGCCATGTGCATACCATTGCACTCCAGCCTCGGTGACAGAGCAAGACCCTGTCCCAAAAAATGGAGGGAAGCTGGTGGCTAGAAATAATCTGAAGAATCATTCACTCACATGCCTGGCAGTTGCTGCTGGCTATGGACCGGAGGCCTTAATTTTTCTCCATGTGTTCTGCTCCTATGTCCTAGTTTAGGCCTTCTCAGAGCGCCATGACTGAGTTCTGAGGGCAGATGTCTTGAGAGAAAGCTGGTGGAAGCCTCTACCACGTTTTATGACCTAACATTGGAAGTCTTGGTGTATCACTTCCATCATGGTTACAGGCCTATCCAGATTCAAGGGAAGGGAATGTAGACCCCCACCCCTCAAGGAAATGTGTCAAAATTGTATTAAAATAAGACAACGTGTGATGAGATATGTTGGTGTGGCCATCTTTGGAAAATACCGTCTGTCTCAAGTATTTTTTTATGGCTGAACCCTAACCACTCAGAAGCCCCTATCACTTCAGATTCAATTTCTTCCTAACTTGTAAAGAAAGATTAGAGAAAATAAAATAAATATTAAGGAGGTTTTTAGAAAATATACTGCCCAGAAGTTCATGAAACATTGACTATACTGTGCCTCACAAGAAGCAGTGTATAAAAGACAATTGGATTAAGACATATTTCAGTTGCAATTTCAGATTCACATTACATTTTTATATTATTCACTGTCAGGTATCCCAATTTTTTTTTTTTTTTTTTTGACACGAAGTCTCGCTCTTGCTCCCCAGTCTGGAGTGCAATGGCACGATCTTGGCTCACTGCAACCTCCGCCTCCTGGGTTCAAGCGATTCTCCTGTCTCAGCCTCCCGAGTAGCTGGGATTACAGGTGCGTACCACCATGCCCAGCTAATTTTTTGTATTTTTTAAGTAGAGATGGGGATTCACCATGTTGGCCAGGCTGGTCTTGAACTCCTGACCTCAGGTGATCCACCCACCTCGGCCTCCCAAAGTGCTGGGATTACAGGCGTGAGCCACCCCACCCGGTCTATCTCAAATATTTTTAACCTACATTTAGAGGTTTTCATTTCCACAGAAAATGTATACATAGACTTCAACAGGAATAGGGAACTACTAGTGCAAATATTCAACATGTGCATATATTAAAATATATACTGCCAATTTTGCATATGATTGAATTGCACTTAGTATATAGGAAAAGTATAGTTGCATTGAAAAGATTAAAATCTACAAACAGTAATCCAATTTTAAAAAGAGATGTTTCCCGTTTAATTTTAGAGTAACAGATGAGGAAATTACAAATTTAAAAATGATAACTCTCCAGGCCAGGCGCGGTGGCTCACGCCTGTAATCCCAGCACTTTGGGAGGCCGAGGTGGGCGGATCTCTTGAGACCAGCCTGGCCAACGTGGTGAAGCCCCATCTCTACTAAAAATACAAAAATTAGCAGGGCATGGTGGCAGGCGCCTGTAATCCCAGCTACTCGGGAGGCTGAGGCAAGATAATTGCTTGAACCTGGGAGGCGGAAGTTGCGGTGAGCCGAGGTTGCGCCGCTGCACTCCAGCCTGGGCAATAGAGCGAGATTCTTCAAATTTGTGTACCATCCGTTTAGGCCCTTATAGTTTAATTATAGAAACTCAGTGGCACTCCTTGCTACTAGAATTTTAAATTGTTTCTCTCTTTCACAGTTCAATCCTAGAAAAACCATTGCAACAAGGTTCTTTTTCTTTTTCTTTCTTTTCTTTTTTTTTTTTTTTTGATGATTTCATTTTCACAGTCCTAGAAACGTATTTTTCAGTCATAAAATGTACACTCTTATCTTTAGAAATAACTGTTGCCGGCCGGGCGCGGCGGCTTACCCCTGTAATCCCAGCACTTTGGCAGGCCAAGGCGGGTGGATCACCTGAGGTCAGGAGTTCGAGACCAGCCTGGCCAACATGTTTAAACCCCGTCTCTACTTAAAATACAAAAAATTAGCTGGGCGTGGTGGTACGCACCTGTAATCCCAGCTACTCGGGAGGCTGAGGCAGGAGAATCGCTTGAACCCAGGAGGCGGAGGTTGCAGTGAGCCGAGATCGCGCCATTGCACTCCAGACTGGGGGACAAGAGCGAGACTTCGTCTCAAAAAAGAAATAGCTGTTGCCTCCCACAGTGGGTAATATTTGCAGAAAAGCATCTGAGAGCTCTAGAGAGAGGAGAGACAGGATTATCACTATAGAGCATAGGCGACCCTACAGGGCAGAAGACAGTGATGTTTACTGAACTGTGTAACGAAATGAAACATGTAAGGATGACTTCCGGTGGTGAAATCACAGTTCGGATAGTCTGAGGAGAAGGGGGAATGCCTAGAAATCCATGTACAGAACAGCCCCACTCTGTTGCTATGGCCTCCTCTTGTCCAGAAAAGTTCCCACTGGCCCTGGGGCAGCATCAAGTTGGAGCTACTGCATCAGGACTTAAGTCACAAAGAGCAAAGTGACCCCACAGGGTCAGGGTCGTAAGCAGAGGTCTATGCGAGTCAGGAGGCCTGGGTCAGAGGGAGAGGGCAGGGCCGAGAGCGGGGAGTTACTGGAGGAAGGGGAGAGGTGACGTGGAAACGTCTCCTTCATATCTTGTTCCTCAATTCCCATCTTGGTCTCCAGTACTGTAAGAATTATTCAATTCCGCACTAACAGTTGTATTCTTCTACCTTTCCATTCTGTAATCAGTGAGTTCGGAGCTCCTGTTTAGTCGGGCAAATTCCAGAGAGAACTTTTGCGGCTGGGATTCAGCCAGAAGGCGAGCCGTAAGCCGTGATTACTCATCATGTATAGTTTCAAGGATTTTTGTCACAGTGTCAGGATGGCCGAGTGGTCTAAGGCGCCAGACTCAAGCTTACTGCTTCCTGTGTTCGGGTCTTCTGGTCTCCGTATGGAGGCGTGGGTTCGAATCCCACTTCTGACACAGCCTGATCTTTTGTTTTTCCCTACCAGATTTGTACCGAAAGTTTCGCCAAGGAATGCCACAATAGTTCAGCCGTTTCTACCTCCAAGATTTCCCTCCCCAACCGATGTTCGCCAAACAGGGTCTCGCAAAGAGAGAGGCATCTCTCTTACATCAAACCAATCGACAAAGGAAAACCCCACATTTACAGAATCCTGGGATATTTTCAGTGCCATTTGGACGCAGTCCCGCAGCACTGTTGGAGATCATTTTCTCCTGCGAGAAAGTAAGCAGCGGATTTCCATCTATTGGTCTGTGAATCCGCTAACATAAAAATTAAACAAACAAAAAAAGAAAAGAAAAGAAAAAAGGCACGAGAAAAAGGTCTCCGTTCTCAGAGAGCCCTGTAGGAATGTTCCAGATTCCTGTATATCGTCTGTCTCTCTGAAAGGGGAGTCGGACATTGATCTGACCAGCAACTGTCGTAAACTCACACCGCTCTAGCAACGACGGTAACACCCAGTTCTTTTCCTTAGCCGTTCAACTGATCAGTCAACTGATCAGTGACTAAAATCTTCACTGCTTTTCTGCACACGTAAAATAATCTGTTACAAACTTCTACCAAAAGATTTCCTAGGTTACCTCTAAAACCTAAGAGGAAAGAACCCTCAAGATTATGACACTGCTGAAAACAAGTTTGGGTCATCAATAACAAAAGAAATAATCATCCTGTTAAAAAGAAACTAAGTTTAAAGCTTCTTCTGAGATTGCTTCTCAGAATTATCTGATTTGGATATCCTTTCTGTCTCTTGTTTTTGAAGATAAAAATTGCATTATATGAAGTATACATAGATTGAAATCTTGGGCTGAAAATCAGGGTCTTAGGTTTTTTTTGCAATATTAACATTACCTGGGTTATCCTCCTGTATAACTTTTAAATTATTACCCAGCAATTCCACTTCTAGGAATCCACCTCAGTGAAATTCCAGCTCAGCTCCATGATTGACCTTGCCAAGTACAGTCCTTCTAGCATTTTGAGGTAGCAGATTGTTAGAGGCAACCTAGATGTCCATCAGGTATACTGCCTATGGTTTTCATACTATGCAGCAGCCACAAGTGACCAAGCAGGTGTACATGTAGCAGGATGAGTGGATTTTTCAAACCGTGTTGAGTAAAAGAAAAGAAGTTAGGATTTATTTTTTTTTTTTTTTTTGAGATGGAGTCTTGCTCCCTTGCCCAGGCTGGAGTCCCATGGCGCAATCTCGGCTCACTGCAACCTCCACCTCACGAGTTCACGCCATTCTCCTGCCTCAGCCTCCGGAGTAGCTGGGACTACAAGCACCCACCATCACGCCCGGCTAATTTTTTGTATTTTTAGTAGAGACAGGTTTCACCGTGTTAGCCAGGATGGTCTTGATCTCCTGACCTCGTGATCCGCCCGCCTTGGCCTCCCAAAGTGCTGGGATTACAGGCGTGAGCCACCACGCCCGGCCAGAAGTTAGGATTTAAATCACGCAAATCAACAACGTATTTTTCAAGGATAGTTTATTATAATTTTGTCCGGGCGCGGTGGCTCACGACTGTAATCCCAGCACTTTGGGAGGCCGAGGTGGGAGAATCACTTGAGGTCTGGAGTTCGAGACCAGCCTGGCCAATATAGCGAAACCCCATCTCTACCAAAAACACAAAAATTAGCTGGGCGTGGTGGGACGCGCCTGTAATCCCAACTACTTGAAGGCTGAGGCAGGAGAATCGCTTGAACCTGGGAGGCAGAAGTTGCAGTGAGCCAAGATGGCGCCACTGCGCTCCAGCATAGGAGACAGAGTAAAACTCCATCTCAAACAATAATAATAATAATAATAATAGGCCGGGCGCGGTGGCTCACGCCTGTAGTCCCGCCCCTTTGGGAGGCCTAGACGGGCGGATCACTTGAGGTCAGGAGTTCGAGACCAGCCTGGCCAACGTGGTGAAACCCTGTCTCTTCTAAAAATACAAAAAAAATCAGCCAGGCATGGTAGCGCGCGCCTGTAGTCCCAGCTACTCGGGAGGCTGAGGCACAAGAATCGCTTGAACCCAAGAGGTGGAGGCTGCAACGAGCCGAGATCGCGCCACTGCACTCCAGCCTGGGTGACAGAGTCAGACTCTGTCTCAAAAATAATAATTTTAAATATTTTAGAGAGGGTGCCTGTATGTTGGGAGAGAGGAAAGGGCTGTATGGTGGGCATGACAAAGAAAAACAACATAACAGTAAAGGAAAAAGAGAGAGAGAAAGAGAAAGATTTCATTGACCGATAACAAAAATGAGCCATGGATAGTTTGATTAATTTACCTCTCCAAACCTGACGCCTCTTCTTCCTTTCTTACCCGCCTCCATGATTAATTCCACTTTTTCACTCTTCTCACCTCTGCACATTCACAAGCACCTACCACCCTTTCTTGCTCCAGGAACCTCTTAAAATGATAAAATTATTAATTATTTTTCTCCATTCTCCACCTTCATCTTTTCCAACCATTCTTTTGAATTGGGGCAGTTCATTTTTCTGTTACTGATTTTATTTCTGCTTCAAAGTATTCACAGTGTATTTTGGGCTAGGTGGGGGAACCGGAAAAGTAAAAATAAAAATATTGCATGACTTTTGTTTCTCTCTACAAAGCACCTGCTTAGGACGCTGAATACTGAGCTTTGAGGGTCCCTCTAGCCAGGAAACTGTTACGGAGCCAGATGGTAACTTAGGAAGCACTGTTCTGAGTATTTGCCACTTTCCCTATTGTTTCATTTCTGAATTAACCCGAAAGATAGCAACATAAGGTATTTTGATGATGCTATGTTTAGCATCATTTAGAATAGCACCGGGCAAAATAATAAATACCGTTGTGAAAACCAGGAGCGTACGCCACCCATCCGAGGTCTTTTCCTCCTTTGTCGGAGTCAGCGTCTGCTGACTACGAGTTACATAATGAAACTTAAGGAGTAACAGTGCGTGTCAGGATGGCCGAGTGGTCTAAGGCGCCAGACTCAAGTTGCTACTTCCCAGGTTTGGGGCTTCTGGTCTCCGCATGGAGGCGTGGGTTCGAATCCCACTTCTGACACAGCTATTTTGCCCCTTTAATCCTAGGATTGGGGGACTGGGTGCCGTGGTTTACACCTGTAATCTCAGCACTTTGGGAGGCCAAGACAGGTGGATCACCTGAGGTCAGGAGTTCGAGACCAGCCTGGCCAACATGGCGAAACCCCATTTCTACTAAAAATACAAGAATTAGCTGGGAGTAGTTGTGGGTGCTCGTAATCCCAGTTACTTGAGAGGCTGAGGCAGGAGAATCGCTTAAACCCGGGAGGCGGAGGTTGCAGTGAGCCGAGATCATGCCATTGCACTCCAGCCCAGGCGACCAAGCAAGACTCCCTCTCAAAAAGCCAAGAGGAAAAAAAAAAAAAAAAAAAAAAGCAAAAAACCACTAGGATTAGGGGACTAAGCGGGGAGGATTGTTTGAGCCCAGGAGTTCCACCCCGTCTATAGAAAAAATGAGCGGTGCTTGGTGGCGCGCGCCTGTAGTCCCAGCTACCTGGGTAGGAGAATGGCTTGATCACTTGAGCCCAGGAGCGCGAAGCTTCAGTGAGCTGTATGATCGCGCAACTGCACTCCAGCCAGGGCGACAGCGCGAGATCGTGTCTAAAACAAACAAAAACAGGAGAAAAGGGCTTGAGATGTAGATTTTACCAAAACCATTTTGCAACTACCACCTTTCAGGAGCTTTCCCCAATGCTTCCGACCACATTTTAACTTAACAAGCCCGTGAGTGGGACTTACGTATTCCCTGTATAATTATTTTCAGCATCTTAATGGTTTCTGCGAGGGTATGCGATAGGCTGGAGTATTATTGCACAATCGTCTGGTTTCCTTCCTCAAGGTCAAACCACCACCACCACTTCCCCCCACCCCCTCCCGCCTTTCTTCTTTCCATGTTTCCCCGTTCTTCCTCTCCCTCGCTTATCTAGACCCCCTTTGATTCTTTCTTTGGTGATGGGAGAAGGGATGTGAAGTGAAGGGACAGGATGTAGGTTATTACGGGACGCATGTAAGAGAAATATAAGACCATGATGGATGAACAGAGAGATCTTCGTCTTGATTTAAAACTCTACCGAGTAATATATATATATATATATATATATATATTTTTTTTTTTTTTTTTTTTTTTTTTTTTTTTTTTTACAAATCCCTCGTTTTGTTAAGGTGGGAGACATACATCCAATATTTACTTTCCATTCTGTTCCGTAGTAATGTTTTCAATTACTGCCCCAAATTAGCAGCTTTCAGAAACTTCATTTCCTACAGAAATGAAACAACGAACATACACGCAGAAGACAATCCAAACATACTCGAATGTACTGGCAAACAGCTATTGCAAGATCCTATTTTATGTACCCAACGATCAGGGGTGAATTGTTTTTTGTTGCTGTTGTTTTTGTTTTTGGTCTTCAAATGGAGAACTTCAAATGTTACCGGGAAGTGCAAAGTCCTCCGTTCTTGTTTTTTGGTTAAAAGAATTTAAGCAAGAGACAAACAACAACGAAGATAACACCTTAAGGCAGTTTATTGCAAAAACGAAAGTACACTGAAAGCTGAGTCAGAGCAGGCTTCTTGAAGATGAGACAGCGCCAGCTGGCACTGGGGCAATCCCCTTTTTGGGATTCTTTTTTAATTTTATTTTTATTTTATTTATTTATTTATTTGGAGTGCAGTGGTGCAATCTCGGCTCACTGTAACCTCCGCCTGCCAGGCTCAAGCAATTCTCCTGCCTCAGCCTCCGGAATAGCTGGGACTACTGGAAAGCGCCACCACACACGGCTAATTTTTGTATTTGTAATAGAGACGGGGTTTCACCATCTTGGCCAGGCTAGTCTCCAATTCCTGGCCTTGTGATCCGCCCGCCTCGGCCTCCCAAAGTGCTGGGATTACAGGCGTGAGCCACCGCACCCGGCCGGGAGTCTTATATGTTTATTCAAAAAGTGGCAGGCAGGAGGAGGTGTGACTAGTAAGCATGTTTTGGGTGATCCTCTGGGTGCACATGCGCTGTGGCTATACATGCTAGTACATCCATTGCATGTCTCATTAACATCTTAAATCTCCACCCAAGGGTATGTTTTTTACTATTATAATGAGCAAAAGGTTACTTTTGGGGCAAGCAAAACTGGAGCAAACTATACTCCTCTTGCCTTCTTGGGGTGGAAAGTCCCTTGTGGTGTTAGTTCCTGCTTGAGCCAGATAAGTTCAACTGCAAGAAGGGTCCAAGGGCTCTTGAAGTCTCAAATGCGGCTGATGTGTTACAACAGTCATGGCCCCCTTCCTGGGTGTGCCAGAGATGGAGGCCAGCCTGGAGCCCACCTCCCTGTTCATATTTAACTGTTGTTTATTATTATTATTTTGAGACAGTGTCGCTCTGTCGTTCAGGCTGTAGGGTAGTGGTGCGATCTCGGCTCACTGCAACCTCCGCCTCCAGGGTTCAAGTGATTCTCTTGTCTCAGCCTCTCGAGTAGCTGAGATTACAGGGTGCCACCACCACGCCCAGCTAAAACCCGACGGGGATTCACCACCTTGAGCAGCCTGGTCTCCAGTGATCCCGTCGCGTCTGGATCCAAAATGCTGGGATTACAGGCGTGAGCCGCCGCGCCCGGCCAAACACAGCATTGTTTTAAAGGCAATGTGCAATAGTAGCAAACATAAGCCTCTTGAATCAGATATATGTGTTTAAATTCCAGCTCCATCACTTCCGAAAGTAAAATGTGTGGTGTTTTATATTATTTAGATCATTTGTGAAACTTTTCTTCATCTGCAAATGTAGGGAAAATTCTTCAAAATTCTTTGGGTATTGGCCGGGCGCGGTGGCTCACGCCTGTAATCCCAGCACTTTGGGGGGCTGAGGCTGGCGAATCACCTGAGGTCAAGAGTTCGAGACCAGCCTAGTTAACATGGTGAAACCCTGTCTCTACAAAATTACGAAAATTAGCCAAGTGTGGTGGCGTGCGCCTGTAATTCCAGCTAGTCTACTCGGGAGGCTGAGGCAGGAGAATCACAGGAACCCGGGAGGCAGAGGCTACAGTGAGCCGAGATCGCGCCATTGCACTCCAGCCTGGGCCACAGGGCAAGACTACGTCTCAAAAAAAAAAAAAAAAAACTTAAAAAATCTTTTGGGGATTAAAAAGAATTTGAGCAGTTACTCAAGAGACCATTCAGCTTCATATTTCTATTTACTGCCTCGGGCATTTTTACCGATTTGCAACAACTCAAATTCTCTGCTCCATCGCCATTTCTGGACCAAGGTGTCCTACCTTCCAAACACTTCAGAAAATGTGCTCGGAGTACCTTTTTCTCTGACAATTAAAATCTTTCAAACTTATACCTCACACCCCATCATGTGCTCGTCATCCAGCATTTGACTTCCCTGTCAGGACTTCTTTCGTCCTCTTTTGAGCTCCCAAAATGTACTGGTGTTGTCAGTCACATGAAAAGCCGAAAACCTGACTTTCATACAAATATAACATGAATGTAGTGTTTAAGATTTCATATATCTCACTAATTACTAAGTCAACTGAGAAAACCCCTTCAAAGATGAATTTGAAGAACAAACAACACACAATAGAAAGGCTGAAAATTGTATCTCAACTGAGTAAAATCTTAGGGTTAATGTAAACATGAATCACTTGCGTTATTATCACTTTTCTATAACTTAACTTCTACCATCACAGAGCTTAGCCTAGTGAATAGAAAGTCAAAGATGCATAGCTCTAAAAAAATCAGACACTTGCTAGAGGGTCTGCCAGACAATGCCAAGCACGTCACTGAAAGGAAGGACCCAGTAATTTCTGTTGTCGATTTTTAAGTCTGACAATTCTTTCTGACACATATGACATGTTATAAAAGTTGCTTTGAAGTAAACATGGGAGATTGTTAAAGGAGATGGAGTCTTGTTGTTTGTTTGTTTGTTTCTTTGGAGGTTATTTAGTTCTGACCTTGGTCTTCAGTTTGCCAATTTATACAACTAGGTGTGTAGATATTTAATTTTAATATTTGACGTCGGGCGGAACATTTAAAAATCTTTTATGCTTTCCTTGGTTTACATTCTTTCTAATGGACTCTTTATATTTCCAACATGAATAAAAATGAATGTATTATTTTACTTTTGTTCTAAATCTTTCTTCTATATCTCCCTACTTGATTATTTTTATTTAAAATGTCAGCTGTATTATGTAGTGTAAAGGGACTCCAAAATCCACAAAGTCCAAATAAGGTATTTCTTAGGCTCAATACAATGTGCCAGTCAGTTGAGATGGTCAAAATCTAGCAGACCAGAGATATTCTCAAGGTTATTAAAGAGCCCAGAATTTGATTCAAGTAACTAACTCCATATTAATCTTTTCGGGGAAATTTTTGAAGCTTTCACTTGTAAAGATGTCTTTTAGGGTAGACAGCAGTAGCAATATATTTTCTACAAACTCTATCAATGCACTTGAAAGAAGTCATTTTAAGAGCTCCTGAAGAGACCCTTTATACCATAAAAAAGGCAGTTTGTGATGGCAGCTGTCTGTGCAAAAGTCACATAATTGTCTTGTAAGCTAGGGGTCAATGGAATAAAAACTCTGATGCCCACCGGCAACCAAATCCTATGAAATCAGTTTGTCTGGGGGGAGGGGGGTAGAAGCCTACAAAAATTAGTACAGTTAGCCCTCCATGTCTGTGGGTTTTACATCTGTTGATTAAACCATTGTGGATCAAAAAAATATTTTTTAAAAAAAAGGATGATTGCGTCTATACTGAACATTACAGATTCTTATATTCTTGTCATTATTCCCTAATCAATACAATATAACAATTATTCACATAGCATGGACATTGTATTTTAGGTATTATAAGTAATCTAGAGATAATTTAATGTATACAGGAGGATGTGCATAGGTCATAAGTGTAGGGAAAAGAGAGATCAGACTGTTACTGTGTCTAACTAGAAAAGGAAGACATAAGAAACTCCATTTTGACCTGTACCCTGAACAATTGCTTTGCCCTGAGATGCTTTGCCCCAACCTTGAGCTCACAAAAACATGTGTTATATGGAATCAAGGTTTAAGGGATCTAAAGCTGTGCAGGACGTGCCTTGTTAACAAAATGTTTACAAGCAGTATGCTTGGTAAAAGTCATCACCATTCTCTAGTCTCGATAAACCAGGGGCACAATGCACTGCGGAAAGCCACAGGGACCTCTGCCCTGGAAAGCCGGGTATTGTGCAAGGTTTCTCCCCATGTGATAGTTTGAAATATGGCTTCATGTGATGAGAAAGATCTGACCGTCCCCCAGCCCGACACCCGTAAAGGGTCTGTGCTGAGGTGGATTAGTAAAAGAGGAAAGCCTCTTGCAGTTGAGATAGAGGAAGTCCACTGTCTCCTGCCTGCCTCTGGGAACTGAATGTCTCGGTATAAAACCCGATTATACATTTGTTCAATTCTGAGACGGGAGAAAAATCGCCCTATGGCGGGAGGTGACACATGTTGGCAGCAGTGCTGCCTTGTTATTCTTTACTCCACTGAGATGTTTGGGTGGAGAGAAACATAAATCTGGCTTTCGTGCACATCCAGGCATAGTAAACTCCCCTTGAACTTAATTATGACATAGATTCTTTTGCTCACATGTTTTCTTGCTGATCTTCTCCTTATTATCACCCTGCTCAACTACCTCATTCATTTTGCTGAGATAATGAAAATAATAATCAATAAAAACTGAGGGAGCTCAGAGACCGGTACCAGTGCAGGTCCTCCGTATGCTGAGTGCCGGTCTCCTGGGCCCGCTGTTGTTTCTCTATACTTTGTCTCTGTGTCTTATTTCTTTTCTCAGTCTCTCGTCCCGCCTGTTGAGATATACCCACAGGTGTGGAGGGGCAGGCCACCCCTTCAATAAGCAAATACTACCTCCTTTTACATAAGGAACTTGAGTTTGCATGGATTTTGGTATCCGTAGGAGATCCTAAACCAATCTCCTACTGATACCAAGGTACGACTCTATTTTTAAAGATCCTGAAGTGTGATTCTAATGTGCAAAGTTTGAGAACCACTGTTCTAGGCTATTTCCGTATCATTGGTTACCCTATTTTTTTAAAAAAAATGTGGAATGCTTCGCAAATTTGCATGTCATCCTGCACAGGGGCCATGCTAACCTTCTCTGTATAGTTCCAATTTGTGTATATGTGCTGCCGAAGTGAACACAATTCTAACTGCTGCTTGTATACATATAGTTTTTCATTTTATATATAAACAATCAAAGCCAATTTTTATAGTGTAAAGAAAATCCCTTATCATATAGTATAAATCATATTTAACACTACCCTCTAACAACGATTAAAGTAACTGTGTTTCTCCTTCACATCAAGAATGCCAAAATGGGACAGGTGCAGTGGTTCACGCCTGTAATCCCAACACTTTGGGAGGCCTAGAAGGGCGGATCACCTGAGGTCAGGAGTTTGAGACCAGCCTGGCCAACAAGGTGAAACCCCATCTCTACCAAAAATATAAAAAAAAAATTAGCCGCGCTTGGTGGCTGGTGCCTGTGATCCCAGCTACTCAGGAGGCTGAGGCAGGAGAATCGCATGAACCAGGGAGACGAAGGTTGCAGTGAGCTGAGATCACGCCATTGCACTCCAGCCTGGGTGACAGAGCCAGACTCTGTCTCAAAATAAAAATAAAAAGAAAAGAAAAAAAAAGGAATACCAAAATGTACAGCGAAGATAGTGTTTTAAATCTCGCCCAGGCGTGGTGGCTCACGCCTGCAATCCCAGCATTTTGAGAAGCCGAGGCAGGCAGATCACCTGAGGTCAGGAGTTCGAGACCAGCCTGGCCAATATGGTGAAACCCCATCTCAATCAAAACTGCAAAAATTAGCTAGGCGTGGTCATGGGAGCCTGTAATCCCAGCTACTCAGGAAGCTGAGGCAGGAGAATCGCTTGAACCTTGGAGGAGGAGGTTGAAGTGAGCCGAGATTGTGCCACTGCACTCCAGCCTGGGCAACAAGAGCAAAACTCTGTCTCAAAAACAAACAAACAAACAAAAACAAAAAATACTTATAAAAATATGAATATTTTCATTGGCATCTTTCTTAGCTCAAATTTATTAAATTATGTGTTATTTATATATAAAAAGCAAAACACATGGTGTTGGTGTTAAGGAAAACATTATTCATGGCAATTGTTAAAGACAGTAAGGAAAACTTTATTAGAGAGGGATTTTGCAGTAGGTGAGAGAGACCGGGCTCAACTTTGCATACAACAAGGAAAAGCGGGAATTTATAGCCAAGGATCAGAGTGGGGAGATGAGGTCACTGGATAGAAAATTACTGAAAGGAAACATCACAGGTAAGGGGGTTTCTGGCTAACCTGGCCTGATAGGATTCTTGAAGGCAGGCCAGGGTGATTACATCACTGGAGCATGGTGGAGGATGAGGAACCTGATCAGATATGAAGGGTGATCAGATAATAGAGGATGAGGGATTCTGGCTAAACTGACTTAACACGATTATTGTTAAAAGTGCGCAATGCAGAGCTACAAACATTTAAGTCCAAAAGTCAGAGCTTTTGTTGAGAAGAGCCTTCAGAGGAACCTGACTAGAGTTTGGTCATGAAGAGAATCTTTGTCACTGTTCAAAAAATGTCTGATAAGTAATTAAATTATTAGAGATTAGTTGATATATTATCTAAATGTGTTAGTAATTTAAATGGTTTGGCATCTTTTCTGACTTGAATTTTATAATATTTAGATAATGTAAAAATAGAAACTTATAGCAGTATTAAGCATTGGGGTTTCAAAATGAAGCCTCCAAATTCTTCCCTTGAGGACTCCAAGCTCCATCTTTAAGAATCCAGGGTCTGATGTTTCTTTCTTTTTTCTTTTTCTTTTTTTTTTTTTTTGAGACAGAGTCTTGCTCTGTCGCTCAGGCTGGAGTGCAGCGGCGTGACTTGGCTCACTGCAAACTCCGCCTCCTGGTTTCAAGCAATTCTCCTGCCTCAGCCTCCCTAGTAGCTGAGATTACAGCCATGCGCAATCTCAGCCATGCCTGGCTAACTTTTTTGTATTTTTAGTAGAGACGGGGATTCACCGTATTGGTCAGGCTGGTCTCGAACTCCTGACCTCGCGATCCATCCGCCTCGTTCTCCCAAAGTGCTGGGATTACAGACGTGAGCCACCGCGCCCGGCCCCCAGGGTCTGATTTTTCAAGTATGAGAACAAGATAGTAAAGAAGCCTGAGGGGAGCCCAGCAAAGAGAACCAAACACCACTGAAATTTGGGGAGCAGAACCAGCTATATATTTTGCAGGGCCCAGTGAAAAATTAAAATGAGGGAGCCCTTGTTCAAAAAGCAGGAAGACAATGCTGTTATAATTATGAATATATACTGATATGGGTGTGAGCTGCAGGCTCACTCCCACCAAGACACCCTCCTAACTCACCTGGGCTCTGCCAGTCTGCCAGCCAGTGTCGGGAATGACAGCCATTATGCCACACCCCAGAAATCCCGGGATTAGGCTGCAGGAACTTAATCCCTCTTCTGTAGACCCCCTAGGGGGCTTTACTGCTGGAGGCAGGTGGGGAAGAGGGGTCGGGAAAGAGAGTGGGGAAGGATGTCAGTTAGCAGGGCAAATTCGTTGCTGAAAACCCATCCAGGGGAAGCAGAGCTCTTGGGAGTCAACTCTTCGGCAGAACTCTTGGGAGCCAACAGACCCCCATGCCTAAGCATGCTACATTGTCATGTTGGCTATAGCTTACAAAACATAAGTTTAAGGATAAAACTATTGAGAACTTCAAGAGAGTCATTACAAAACATTAAACCCCAAGAGTAGGACTGGGTGTGTGTGTGTAGGGGTGCTCGGGGGATGGTGGTAAATTGTGCGACTGCATAGATCTCAGGCCCATGAAGCTCACCCCATTGGGGAGCTTAAATTATACACAGAATCTTTAAAACAGCTTTGCGCAATTCCTTGGCTGGAAGAACCAAGACTGACAAAAACGGGTCCACAGACGCACCTAGAAAGCGATCTGAGCCTCAGTTTTCCGACCCAGTGTCCAAAGGCCAAGTGGACAACACACACACGCTCTCCTTGTAGTTAGGAATACCCATTATGATCTTTGTGAAAGAAGTTTCATTGTGGTGGGGACACGGAAAACTGAATCTTCTTTGAGTAGGCATGTCGTCTCCACGTCTGCCTCAATTCCGCGAGCAACGATTTTCAGAAGTACATGCATTTCCTTCTCTTCCGTTCGCTGCATCTTCAGTTTCTCCTTAGTCCCTCCAACCTGGCCGAGGACAGGGCCACAGGACCACACAGTGCCCTTGTCTTACCAGGGACACGGAGGAGTCAAGGTGTTCCAAATGCAGACAGTGAGTGCACTATGGAAGGCGTGGGAAGCAAGCAAGCAAGCAAACAAACAAGCAAACAAACAAACGAACAAGCCCTGAATTCTAAATCCAACCCTAGAAGTCGGTGTATGAGAGCCTAACGGTTTGAAAATCAAGTTCCTGAGAAAGGATTTCAATCGGTTTTCTTAAGTTGCAAAGGAGCAAACAACAAGTTGTAGGTGACTATGTTGAGAAGGAAACGTGAGACAACTCGAGGATGAAAGACAGAGACTAGAGAAGATAAATGGATAAGGAAGAAAAAAATATTGACGCAGCTGGACAGCGGTGTTAGGAGATGTTTAAGTTACTTGGAGATAAGGCACAACAGCTGAAGGGGACAGCAGAGTGGCGCAGCGGAAGCGTGCTGGGCCCATAACCCAGAGGTCGATGGATCGAAACCATCCTCTGCTAGGTGCCTGTTTTTTTCCTCCAAAACACTGCATCTTGCACTTGTTAGAGGTGCTTTAACACCTCTCATGAATGACTGAAGACCTACAGTGACCGAGGGAGTAAACTCTGTTTTAACTGCCTGGTGCTTTCTGAAACCTAGTGGTTCACTTTCAAAGAACGGAAGCATAAGCGGAGAAATGAGTGAATCTGCAAATGGGAGGTCTGAAAAATAAGGCGGTAGAGGAGCAGAGACCGGTGTGAAGAAGGGAAAGACTGAGGAAGAGGTGAAGAAAAAGAGAGCGAAAGATGAAGACTAGGTTGGGCGACCGGGAAAAAGATATTATAAAATTTTGACGTGTGTTTTGAAGAAGGTAATTCCCCAGACAGAAGCGGGTGTCACTTGTGTGTTGCTCTGGCATTACGATTCCAGGAAACTTCATCTCTTAAAGAGCTAGGAAAACACCGGAGGAAACAACGGGAATTGAACTGCTTCCCTTGTGACATAACAATCTTTCTTTACCCAAATGTTTGATACTTCTGAAGTTTCTTCCCACTTATCGAAGTCATTGTTGAAATGCGTACCTTCTGCCTCCAACCTTCTGGTAAGCTGATGAAGAAGCCTGGGCGTCCGCTCTAAAGCCGCCTTTACCAGCCAGCTACGATCTCTAAGGGCTGCTGTTCGCAATAATGAGCTGCGGGATTATTCACTACCGAAGGGGTCCCACTCTATTCTGAGCCCGATTTTCTTCGTCATTTCCCCTGTAATAAATACTACACAATAATTTTATATTTAACGAATAAACAGTTTGAGGTTGAAATGAATGTTCAATATAATAAAGCTCGGCTGCAGTGCTGAGGCACAGGTATATGACCAGAACGCTTGGAAGAACCTAATAATTACTGAAATCATGAGCCTTATTAGCACTTCTTAGTGAGTTAGAGCCCAGTGTAGAGAGCCTGGATAGCTCAGTCGGTAGAGCATCAGACTTTTAATCTGAGGGTCCAGGGTTCAAGTCCCTGTTCAGGCGAACTTCAGAAGTTTTACTTCAGTTAGGTCTAAACCCATCCCATTTGGGAACATTTTGTGAGGAGAAGGAAATATCACAAAGGCCGAAACAGACAAATGCATCGCTTTCTTCACTAAATTATGCTTTCCCAATATTATTTGAAACGTATCCCCAAGATTTCAAGAGAAGAGGAAAAGGACATGATATAAAAATAATAAACTGGTGATGGAATGACTGGGAAATGGACCATTTTAAAACTCCCTTGAAATGGCTCATTAATCCAGGCATGGGGGAGCACTTTGGGCAGTCTTGATTAAAATCCAAAATCTTTAAGAGCAGTGACCTTTGCATAGCCTGTCTCTGTGGTTCCTTGGAGTTTAGACCAGCTCTTCTTTCACAGAAAATTTGACCACTTTGCAACAGTTCCCAGTTGAAAAACTCATTTCCAAACACTTTTTGAAATAGTATTTTCTGTGTTTACATTATTTCTGTCATTATCCTGGGATTTGGATTATGGTTAATGACCCTGATCATGGGCTTCTAGTGCATGGCTTCTGTGGGCAGCACGCTAAACAACGCCACTATGAAACAAAGGTACCAAGAGTTCAACGTTGTTGATAGTTTTTTTTGTCATGTCCCTTTTGTCTTGAGCCTGACAATATTCAGTCCAAACACTGCATTTGGATCCATTTTGTAAGGTCTCGCCCTTTCTTTTTCAGTTATGTGATTCATTTGAAGTAATCAGGTCCATTTTGACTCTTTCCCCTGACCTTGTTTATTTTTTTATTTTATTTTATTTTTTTGAGACGGAGTTTCACTCTTGTTGCCCAGGCTAGAGTGCAATGGCGTGATCTTGGCTCCCTGCAACATCCACCTCCCAGGTTCAAGTGGTTCTCCTGTCTCAGCCTCCCAAGTAGCTGGGATTACAGGAGCGCCACCATGCCAGGCTAATTTTTGTATTTTTAATAGAGACGGGGTTTCACCATGGTGACCATGCTAATTTTGAACTTCTGACCTCAGGAGATCCGCTCGCCTAGGCCTCCCAAATTGCTGGGATTACAGGCATGAGCCACTGTGTTCAGCCTATTTTATTTTTTGTACATACTTAAAACATAACATCATTTTAAAAGTTAAACTGTGCAAAAGAGACATACTCGAAGAAATATCACTTCCCTTCATTGCTTCTTTTTCTTTCCTTCTCCAGCTTTTTCAACTCATTCTCATCTACCCCCTATAGGTAATCCATTTTACCAGTTTCTTTTTTATCCTTCCTGCACCTCCTTTTGAATAAGCAGGCAGACACATACTTATTTATTTATTTATTTGTTTGTTTATTTATTTTTAGACCAGGCTGGGGTGCAATGGCGCGATCTCAGCTCCTGCAACTTCTGCCGCCCGGGTTCAAACGATTCTCCTGTCTCAGCCTCCCGAGTAGCTGGGACTACAGGCGCGCGCCACCAGCCCTGGCTAATTTTTCTATTTTTAGTAGAGACAGGGTTTCACCATGTTGGTGAGGCTGGTCTCAAACTCCTGACCTCGCAATCCACCCACCTCGGCCTCCCAAAGTGCTGGGATTACAGGTGTGAGCCACCACGCCTGGTGATACATACTTTTTAAAATGTCCTCTTCTTTCTCAGACGAAAAATATTATACTATATTGTATATATATTGATTTACAGTATATAGATATTGATTTGCTTTATATATTGTATATATATTGATATCTATACAGTATCTATAGATATATACATATTGTATATATAGTATCTATAGATATATACATATTGTATATATAGTACCTATAGATATATACATATTGTATATATAGTATCTATAGATATGTACATATCTATAGATAGTATATGTATTGATTTACAGTATATAGATACTGATTTGATTTACTTTTTTTGTTTAGCAATATATCTTTGAAATCTCTCCATGTCAGTTCACAGAGATCTTTTGTACAGCTGCATAAGTACTCCATTGTGTGGAAGTAACAATCTAATCATTCTTTTATGCTTAAGCATTTAGGTTGTTTAAAAAATTTTGCAATTGCAAGCAATGCTGCAATGAGTAAATATGCTGATGTATATTTTCATTTTGTTGGATGTAGATTTTCAGGGTAAATTGTTAGACTTGGGATTTTTGGGTGAAATGATTAATGTATATATAATTTTGTTAGACATAGTCAAATTCCCCTTCATAAAGATTATATTGATAACAATGTGCTTCCTTACCAGAAATCAATGACACTACCTGTTCCTGTATGCACTGACATACTTTTTAAATTTTTACCAAGCTGATAGCAGAGAAACAGTATCTTCATATAGTTTCAATTTGCAATTTTTTATTACAGAATTTAAACATATTTTCATATGTGCAAATATATATATTAATTATCTGTTAATTTTTTTTGCCCATTTGACTATAAAGTTTTGGCCTTTTTCTTCAATTGTTGAAAAATGTTTCTGTATTAAGGATATTAACTCTTTATCTGTGATACACATTGCAAATAGTCTCCCGGCACCCATTCCCACCATTTGTTAACTCTGTTTAGAGTCTGTTTATCATATTTTTTTGTACCATATTTGTAGGTACTTTAAGATACTAAATTTTCTTTTATTATATCTACAGTTTAAGTTATAATTAGGAAACTTTCTATATCCAGGCTACAAGGGAATTCACACATGACTCTTTTTAATACTTGTAGGTTTCAGTGTTTGCACTTAGATCACTGATTCATTTGGAATTTATTCTTGCATAAAGAGTGAGGGCTGAATTTCATTTTAGCTCTAATTGGCTAACAAATTTTTCCTGAACTACTTGTCAAAAAGTCCATCTTTGCACCTATGGCTTGAAATATATGCTTTATCAAATATTAAATACCCATATGTGATTTTGTTTACTTCTGGACTTTGTATTACATTACTAGACTGTTTTTCTATTCATTTGTGAATGCTATAGTGCTTTAATTATAGATGCATGAAGAGTATATTTTAATATCTGATAGGGCTACCCCTCTCCACAGTATCAAAGCTCCATTCTCATAGCTTCAAGGAGTGTTGACTGCTAAAGTGTCATTTCGCCTCAAGGAACAGCGCCCCTGCCAAAGATTGCACTCTCTCAGGACTAGACGCTCTCTCTGGGGCAAACAGTATCCAATGACCACATTTTTGCTTCAATTTGGGACAGTTCTGAAGGGCATCCTACCAGAGCTCCTGTGGCTTGGCTGAAGCCTCTGCTGTAACTGCTTTGCAGTTTTACTTTTTCATCTCTCCAATTCTGCTTTTCTCTCATTCTTCTACATTTTCTTCTGTGTACTCTAATAAATTTTGTGCACATAATCTCTGTCTCAGGTAATCTGTTTCTTGGGAACCCAAACTAAGTCACTCTCTGAGACAGAGTTTTGGCTTTAATATTATTTCCTTTTTATTGGTAGAAGTATTGTTTCCTTTTTATTTTTATTATTATTTTTTTTTTTTTTTTGAGACTGAGTCTCGCTCTGTCGCCCAGGCTGGAGTGCATTGGCGCTATCTTGGCTCACTGCAAGCTCCGCCTCCTCGGTTCACGCCATTCTCCTGCCTCAGCCTCCCGAGTAGGTGGGACTACAGGCACCCGCCACCACGCCCGCCTAGTTTTTTGTATTTTTTTAGTAGAGACGGGGTTTCACCGTTTTAGCCAGGATGGTCTCGATCTCCTGACCTTGTGATCCGCCCGCCTCGGCCTCCCAAAGTGCTGGGATTACAGGCGTGAGCCACCGCGCCCGGCCGTTTCCTTTTTATTAAGTCTACAAGTTTTCCTTTGATTACTGCTTTAGTGTTATCGTATGGAGTCCGCTACGTAAGATTTTCATTGCCTTTGTTGTATAGAAATTTTATGCTTTTTGTTTATATTTTCCCCTTGGCCCTAGTTTTTTGTTGTTGTTTTTTTGTTTGGAGATGGAGTTTTGCTCTATTGCCCAGGCTGGAGTGCAATGGCGTGATCTCGGTTCACTGCAACCTCCACCTCCCGGGTTCAAGCGATTCTCCTGCCTCAGCTTCCCGAGTATCTGGGATTACAGGCACCAGCCACCATGCCCGGCCAATTTTTGTATTTTTTAGTAGAGACAGGCTTTCTCCATTTTGGTCAGGCTTGTCTCGAATTCCTGACGTCAGGTAATCCACCTGCCTCGGCCTCCCAAAGTGCTGGGATTACAGGCATGAGCCACCGTGTCCGGCCGGCCCTAGTTTTTAAAAGAAAGTTTTATAATTTTCAAGGGTCAGAAAATGTTGATTTCTACTATTTCTACATTTTAGAAAATATTGAGGATTTTTTGTGGGATTAGAGCAGCTAATACATGAATAATTGTCATGCATATATTATGCATACCCCATGGGAAATTTTCTCATTTCAGAGAGCAGACTTCAAAAATCTTTGCATCAGGCCTTTCACACATCAACCAATGAGCATCTGAGTTGTTTCCAGGTATATTTAATATTGTCAACAGTTCTATGAGCAATTATGCACATGTGGCATGGTACAGAGTTATAAGTACTTTGAGTGTGTGTGTGTGTGTGTTCCTAGAAGACAAATTGTTAATTTGTTACATTTTGTAAATGTTTAACTTTTTGAGATAATGACAAACCATTTTCCAGGGCTGTAAAAATGGATGCCTCTCTTGGCAATGTATTAGGGATACTACTACATATCCAAATAGTCAACTGCTGTTATTTTTGCACATTTCATTTTAATTTGATCAAGTGGAGGTTAATAGTATCTTGTTGTAGTGATGGTTTGTATTCCTTTATCACAATGAGGTTGAACATATCTACATATGTTTGGATTTGTACCTTTGAATTTTCTTCTAAATGTCAGTTTATTTATCTATTTGATTATTTCGTGTATATATTTGATTTATTTACATGTGGAAGTCTTGCTACATTTTTTTATCTTCCTCCTTATCTAATCATTCCTTGCAATTCAATTATTTGAATGCAGTTTAATCTTTCTCAGTGTAACTTGTGTTTTCAATTTAATCTGTAATTACTTTCATAAATATCAAGGTTTTCTTAAACCTGGAGCATTTTTGTGTCTTGTTTAACCAGTGTTTCCAATCTTTACTTCTTCCAATACATATTCTCATATATGTGGTAACCACTGCCTCTTGCTTCTCAAATTCTTTCTTCACCCTTCTCCTGCACCTTTTTCCCACATCAAAGGGGGCTGAACTCAGACTGTATTTCCCAAGCCTACTTCACATTTATCTGCAGCTCAGTTTAGTCAACAAAATGCAGTGGTGGGTGATAGGAGAGTAAAAGAAATAAAGAAGTCAGATAATTTCCACCACTGTCTGCCTGCTTTGGGCACCCTCTATGGGAACAGCTGCATGTTCTCCTTCACTTTAGCTCTCACTGGACAGGACTAGTACGATTAAACCTTAAGCCAGATAATTTCAATTCCTAGGCTCTAATAATGCTGTCTCTTCCAGAAAGTGTGATGGTACTTGCTTCTCTTTTCTGGGGGAGTTTAAGGATCTCTTCATGTACAGAAAGCATTAGTTTTTAAATGTGAGTTACATATTGGTAAAATGCCGAGATTGGATGTTGAGTAGCAAAAGAGGTAGACTTCACTTAGCTGTTTTTGCTCAGACTTATTCATCACCCATGCTCTTTTGTGCTCTACACTGCAATGACGTTGTTGTAAACTGCGTTTCCCAGACTCCCTTGTCAACTGACTTCTGGCTGGACTTAACCAATGTTAGGCACTGAATGGAGATGAAAGGGAAAAAGAAAAAGTGGAAACAGGGTATTGCTCATCCCTCCTGGGTTTCTGCTACATCTTAATGTGTCAAGTGCCTGACGGGTAAGCCTGCTGTGGCTTCAGGTTCTTCCAGGTGGCGGAGGCTTTTGGCCTTTAGTGATTTCCCGTTCTTGCTAATCTCTGTACCATTTGTCATATCAGTTTCTCTACCACTAGTGTAGCCAATTTATTGTATTAAATGTCCCAATCTTACTACCTAACTAGTGTACACAAGGTCCTGATTGATTTGTATAAATACTACTAAGAAATTGTAAATTTTGTTTTTGACATTTATGTCCTTGATCTTCATGGTGTTAATCTTTTTTTCTTTCTTAGACGGAGTTTCTCTCCTGTTGCCCAGGCTGGAGTGAAACGACATTATCTTGGCTCACTGCAACCTCCACATCCTGGGTTCAAGCGATTCTCCTGCCTCAGCCTCCTGAGTAGCTGGGGTTACAGGCACCAGCCACCACGCCCAGCTAATTTTTTGTATTTTTAGTACAGATGGGATTTCACTATGTTGGTCAAGTTGGTCTTGAACTCCTGACCTCAGGCGATCCACGCTCCTCGGCCTTCCAGAGTGCTGGGATTACAGGCGTGAACCACTGCGCCCGGCTCACGATGTTAATCTTTACTCAATTTCATGTTTCCCCTCTATAGGAATATTACATTCCTGGCTTCATTTATTAAATACCCCCAACTCTCCTCTGATCTGGCATAACCCTCTGTCGATATACCAGAGTTTATATATGTATGGGCTTTTTAAATGAACTCTTTTCATATTTTGTCAACTCAAGATTTTATATCAGTACCTGTTTTAATATACGAATTTCTGGAATGTCTAATAAGTCCTGCAAGTTTGTTGGCAATTCTCTCCTTATTTTTAGTAAGTGTTCTTGCTATTATAGTTCCTATGCACTTCCATATAATTTTACAACCAGTTTATCAAGTCCTTGGAAAAACACTTTTGGAATTTATGTTGAAATTACACTGAATCAATAGATTAGTTTGGGAAGAAATGATATAGTTGAGATATTAAGTCTTCTTTTCTGTAAACATGATATAGTTTTCCACTTATTTAGGTTTTCAGTTTCTATTTTGAAAACAAGCTATTTTGTCATTCTACCTCTTCTGATATTTTTAGAAAGTTTATAGTTTTTAATCTATTAGTTATCTTCATCATTACATTATTATTTAAGGGTTTGGTTATTGTGTTTCTTTGGACAATCTCTTTGTTTCCTTACTTTGAACAATAACAATGCAAGATTGCATATTCTTCCTCCCTACCTCGCTTCACTCTCACCTACAGCTAATTTTAGTCAGTAATTTTGCAGCTCTTAATGTTTACTTTGGTGTAGTTAATTAAGCTCATGCATATAACGCTTCTTCATTCTTAGTTGTAGTGGATTAAATAATGTTGCCCCCAAGTTTGTGTCCATCCAGAACCTCAAAATGTGACTTTATTTGAAAATAGGGTCTTTGCTGATGTAATTAGTTAAGATGAGGTCATACTGGATTAGGGTGAGGCTTAAATCCAATGACGCGTGTCTTTATAAGAAGAGAAGGCATACAGAGACACAGAGAAAAGGCCACATAACAACAGAGACAGAGATTGGAATTACGCAGCTACAACCCAAGGTACACTAGAGGTTTCCAGGAGCCACCAGAAGCTAGGAAGAGGCAAGGAAATATTCTTCCCTAGAGCCTTCAGAGAGGGTGACTGCAGACACTTTGATTTCAGACTCCTAGACAACAGAACTGAGAGCAAATTTTTATTGTTTTAAGCCACACAGTCTGCGACATGTTATGGCACTGCTAGAAAACTTGCTGATTTTCTCTCAGTACACACTCAGATTTCTGATGCACATCAGGTTGCCTTTAATTCCCTGTTACATCAAATTGGTACAATGAATATCTTATTTCTGTGAAGCCACTTATTGAGCTCAGCTGGAATTTCACTGAGGCACATTCCTGGGAATGGGATTTCTACTACTAAACGGCTATGCAAAAATAAACACGCATTTAATGTCACCGCTGCAAAATCTAAAACCTAGACTTTAAGATCTTTCCTTTATGAAAGAAAATGTAGAAATTCATATATGTACGATTTTTATCATGGTAAACAGAAGCAGAGGAAGGGCATCTAACTCACATTGGTCCGAGAAAAAATCCTGGGGGACGGTGACCTTGAGGTAAACCTGTAACGAATAAACTTGAGTTGAAGAAGAAAGGAGGATATTTCGAGCAGAGGAAGCTTTTTAAGTTTACTGTACTCCTTACTATTAATGAACATTTCTTTGCTATTCATGACCTAGAACTATTTTCAGCAAAGTCATAATCTTTTGCAGAACTGCCGTTTTCAGATTTTCGAAGCAACATGGGAAATCTGTTTCATAGAATCTTATAACAACTTTTTAATATGAAGATTAGCATATTTTTAGGAATTCTCTGCCAAGAACAAATTCAGTAGCCAATGTATAAATGCCATTTCAATTGAGTTTCTTTTCACGATTTTTTTTGTTAAGTCTTCCTCGTTAGTATAGTGGTGAGTGTCCCCGTCTGTCACGCGGGAGACCGGGGTTCGATTCCCCGACGGGGAGACGAAGCAGTTGCTTTTGATTACAACATAAACAATACCAATCTTATTGAGGGACTCAGGCCTTAATAAGGCCAGTCTTAGAAAGCAGCTCTTCCTGGTTTTGTTTTTATTATTTATTTATTATTATTATTATTTTTGAGACGGAGTTTCACTCTTGTTGCCCAGGCTGGAGCGCAATGGCGCGATCTCGGCTCACTGCAACCTCCCCCTCCCGCCTCCCGGGTTCTAGCGATTCTCCTGCCTCAGGCTCTGGAGTAGCTGGGATTACAGCTATGCGCCACCACACCCGGCTAATTTTGTATTTTTAGTATTGATGGGGTTTCTCCATGTTGGTCAGGCTGGTCTCGAACTCCCAACCTCAGAGGATCCGCACACCTCTGCCTCCCAAAGTGCTGGGATTACAGGCGTGACTACCGCGCCTGGCCCTGGTTTTGTCATTTGAAGTCGGATTCCGGCGTATTGGTTTATCAATGGGTTCACGCAGCAAGCGATCATCTGATGGAAGTCCACTGCCACTTTCTCTCTGGGAAGAGAGATCACCGAACGCGCCAGGATTCACAGTGTTTTCAGCTGGCTCTAGAAACACGCCAGGATCTCTAACTGGGAATTTTCATTCCTCGATTGTTTGGTTGGGAGCAAGAAATGCGTTTTTCTTTGCCTTAGTGTGTTCCAAGCGTGCTAGTTGTTGAGAATCGTTTGAGGCCTGCCTCCCACGGGAGTGACTTTGAGGCAGAAAGGGCTGAACTTTTGGAGCGGGTAGTGAAGTTTACATTTAGGCTGCATCACTTGCAAATTGGGCGATGTCTTGGGTTATTTTGTCCTCTCCTTTCATCTGTGAATTTAAGATAATTTGTATTTTAGGATTCTTGGGGAAATTAATAGGTAAATGATATGTGGAAAACTGATTAATAATCTATACAGGACAGGCCGGGCGCGGTGGCTCACGCCTGTAATCCCAGCACTTTGGAAGGCCGAGGCGGGCAGATCACGAGGTCAGGAGTTCGAAACCAGCTTGACCAACTGGTGAAATACCGTCTCTACTAAAAACACAAAAATTAGCCGGGCGTGGTGGCGCGCGCATTAGCCGGGCGTGGTGGCGCGCGCTGGTAATCCCAGCTACTCAGGAGGCTGAGGCAGGAGAATGGTTTGAATCATCCCAGCTACTCGGGAGGCTGAGGGAGGAGAATGGCTTGAATCTGGGAGGCAGAGGTTGCAGTGAGCCAAGATGGCCTCACTGCACTCCAGCTTGGGCGACAGAGCGAAACTCTGTCTCAAAAATAATAATAATAATAAAATAATAATAATAATCTATACAGGACAGTAAAATGTAATATCTGGGGTACAGGAGAGTAAAATGTAATATCTGGGGTTATCTTTTCTACTGGAAATTAATTATATTTCTATTAGACAAAATTTATTTGAGTTGGTATGGTCTAACGTCATTTGCATTACTATCAGTTATCTACAAGTCAACTTTTCTCCTGTGGAGTCCTCGAACAGTTTAACAAATAAAAATTTGGTCAAAAGTACACACTCAGAATCAAGTAATTTCCGGAAGTCCATTAGACAATGCCCAACACTTCACTGAAAAGACACCCAATCATTTCCATTGCCCATATCCAAGATTCTGACAATTTTTTGTAACACATGAAACTTTAAGTTGTTATGCACTGTTTCAAATCGAGTTAATGAGGTGTTAGCAGAGACAGAGACACCTTTAACCAGGTCACTTAGTTCTGTCCCTCTGTTTATCCAGTTGTAAATCTGGTCAGTGTATGTTTTTAACTTTAATACCACAGTTGGATGGGATATTTTAAGGTCTTACTCTTTCCTTATACTGTTTCTTAAGGATTCTTCATATGAACAAAGATGAGTGAAAATAAATGCATTCTCTGGCAGTTCTACAAGATCTTTCTTCCATCACTCCCTACTTGCTCTCCCTCATTTAGAAGATCTGTTGTTTGTGGTATGAAGAGACTTCAGCAGGCATCAGTAGATGCCATTAATATTTCAGGATGCATGTTGCTTCTGTTGCCCAGGTCTAACAAAAAGTCCACTGAGTCAACTGAGACAGTCAAAATCTGCCAGTACAGAGATATAGCCAATCTAAGGCTCAGCAATCCAAGTGACTGAAGGAACTCACACTGCAGCCTCGACCGCTTGGGCTCAAGCAATCCTCCCACCTGAGCCTCCCTAGTGGCTGGGACCACAGTCATACGCCACCATACCTAGCTAATTTATTATTGTTATTTTTTGTAGAGACAGGGTCTCACTATTTTACCCAGGCTAGTCTCAAACTCCTGTGCTCAAACAGTCCTCCTGCCACGGCCTTCCAAAATGCTGCGATTGCAGGCATGAGCCACTGCACTTGGCCCTCATTACTTTTTATAGCTTCATATTACACCATTATGTGTGAAAAAATAGTTCATTCAATAAATATCCTATGTTTGGTAGTTTAGGTAGTTTCCAGTATTTTGCAGTTTCAAATAGTCTTGCAGTTAATGTGTGTAGATAGTTTAATATTGTTGGAAATGTATTTTAACTATAAATATTTCAAAGTGCGAGTGCTAGGCTGAAGGATGAGTAAGAAAGCAAGACGTTGATTGGCCTGTGGCTTGAGGTGTCTGTATTTTATAATGCTAAAGGACTATCCAACTATTCTTAAGAGTGTCTTAGAAAGTGGTAATAATTTTGTCAAAGTTCAACATCTAATAATAAAGGAGATAATTATACAATTTTACTTTTGCACATGAGGGGCAATGGCCCATCCCTTTATTGTGAGGTCCTTTGTGAATGTTTGTATGCCTTTTTTTTTTTGAGACAGAGTTTCACTCTTGTCACCCAGGCTGGAGTGCAATGGTGCAATCTCGGCTCACTGCAAACCCCTCCTCCTGGGTTCAAGTGATTCTCCTGCCTCAGCCTCCTGAGTAGCTGGGATCACAGGTGTCCACCACCATGCGCAGCAAATTTTTTTATTTTTAGTAGAGACGGGGTTTCACCATGTTGGCCAGGCTGGTCTACAACTCCTGACCTCAGGTGATCCACCCGCCTCCGCCTCGCAAAGTGCTGGGATTACAGGTGTGACCCACCGCACTTGGCCAAATGTTTGTATGTCTTGAATGAGTGTGTGTGTCAAATAAGTCTCCGCAGAGAAGAATGTCATCAATGTAATATCACACCTGTATTTCTGGAGAAAATTGGATGCAGTTAAGATCTTGCCAGCAAAGATTATGTGCTATGGCAAGCCACATGAGATAACCCATGGTAGGGAGGTAAAGGTGTACTGTGTTCCCTCACAGATGCAGGCAAACTGAGAAGTTTTGAGGCATTGAAATAGCCACTAAACAAAACATAGTAGGCAAGTCTATGACTACAGAGTATATACCAGTTAGCAATTAGATGGAGTCAGTAATTACAATAATATTTGGTATAAGGACTTTAATGTGTGGGACCATGGAATTAAGGTTGCAATAATCTTCCATTAGGAGGCATTCATGCTTTTCAAGTTTAATAACAAGCTAACCTGGGCTGTTCAATGAGAAACTGTAGGGATAATCACCCCTTCTCTAAACAGAGCTTATACAATGGGCTCAATACTTGAAAGTCCTGTTTTAATTTATATTATACTGTATTAACTATTTTAATTGACAGGGGTAAAGGGGAGGTCCACTGGGTCCCATTTTGTCAAGTTAATTGTGACAAAGTCTTAATTATCTTATCTTAATTATTACTCATTGGCAAGGAGTGTGCATGCCTACCATGGACTATTTCAAGGCAATGTGTGCTATAAGCATAGAGAATGTAAGCAAAGCAATAGTTCTGATGGTTAAAGTGAGGCATACCTGTTTGTCTGCTATTTTACGTTTAGTAACTCCCCTAAGAGTATAAGGCAACTTGTTTAAATTTAATGGGATTCTCAGATATGGGGTACCTTGTTTTCAGTTAGTGGCATAACTGTAATTTGAGCAATATACTAGAGCTGTAGTAAGTAATTTAAGAGGAGCACTGGGTAAGAATGAATACAGGATGAGGGAAATGCAGTGCTTCCTAAAGAAGGCAAGGTGAAACAAAGACTGCAAGAAGTCTCTTTTACCCAAACATTTGTGCCTCCCCCAATAATGCCACGTGGCATAATATAAATAAAATTTTTGACAACACAGAATTTAAACCTAAGTTTTCAAATTCTACTAACAGATTAATCACCTGAACAGTCAAATATCCCATTACATGTAGCATTTTTAAAATCTCTTTTCTACCATCTGTTAATACTGATAAAGCAATTTCCACAATACTCACTTTGACAAGGCAAACGCTTACCTGAGCAGAAAAAGCCAGAGAATGTAAAATTTGGGAAGGAAGAAAAACCTGAATCTAGTGTTCCCAGGCTACAGAAAACTCATGAAATCTTAAAATTAACTTGGGTTCCATCTCCCTTTGTATAGCTTTCACCCTTACATGCTCAGAGCTATGCCTATACTCACCCTCACATCCATCTCATTCTTTGGCCAGAGGTTGCTAGTACATAATATTCAGAGAAGAAAGAAATGCAGGAGACTCGTGGGATGAAAGGGAGGGGAATGGAGGAAATGGATGAAAACAGAAGGAAAATAAATCAAGAATGAAGAATAAAATTGTACTTCTGTGTTGAGCTGAACCAATTTATGTGAATCCATAGGACTGTTTTCCTGGCAACTTATGCAAAGTCAGATTGCACAGCAGATGCATGCTGGACCTACAACACAGACCTCGATGGGTGAAACCATACTAACATTTTCAATACGGCACTTGTGGACTCCAAAATTATTCTGTTTTCCCCAACTCTGAATCCTCCAGGAGAGAAGAACAATGCAGTTTAGGTAAATCACAGCCACTGCTTTCTGTTTCCTGCCCTGTCCCATACTTGACAAAATCTAGCCTTTCATCATTTTCCATGGTTTTTATTTATTTATTTATTTAGAAACTGACATTATTGCGGGAAACATTGTGAAGTCTCTTGTTGTCTTGGTTCTTACCTCATTGCTTCCTTTTTTCTTCTGCAAAGGTGCTCAGCCATGTCTCATGCATGACTGAAGGCTGAATATGACTGTGGCAGCAAATATTACTTTTTCAACGTCTAGGTCATTCTTGCCTTTGAATGAGATGGAACTTAAGATGTGATGAAATGTATTAGAAGAGGACATGTATTAATATGGAATCTCTGATGTTCAAGGTGGTGCATTACCAAGTGATTCATTCAACTTTGCCCTTATGGATGGGAAAGGAAACACTTAAGTAGCAAATGAGAGGTAACAGAGAATGAAAGGTAGAAGAAAAGAGAAGACAAGAGGGAAAAGAAGAAGGGCCTAGGGAAAGGTGAAGGAGAGGAGAAAGGAAAAGTTAGCACTAGGATGGGTGTGCTAAAAAGGGAGAAGCACAAGAGACATGGGAGGTGGTCTTCTACGCCTGCAAAACCTTTGGAAGTGGGCAGTCATTCCACTTCCCACCCCCACCCAACCCTAAATAACCCAGGAAATCCCAACTGTGAAAGTGCAGAAAAAATGTCGAAGGGGACAACAGATTTAAATCCTCTGTCTTGTAAGTTATAACTTTCATTCTTCTTTCCCTATCTTTTATTTTTATTTATTTATTTATTTGAGGCTGAGTCTCACTCTGTCACCTAGGTTGGAGTCCAGTGGCGTGATCTTGGCTGACTGCAACCTCCACCTCCCAGGTTCAAGCAATTCTCCTGCCTCAGCCTCCTGAGTAGCTAGGACTACAGGCGCGTGCCACGACGCCCAGCTAATTTTTGCATTTTTAGTAGAGATGGGGCTTCACCGTGTTGGCCAGGCTGGTCTTGAACTCCTGACCCCAAGTGATCCGCCCACCTCGGGCTCCCAAAGTGCTGGGATTACAGGGGTGAGCCACCGCACCCGGCCTCTTTCTGTATCTTTTAATTCCTCTGAAGAGGAAACCTTGTTCACTCCAGTCATTACTAAATTGGACACATCTCCTCAAGTTCAGGAAGAAACATGAGTCCCCAGGTGATTGAGACACGCTTTGGGAGACCCTGAAAGTCTTTGAAAGCATGAATTCCTCTCACTCTTCTTTTTCTTTTCTTTTTTCTTTTTTCTCTTTTTTTTTTTTTTTTTTGAGACGGAGTCTCGCTCTGTCACCCAGGCTGGAGTGCAGTGGCGCGATCTCGGCTCACTGCAAGCTCCGCCTCCCGGGTTCACGCCATTCTCCTGCCTCAGCTTCCCAAGTAGCTGGGACTACAAGCGCGCGCCACCACGCTCGGCTATTTTTTTTTTTTTTTTTTTTTTTTGGTATTTTTATTAGAGACGGGGTTTCACCGTGTTAGCCAGGATGGTCTCGATCTCCTGACCTCGTGATCCGCCCACCTCGGCCTCCCAAAGTGCTGGGATTACAGGCGTGAGCCACCGCGCCCGGCCGCTCTCACTCTTCTTACAGATCTCATCCTTTGACCAGCTGAATTAGGACCTAAGAGAGAGCTGGAGGTTCAGTCTGGGGAACAGCAGACTTTTGACCTTTCAATACCTGTTTCTGCTAAAAGAATACTTTATTTTTATGTCAGGTGCATCCAGGGACTGACGATTCCTGCTGCCCTGCCTACTGAAGGATTTCTGAGGTCCACTTTGAAGGCGGGAAAACTTCCACAACTTTTCAAATACAGGGTTTCTCTGATAGAAATCTCGTTAGCTCTACTCCTCTTCTCCAGGGTACATATGACTTAGTGAAAATGAAGGAACCAGTGATAAAGAATATGCACTTACTATGCTCACAGTATAAACCGGGTAAAAACCTTGACTTTTTGTCCAAAACCCATTTCAAGTCTTATAAAAATCTATAGAGCTGTACACAGAAAAAATGCACAAAAGCCCATTTCTGGGTTTTTTTTTTTTTAATAGATTATATCTTAAAGTGAGGACAGTAGTTTTGTAACGAAAGCGCAAAATGGATGACTAACAATTTCGAAGTCTGTCTGGATTTTAGTTTATAAGTGTTTCTTGCAGGGTTTTGTGTACTACCAACTCTCAGAGTCTACATGCTACTAGGGTCCTCCCAAACTGCAACACCCTCTAGAATGAGGTTGTTATCCCCCACCAGGTAAGGGAATTTGAAAGTGGCTGTCCAATAACTCCAGTGCAAGTTACTTGTTATCTTTACCATAATCCTAGATTTGCTTACAAATATGTGATTTAGTTAGTCTCTGGAGGGTATAAGTAAGTAAAGCTAGTAAAGTGTACGGCTGTTTTGCCGCATGTGGCAGAAGTTTTCTGTTTTGACTTCTCTATGTGGCAGAAGTCAAAACTACACTCAACGCCTGGACAGGGACTTGAACCCTAGACCCTCAGATTAAAAGTCTGATGTTCTACCTACTGAGCTACCCAGGTTCTTTTGCGAAAACTTTGTTCATTCTTTAAATAATGTAATCCCATCAGTAATTGGATCGCCAAGAAAAGCTGCAGGAAATCCATGGTTTCAGAAACTACCAGGGTTGTGGCTCAATCACCTAAGCCATTTTAGCACCAAGCAGATAATTTAACCTCCACACTGTACTTTCATTAAACAGCCTATTAATGTGCACAATTGCAGGGAGAATGAAGATTATTCCTATATTGCCAAAGGGAGTTCGTTGCTCTGGGCAGAGGGATCCTTGGAGACCGAATTTGCAGGCTCCCTTGCCATCTTGGAGAGAGGAACCAGGAGGAGGAGACCGTTTTAAGGAACGATTGGCCTAATTGAGGAGAATGCTCGAGAGAATTAAAAAATGTGGAAAGAAGATGAAGGTTCTCTGTTGCCCCATTTGGTATTTTTCCCACACTTTCAGAAATGGAATGTCTAGGTTCTTCAGAGCTAGGAGGAAATAAAAATACAAGTCCTCCTCTAATTTTCTCTTCGCATTTTGTCTGGAGCCCCAACTCATTCAAAGACAAGAATGGCCTGAGAGTTCAGGAAATAGTGCTCATGGTTCGTTCAGTATTCATTAATTCGTGAGACACTTTGAGCACCTGTAAAGAGGGACCATGGGGACAGAAACCCCACAGCAAATGTGGCAGAAGAGGAAGACAGGAAGAGAGTTGTTCCATGAGGAGCTGTGCCAGACCTGGGACTGCCTAACCCAGGACTATTTATTTTTGAATCAGTAATTCTATTATTTAAAACATTAGGCCGGGCTCAGTGGCTCACGCCTGTAACCCCAGCACTTTGGGAGGCTGAGATGGGTGGATCACTTGAAGTCAGGAGTTTGAAACCAGCCTGGCCAACATGGCGAAACCCGGTTTCTAATTAAAAAAAAAAAAAAAATTAGCTGGTCTTGGTGGTGGGCACCTGTAATCTCAGTTACTCGGGAGGGTGACGCAGGAGAATCGCTTGAACCCAGGAGGCAGAGGTTGTAGTGAGCCAAGATCGCACCATTGCCCTCCAGCCTGGGCGACAGAGCGAGACTCCATCTCAATAAACAAATAAATAAGCTTTTCTTTTCTCTTTTCTTTTCTTTTTCTTTTTTTTTTTTTTTTTTTTTTTTTGAGACGGAGTCTTGCTCTGTCGCCTGGGCCGGAGTGCAGTAAAGCCATCTCAGCTCATTGCAAGCTCCGCTTCCTGGCCTCCTGGGTTCAGGCCATTCTCCTGCCTCGCCCTCCCAAGTAGCTGAACCTACAGGCGCCCGCACCACTCCCGGATAATTTTTTGTATTTTTTGAAGTAGTGGGCAGAAGGGGAGGCTGAGGTAGGAGAATGGCGTGAGCCCGGGAGGCAGAGCTTGCAGTGAGCCTAGATCGCGCCACTGCACTCCAGCCTGGGCGAGAGAACAAGACTCCATCTCAACAACAACAACAAAAAATTACCCCCACTTCCTGACAGTATCCAAAGCATGGCAAAGCCCTACTTTCTTAAACCCTCTCCCAAATCACCCCGCCAAAGTCTAAATTTTATAATTTTTTTTCTAACACCCTATTAGTGAGACACCCGTGGTTTCCACGGTGTGTGTTCTCCCTCACTGCAACATGTAATAAACCCAACTTGTTCAACTCCAGGTGTATCCCTGGAGGCCTTTGATGAGAGTGCGTTGGCACCAATTAGTTTGATGTATTTGTCTGTCTCCCTCCACTGCTCTACTTCTGTATCTTTGGTACCAATTACAGAATCAGAACCTGGCTATGCATTCAACAAATATTTGTGAAATGAAAGAATGAATGAATGAATGAACAAATCAATAAATTCAGCTTTGCCCACAGGAAAGCAAAAGGCTACATTCCTGAGCAGGGCAGGCCAAGAAAGCAGCAAATCTTGCCATATGCCTGGCTTCCAGAAAGGTTGGGTTAGCGCAGCTGGAATAAAGCAGGCTATCATTAGAACATTGCCCTTCTTTCAGCTCTTTTTGGACCAGTGTGGTTTAGAAATCCTTTCCCTCTTTCTTCTTTCCTCTGTCCTTTCAATAAAAATTACATATTTACAAATTTCTACATGGAATAATAGTAATAGCTCAGTCTTAAAATCTAGGTCTTAAAATATAGATAAGGAGAGGACTATAAGTTCCTATTTTCAGTCCTTTAACTTCTCTGTGAGAGTAAGTGGCAGGCATTTTGAGAATTCTTCCATAATTCTGCATGTCTTACCGTCTCCATTGTCCTCACCAGACCTTCTTCTTTTTCTTCACCTGCTGGCCTTTTTCTTTCCTTCCTCACATACCTTCTCCCCATCACTTTACTCTACCGGCCTAGTGGTATGGTGGGTGAAGTAAAGAGATCGATGTGATATATTCTAAGATAAGAGAGATGTGAGAGGCAGAAGAACAAGAACAGTGGTTCTCAACTAGGAGTGATTTTGCCAAAGTCTAGAGACATTTCCAGTTGTCACACTGAGGAAGGGTGCTACTTGCATCTAATGATTAGTTATCAGGGATGCTGCTAAACATTCTACAGCGCATGGGACAGCATCTGCAACCAACTCAGAATTATCTAGCCTAAAATGTCAATAGTGCTGAGACTGGGAAACCCTGGATTAGGAAGAACCTCTCTCTTTGTTTTATAATCACTATTGAGTAATAAGTCATTTATTTGTTTCCTTTGCTATTGCAACAAATTACCACAAACTTGGTAACTTAACACAAATTTATTCTCATACAGTCAGAAGTCCAAGATCAAGCAGGATTTTGTTCCTCCTGGAGGCTTCAAAAGAGAATCTGTTTCCTTGCCTTTTCCAGCTCTTAGCGGCCACCTGTATCCCTTGATTCAAGGCCCAGTCCTCCATTTTCTTTTTTCTTTCTTTCTTTCTTTCCTTTTTTTTTTTTGAGACAGAGTCTCACACTGCCGCCCAGGCTGGAGTGCAATGGTGTGATCTCGGCTCATTGCAACCTCTGCCTCCCAGGTTCAAGTGATTCTCCTTGCCTCAGCCTCCCAAGTAGCTGGGATTACAGGTGCCTGCCACCACGCCCAGCTAATTTTTTTGTATTTTTAGTAGAGATGGGGTTTCACCATGTTGGCCAGGCTGGTCTCAAACTCCTGACCTCGTAATCTGCCTGCCATGCCTTCCCAAAGTGCTGGGATTACAGGTGTGAGCCACCGTGCCAGGCTAGTCCTCCATTTTCAAAGCCCATACATCACTCTATCCTCTGGTTGCATCGTCACATATTCTTTTTCTCTCTCTCTCACTCTTGACTTCCCTTTTATTATATTGGGCCCAACTGGATCATCCAGGATACTTTTCTCATCTCAAGATCCTAAACTTAATTACTTTGCAAAATCTCTTTTGCCATGTAAGGTAACGTATTCACAGGTTTCTGGGATTAGCATGTGGACATCTGTGAGGGGCCACTATTCAGCCTATCACAAATGGTTTCCTGACTTAAGGTGAAAGAAGTTCATGCACTGGTCATTTTTCATACTAGTATTTATTAGCTTTCAGAGGCTTTCATTTCCCAAGAAAGACAATATAAATATTATAAGCAACAATTGGCAGTCGGGTATCTAATTTTACCTATTTTGTGTGTGGTTGGTGATCTGGTGGTGTTTTGTTTGCTTAGTTTTGCCTGCTTAATTAAATTTGTTTGTTTCTCAGATAGAATACCCAGAATATTACTTTGAAACAATGTAGAGAAGTAATACCATGAGAACTTTGAGTCAAATATCAGGAGTTTGAATTCAAGTCCCCCAAACGAACTCCTCTAAAAGGTAAAATATTCTTGTTCCTAGAAATGTTATCAAATTCCAGTAGCTGACAATTTCAACTATTCCTGCCCTACTTCATATTACCCTAGTCCAACATGATCTATGTTATGAGTCAGCCAATGTTTTCTGTAAAAAGATCAGATGGGTCAAGAGGAAAACTCAACGGTATTCTGTAAGTTTTATATTGTAAGAGAAAAAACAACATTTGTTTGTTTGTTTGTTTTGAGATGGAGTCTCACTCTGTCGGCCAGGCTGGAGTGCAATGGCGCAATCTCAGCTCACTGCAACATCCACCTCCCAGGTTCAAGTGATTCTCCTGCCTCAGCCTCCTGAGTAGCTGAGATTACAGGCACCCACCATCAAGACAGGCTAATTTTTCTATTTTTGTATTTTGTAAAGACAGGGTTTCACTATGTTGGCCAAGCTGGTCTTGAACTCCTGACCTCAGGTGATCCACCCGACTTGCCCTCCCGCAGTGCTGGGATTATAGGTATGAGCCACCACGCTCAGCTGAGAAAACAACACTGTTAACAAAATTTAAAATATAACTATAGAATTGAGCAACATTTTTTCTAGTATAGGCCTACTAATGAAAAGAATGAGATTCTTTTGGAGGGAATAATGTTTCAGTTACTTGAAATTCAAAGTTAGCACTCCCTATTATCAAGTAAACTAAGTAGTATTGGTAACATCTATCCATCTATCCACACATCAAGAGCCAGGGGAAATCATTCAAAGGCATTTGCCTTTGTTGCAATTGACTACTAACATTACTCACAATGTTTTCAGCTCTTAGCAGAGCTCTGTTCTAAAGGGTGGCTGTTCAGGTTTCTATTGGAACTAACTCATAGGATAGGATTGCTTTCTCTTCTTTCCTTCTTTCCATCTTATTTCCAACCAAATTTTAGTGTCTCTCACTCTTTGCTTTGGTTCAGTTAAATAATCATAGGCACAGAATATTTGTCACTCTTAAATAATACTTTTTATCTTAGTTATTAGAGATTGTACAGTGAACTTAAATTCTGCAGTATTGCTCCATACTCCTTCAAATTTTTAGTTATATCATCTCTATATTGTCATAGCATATACCATTTACATTTTCTCTAGTTACTGTTATCTTTCTCAGTGTTTTGGTAATCTGCAGTTTAATATATTCAGTGCCCCATGTTAATTCTTTTGTTGTAATTTCCCCAGTCATTTTATTTGTTTGTTTGTTTGCCTAGAATACTTTGTGTAGTTGTTTATTGAAGGAAAGTCTATGTGATCAATATATCCTGACCTCTTGCATTTTTAAGTGGTTTATCCTGAATATTTGACTTAAAAATGCAGCTTATCTGAATATATACAACCCCTTATTCACCCTATATTTCCTTAAGTGTATAGTAGGTGTTGCTCTACTGTCTTTAGGTATTTGATGCTGTTGTAGAGAAATCAGATGCCAATACGATTTTCTTTCCCCTGGTGTTGACTTGACATTTGTAGCTGCTACCCAAATATTTTTTTATCTTCAAAGTCAAATAACAATACTAGAAATTATCCTATTTGAGATCAATTTTCTCTGGTATGCTTTGTGATTTTTCAATAGATATATTCAAATTTTCTTTTAGATTATGAATATTTTATCATGTAGTGCAAATTCTGCTCTGTTTCAATAATTCTTATCTTGGAGGGGGGAATTCCATTTATGTGGGTTTGTTGTTGTTGTTGTTGTTGTTGTTCGAGACAGAGTCTCACTCTGTCGCCCAGGCTGGAGTGCAGTGGCGAGATCTTGGCTCATGCAACCTCCACCTCCCGGGTTCAAGCGATGCTCCTGCCTCAGCCTCCCAAATAGCTGGGATTACTGGCGTACACCATCATGCCCAGCTGATTTTTGTATTTTTAGTAGAGAAGGAGTTTCAGCATTACGGCCAGGCTGGTCTCAAACTCCTGGCCTCATGTGATTTGCCTGCCTTGGCCTCTCAAAGTGCTAGGATTACAGAGGTGAGCCACCAAGTCCCTCCACACATCCGTGTATTTTTAAAATCTCCCTTGCCTATATTCTGCATTAGTAGTTGGCAAAATTTTTCTGTAAAAGATCAGATAGTAAATATTTTAGGCTTTGCAGGCCATATGGTCTGCAGCTACTGAACTCTGGCACTGAGAAGGGTAGTATGAAAGCAGCAACATATAATATAATAGCACATGAATGAGTACAACTGTGTTCCAAAAACCTTTATTTAAATAAAGCTTAATTTGAATTTTAAACTGAAAATAAAATTTTATATCATTTTTATACGTTATAAAATTCTTTTCATTTTTTGAGCCATTTAAAAATAGAAAAAACATTCTTAGCTCAAGGCCACACAAGAATAGGCGGTAGTCTTGATTTGGTCCACAGCTGTAGATCATCAACACCTGCTCTATATCTATAATTATTTTTATAATTAATTTGATTACATTTTTGTTGTTCTTCTATTTTTCATATCTATTCTTACTATCCACTTACATGTTATCAGTGGTACCCGCCTTGCGCTTTTTGTAATTTTAGTCTTCAATCCTGAATATTTTTTTCCTTTGTCTCTATGAGTTCCGTAATTTTCTGTTTCACAGTCTTTATTTTTCTTGTCATGAAATATTTATTTCTGGCAATGTAGTTCCTGAATTCTTGTGTTTCTGCTTTGTGTTTTTTTCTTTATAGACATTATTGCTTCTGTTTAACCCAAAAGTATCTGAGACAGGTCTCGATCAATTTATAAAGTTTATTTTGCCAAGATTAAGGACACACCCGTGACCCAGCCTCAGGAGATCCTGACGACATGTGCTCAAAGTAGTCGAAGTACAGCTTGCTTTTTTTTTTCTTTTGAGAAGGAGTCTCACTTTTGTTGCCCAGGCTGGAGTGCAATGGCGCGATCTCGGCTCACCACAACCTCTGCCTCCTGAGTTCAAGTGATTCTCCTGCCTCAGCCTCCCAAGTAGCTGGGATGACAGGCATGCACCACCATGCCCGGCTAATTTTTTATTTTTTGTATTTTTAGTAGAGACAGGATTTCTCCATGTTCGTCAGGCTGGTCTCGAACTCCCAATCTCAGGTGATCTGCCCGCCTCAGCCTCCCAAAGTGCTGGGATTACAGGTGTGAGCTACTGTGCCCGGCCGTACAGCTTGCTTTTATACATTTTAGGGAGACATGATGTTACCGGAAAGGAGTCCCAATCCAGACCCAAGAGAGGGTTCTTGGATCTCGTGCAGGAAAGAATTCTGGGCGAGTCCATAGAGTAAAAAGCAAGTTTTTAAAGAAAGTAAAGGAATAATGGCCACTCTATAGGCAGAGCAGCAGCATAGGCTGCTCTGCAGCTTATTCTTATAGTAATTTCTTGATCATATGCTAAACAAGGGGTGGATTATTCCATGACTTTTGCTGGAAAGGGGTGGGCAATTCCCGGAACTGAGGGTTCCTCAGATCATACAGACCTCATAGGGTAACCTCCCGAGGTTGCCATGGTGTCTGTAAACTCATGATGCTGGTGGGAGTATCTTTTTGAATGCTAATGAGTTATAATTAGCCTATAATGAGCAGTGAGAACGGCCAGAGGTCACTCTCCTCGCCATGTTGGTTTTGGTAGGTTTTGGCCGGCTTCTTTACCGCATCCTTTTATCTGTGAGGTCTTTGTGACCTGTAACTTGTGGCGACCTCCTCTCTCATCCTGTAACTAAGAATGCCTGAACCTCCTGGGAATGCAGCCCAGTAGGTCTCAGCCTTATTTCACCCAGCCGGTATTCAAGAGGGAGTGGCTCTGGTTCCAATGCCTCTGACAATGAGCCATCAATCAGTATGTGTAAGATGTATATTGGTTCGGTCTGATAAGGCAGGACAACTAAAAGTAGGGGGTTAAAAGTCGGTAAGAGACAAAAGGTTGCATTATTCTGAGTCCTTGATAAGCCTTCCGCTGAAAACACAATTTAGTCTGGCTCAGTGAATCTGCATTTTTACGTAAACAATAGGGCAGATGAAGCAATCAGTTACACGTGTCTCAGGTGAGCCTCAGAGGGAGACTTTGAGTTCTCTCTGTTCTTTGTCCACAAGGAATTTCCTTGTGGGCAAATTGTGAGGAAGGTATGTACCTTCTTATCTTTGTACCTATCTTATTCAGGAATAAAACGGGAGGCAGGTTTCCCTGACATAGTTCCCAGCTTGACTTTTCCCTTGGTTTAGTGATTTTGGGGGTCCTGATATTTATTTTCCTTTCATACCTTCTTATAATTTTTTATAAATTAATCATGAATTATGTTATTTTATATTCTTCTTTGTAGCCATATTTTTGGGCAAACTTGTATATAGAAAGATCAGATTGCAATTTTTGTATTTATTTTTATTGCAGCTATCCGTGGATACCAGCATACTTCTTTTGTGTGTGCGTGTGATGGAGTCTCACTCTGTTGCCCAGGCTGGAGTGCAATGGCACCATCTTGGCTCACGGCCACCCCCACCTCCTGGGTTCAAGTGATTCTCTTGCCTCAGCCTCTGAGTAGCTGAGGTTACAGGTGTGCGTCACCACACCTGGCTAGCTTTTGTATTTTTAGTAGAAATCAGGTTTCACCATGTTGGCCAGGCTGGTCTTGAACTCCTGACCTCAGGTGATCCTCTTGCCTCAACTTCCCAAAATGCTGAGATTACAGGAGTGAGCCACTGCGCCCGGCCCAGCATACTTCATTTTCTGTTCAGATATAAGTGAGACACATTTTCCTGAACTGGTAGCATAGGCCCCTGTGAGAGCAGAGAAGGCAGGGTAACTGTGTAGACTTCAGATGTCAAAGATTCTCTATTGTGTTGTTTCAATAAAAGCCTGAGGCTGGCACCTCTGCAATCATGCTTCTCTTGGCTTTCAAAACCTAGCCCAGGTCTGGAGGGTTTTTGCCCACAGCTCTGAAATACTTAGACTTCTTTTTACGGACAAAAGTAATGAATGGTATTGCCTTGATGTTTGAAGACGAAGTACCAATTCAAACACAAGCATTTTTTTTTTTTTTTTTTTTTTTAAAGAGACGGAGTGGAGTCTCCTTCTGTTGCCCAAGCTGGAGTGCAGTGGCATGATCTCAGTTTACTGCAATCTCCACCTCCTGGGTTCAAGCAATTCCCCTGCCTCGGGCTCCCAATACCTGGGACTACAGGCGCGTACCACCACGGCCGGCTAATTTTTGTGTTTTTAGTAGAAACGGGGTTTCACTATGTTAGCCAGAGTGGTCTCGAACTCCTGACCTCAGGTGATCCATCCGCCTCAGCCTCCCAAAGTGCTGGGGTTACAGGTGTGAGCCACTGTGCCCAGCAACACAAGCACTTTATAAACTTTCCTACCCTCCTTCAGCCATGACATTGTCTGGTATAATCTCAGTTCTATTTGCAGAAATTTCAGCTCAGGGTTGGTTCTCTCCTTCTAGAAGAGAGAGGCAGCTCAATATTTCTGAAGCCTGCTCCCTATCAGATTCCTCTGCGTTTCCTCTTCTCTGGGGACTAACTCCATTTGACTGCTATTTGGTTTCCTAGGCATGCATTGTGAAGTTATCAGGCGTTTAAGGTGTTGTAGATTCACTATTTTGTTCCTACGTAAAAGTTCTTTGTGCTCTTTATGATATTTCGGTGGGGTATCTGAAAGATTTCAAGCTAAGCGGCTGCCACACCCCTCCCAGCTACTGTCCTTGGACCCAGGCAAGCCAGGCTCCTGCTCTTGTCCCTCGCCGGAGGGAGCGCAGCGTTTTGGAACACCTTCCTCGAAATTCCAAGTCTGAGACTCTAGTCTTTAGCATAGTCCCGGCACTGGGGTGGCGACCCGATCCGAGAAAGAGACCCAGCGCGTGAGTCGCTCCTATTGACAGGTGTGGCATTTCTTACATGGGATCGTCAGAAATTTGGCCGCCAAAACGGAACTGACGCACTGATCTGGGGTGACCTTCACTCACATCGGACACAGTTTGGGTCTCTGGGCTACCGATGGGCTACCGCCAATTCTTGACCTTCAGCCGCAGTGTGGATTCATGCGGCGGCTCTCACCACCCGTGTTGTCACCTGGAGGCTACCTCGTGTCTGCACCCGACAGCAGAGGGGGAGCTGTAGCAGGAGTCTTTTATACCCTGTGCTCTATCCCCACTTCCGCCCCTGGCCCCATGGCGGTCGCCCATCCCCGCGACTGGCTCCACACCTAGTGTCAGGTTGTCCCCAGGGAGGGGCAACACCTCTCTTTCTCTCGAGGACTCTTGAGACCGTTGCCTCACAGCGCCAACAGGCCCATATGACTGATGTCCCCTCTTGACGCCAATCAATGTGATGACATCATTCTAGACAAGGGCAGACATTCCTTGCATGAATAGGACCGCTCTTCTAACTCCACCTTCAAGACCTTTGCCTTCTAGTGGCCATGTATGGAATGCAGCGTGTAATGCAATCAACAACGGAAAGAAATCACATTTTAAGAATGTAAAACTTTGTTCTTCGTTTTCGCATTAAAATTCTGACAAGAGATAAATGTAACTCGACCAGAAAAACGAACAATTGTTCATATTATCCTGCATATTCTGGGTAAGACTTGCCTTAGTGGTCATTAACAAAGCACAGTAACAACCTTTCCGAGAGTCACTGTAAACTGGTATTTATTGGTAACAGATGGGCACACTCCTTCACTGGAGGTCACACCTCCTTTTAAGGTAGTGCTCAAGACTCTATCCTCCCGGGTTCAAGTAATTAAACTATCCCCATGCCTTTTCTTATACAGGGGCGATACCCCTACTGTTACTTGTCCTGGAGAACTATCCCTGAGGGTTTTTTCCTACCTTGTAACATCTTTATAAGTACTCCCAACATTAAAAATAAAAACTAATGCATTCTGTATGTCTCACTAGAAGTTCCTTTAGTATCCCTGTAGTAGTTTAAAATGTACAGTATTACTAGAAGGTTTGCTGTGAAATACATAAGCCTCACTGTCCCCTGATTTCTTACGTCACCCTAGGTAGATGCCAATGAAATTAACATTTGTTTTTCTTCTTGGATTTACAGACTTGTAATTTCCTAAATAATATGCGTAACTGATATTATTAATTGATTTAGACAATTAATTGATTTAGACAATTTAGGCCTAACTGGCAGAGATCTGAGAAAGGGTGAGGAAAAAGTGCTAATCTCATCCAGAAATCTCCTCACAGACATACCCAGAAATAATGCTTAATCTGGGTATCCTGTGGTCCATGCAAGGTGTCACATAAAATTAATCATCACAGATATATACTATGAGGTATTGATTTTGGCATTTAAATGTTAGATAAATAAAATAATGATGATTGTGGGAAAAGTCAGAAATGGAATGATATGTACTTAAAATATAATTTATAGAATATAAAAAGACATGCACAAAATATCATTACATATTCTTCTAGAAAACATTATCATAAAATGTAAACACTTAATTCATTAGAATGGTTTCGTATGAAAAAGAATGATATAGGGAATAGGCTATATAGATAAAAATAAATTAATCAATTGATTAAGATAGTCAGATTAAGTAATCAAAAAATTTAACAAAATACTATGAGATATTCAAAATAATTGGTGATCTCTGTGGTGCTTTTTTTTTTTTTTCTTTGTGACAGTCTTGCTTTGTTGCCTAGGCTGGAGTGGTGCAGTGGCACAATCTCAGCTCACTGCAACCTCTGCCTCCCAGGTTCAAGCAATTCTCATGCCTCAGCCTCCCAAGTAACTGGAATTATAGGCATGTGCCATCATGCCCAACTAATTTTTGAATTTTTAGTGGAGACATGGTTTCACCATGTTGCCCAGGCTAGTCTCCTGAGCTCAAGTGATCCAATAGCCTTAGCCTCCCGAAGTGCTGGGATTACAAGCATGAGCAACCTCGCCTGGCCCGTGGTGCATTTTTTGAAAATGAAAATTCTGCTTCCACTCGTGAAAAATGAATTGCTAGGAGAATTGTCCCCCGGCTATAAAAAAATTAGAAAAATAGAAAAAATATATAATACAGCTCTTAGATACCAGTGTTTTGGAAACACAATGCCAGCTTGTAATATTTGAGAGAAGAGAAACAGAAAATGTGAGCCGGGTGATTACATCAGTCAAGAGAATTTTGAAGAAGGAAAAGATAGTGGCATTTACCACACTAAGTATCATGACTTATTAGAAGTCTCAAGACATTCAGAGCATGCATTGTTGGTGCAAGGATAAACAAAATGTCATAGAACAGAGAGCTCAGAAATCATCTGCACATATGTGTAAATTTAATACATGATAAAGTTGGCATTGCAGCTGGAGTAAGAGAGTATAATTTACTGAGAACTCTATACAGGAATAAATAGGGGTAAGAAGCTGCGAATCTATCACAACCCCTTTCATTGCCTGACCTGACTAGATGTAATTTATATCATAAGAAGAGGAGTATGTAGTGGATAATAAATATTCTACATATGGTGAGTCATGACATTAGCTGATCTTAGTGAAATGGTACATCATTTCCAAATTGTTGTGCAAGGTGGGGGGAAAATCCACCATGTCAAATGGCATGTTTCTTTGTTTGTTTGTTTTGTTTGTTTGTTTTTGAGACGGAGTCTCTCTCTGTCGCCCAGGCTGGAGTGTAGTGGTGCAAACTCGGCTCACTGCAAGCTCCGCCTCCCGGGTGCACGCCATTCTCCTGCCTCAGCCTCCCGAGTAGCTGGGACTACAGGCGCCTGCTACCAGGCCAGGCTAATTTTTTTTTTTAATGTATTTTTAGTAGAGACGGGGTTTCACCGTGTTAGCCAGGATGGTCTCGATCTCCTGACCTCGTCATCCACCCGCCTTGGCCTCCCAAAGTGCTGGGATTACAGGCGTGAGCCACCGCGCCCGGCTTGGCATGGTTTTTAAAAAGGGCTTTATTGGGGGATTTATTCTGTTAAGCAAGCAAAGGCACAGGTTGATCAATTCTCTCTTTATTCCACATGGGAGCATGCCAGGCACAGGCATTGCTGGAAATACAGCAGGTCTGTGGTCGACAAGAAGGTATCTTTCCTCTATTTCTCACCCTCCACAAACAGAAGAGCCTTTTCCAAGAACTGTCAGTGACAATGGGCCAGACCACCTGATGGCAGGCAATCTGGATTTAAGGTGCGACGTGTTTGTAATATAATGATACAATCCATGCTATGGCATATTATGTAATTCATATAAAGAATGAAATAACACTACATATGTTAAATGATATCACTTCAGTCAAAGATGAGTGGAGATATACATCTATATATGTATATATGTGTGTATACATATATGCATATATATGCATCTTCCCAGAAATATATTACATATTATTAATGTTAACATACATATAAAATTTCTGGGAAGATGCACAGGATACTTGAAACTAGGCACCAGTGGAGGAAATTAAGGAAGTAGTGTTCTAGGATGAAAAGGAGACATTTTCCAGCTCTATTTGTACAATTGGGTGGGGGAGGACTTTTACCGATCTTTGTTTTGGATCAAAATCGGTGCTGGACACCCTCATCCACAATATTTCATTTAAAAGCGAATTTAATTTTAATTAATTTCTTAGAGCTGAAATATTTGCACTACCAACGATCGCTTATTGAGGTTCAGGATGAGATGAAGAGCAGACTTGAGTTTTGAGTTTTCACCAGCTAGAAAACAGGCGTGTTTCCAAATGGAAGCTGCAGAATTCTTACAGGCACAGTTTAGAACATCTGCCAGCAATTCTCAAGCAGAGGCTGGGATAACAATAAGTTTATCTGCCCCAGAAAGTTGTTTTTCATAAGGAAGAAACAGTTACTGGTATTCATTTTAATATCCAACTTTTATTATTTTCCCTTTGATTTGGTCATCTAGTGACTGCAGACGTCTATATGTGGCAACGTTTCTGAAGAAGCTCCTCAGATGTTAACACTACAAGCAGAAAATAAATTACAGGAAAATGGGATTCGCTGACTGGGAAAAACGTCCAATTAATTAATATAAGGAGAAATTACTGGTACAGGTATCCACTCAGATCACAAAATGCAACATGCGACTCTGGAGGGACTCGAACCCGCAACCTTTGAATCTCTTGATTTAGGCTAGAAGTCCAATGCGCTATCCATTGCGCCACAGAGCCTGCTTGAGCTCCCCCCGTTTTGTCCTGAGGTTGCTAATTAATTTGACTATTCATATAATAAGTCTCCTGAAAACATTCTGCTCCAGTCACCGTGAAAGTTCAATAAACACAAAAATGAGACAACACAAGGGATACGCAATCCCTGACACGGAGGAGTTACTGAGCCTTTCAATAACTATTTTCACTTGTGCCAAGAAATAAAGAATAATTTAGCGAGATTCCGTCTCAAAAAAAAAAAAAAAAAAAAAAAAAAGCGAGACTCCGTCTCCAGAATAATTGGAGAGCTTCCGGACAGCTGAACATGTGGAGGTTTCTGGAGGGTGGCACGCCCAGAGAGTGCTTGGAAGCTCGGCGTCCCTTCTCCCATACCTTGCCCTGCGTGCCTCTTCATTTGTATCCTTTGCGATATCCTTTATAATAAACCAGTAAACCCTATAGCCTGGCGCCCGCAACATGGGAGGTGCAGGTGGCTTGCTCTGAGGATGTGGACTTGCCCTGCACCGTCCCCTCGGAACCGCAGGTGCCCTACATGGTCTCCTAGGTCAAGCTATTGGAGGGCGGTGAAGAGAGGGTGCAGGCACCCCAGGAAGATCTGCGCCTCAGAGGACAGCGCTATCATCAGAAGGGCCAAAATGGCTCTTCTGGGGTCCCAGTGAAAGATCCTATTCCCTGAAGATCCGAAACACTACCAGCTGCAACCCGTGGACATACAAGTGCACTCTGCAGGCACCGGAAGGGCAGAGAAACCTAAGTGGCAAGGTGATCCTGAGAGTGACAGGATGTCCTAAACACCGTAGAGAATTTTAAGAAATACAAAGCTGGAGCCGGGCACGGTGGCTCACGCCTGTAATCCCAGCACTTTGGGAGGCCGAGGTGGGCGGATCACTAGGTCAGGGGTTCGAGACCAGCCTGCCCAACATGGTGAAACTCCATCTCTACTGAAAATACAAAAATTAGCCGGGCATGGTGGTGCGCGCCTGCAGACCCAGCTGCTCAGGAGGCTGAGGCAGGAGATTCGCTTGAACCAGGGAGGCAGAGGTTTCAGTGAGCCGAGACTGCACCACTGCACCCCCAACCTGGGTGATAGAGCGAGACTCTGTCTCAAAAAAAAAAAAAAAAGAAAGAAAAGAAAAGAAAAGAAAGAAAGAAAAAAGAAAAAGAAACGCAGAGTTGGGATTTTGCTGTTGTTGTCTCTGGTTGTTTTCTACTTAACACTCATCATTTTCACTTGTAAGTTTGCATGACTACGGAGTATTTACTCAGATTTTTCTAAACCCGGCATGGAATGAGCTTTTCTCCCAGTTACCTCCCCGAATAAACATTTGGGGCCAGTAACTCTTTGCAAGACAGAACTTGTATAAGTAGGATTTCTACGGATTTTTTTTCCTAAAGCTGAGGACTCAGTGGTGTGTCTGTCACACTGGAGAAGAGAATGAGTTCTACACTGAAGAAGTGTGAAGTCCTGTGAAGTCCTTCATCTGAGTGAAAACACTGGGAAGTGGATCATCCCATCCCATTTTTCTATGAGCAGGCCTTGAAAATCATCACATGACCATATAGCTTGGAGTCACCACTATTTCTCCATGGCTATCTTTTTAGCGATTTATGCAGCTATCCAGTCATATAAAAGCTATGCTGAGATGCAGCTGGAAAAGGGTCTTGGGGAAATACGAAAGCCCCCAGCTGGCCCCGTGACAGATCCTGAGGACAGCTGTCCTCTTCTACATCTGGGGAACATCTTTTTTAATGTACTGTGTTTTATCATACCAGCCCAGATGTTTTATGTCTGGGAAAAATTGACAGATCAAGCTGTGAGACAGTGGGAAATATTTAGCAAATAATTTCCTGGTGTGAGGGTCCTGCTATTACTAAGGAATATTCTGTGTACAAAGAAATAACAGTTCAATGGATTATTCCCCAGCAGGACTGGGGAATTATTCCGGCAGGATTATTCCCCAGCAGGGTGTTTTCATCTGGGAAAGACATCCATAAACAAGCAATAAAGAAGAGTGCCACAATTATTTTTGCATCTTTATGTACTTGTCAAAGAAGGATTTGTATTTTTCTCCTTTTGAAAACTATATAGTTAGATTGCGTTGTGAACTGACAAGCAGCCTGGATATGGAGAGTGAGAAGTCCGAGAAGGTGACAACAGGATAGAGAGGTATTTAGTGATGGGCTGGAAATGCTGGGCCAACCATGCACTGTGGATGCTCGCCCCACTAACTGGCTGTATGATCTAAGGCAAGTTCCTTATGGTTTCTGCTTTCTTTGTTGTAAGTCAAAAGGCTATTGCATGGGCTGATTAAAATACCATACATGAGGCCAGGCGCTGTGGCTCATGCGTGTAATCCCAGCACTTTGGGAGGCTGAGGCGAGCGGATCACCTGAGGTCAGGAGTTTGAGACCAGCCTGGCCAACATGGCGAAACCCAATCTCTACTTAAAAATACAAAAATAAGCCGGGCATGGTGGCGCATGCCTATAGTTCCAGCTACTTGGGAGGCTGAGGCAGGAGAATCGCTTGAACCTGGGAGGCGGAGGTTGCAGTGAGCGGAGATGGCGCCACTGCACTCCATCTTGGGTGACAGAGCCAGACTCCATCTCAAACAAATAAATAAAAAATAAAATAACGTGAAAATGCTTTGAAAAAGTATGAAGCATTATGCAAATTTGAAACTTCCATCTTAAGTTTATTAGAAAAAAAACATGTACATGTTAAGGTTATTAGAAAAACATAAAAATACAATTAAAAAAAGAAACTCTATTGAGTCATTATCCTCGCTATTATGGTGGTGTTCTGGGGATGAGAGGATACCTTTCACTTCTCATGTTTTCCATCATTCCAAACAAAGAAGATCACAAAGAAGCTTTTCCCATAGTCTTCTGCAGGAATTCCTTTGGGGGAAGCTAGGAGGCTAGGTCCATGGTCTGTTCTTGAAGCACCAGCCAAAAGCATTCCAAGGTATGGACATATGGGAGCCACTGGCAGAAGAGACTTCAGTAAATGCTGCACTGCTATTTTAGCAATTGCTGGGTTTCTCAGATCAAGCTTGGGCCCTTCCCCTCCTGTTTTCCAAAGACATTTTATTGCTTTAGTTGTGTGTTCGTTGCCCCCACTAATATTAGGGTGTAAAAGGGATACTAAGTTCATTTTGTGTTTTTGCATCTTTCATAGCTTTCATGTTATTAAATGTATACATGGGGGGAAAAAAGGAATAGTTTGACTAAGGATCAAAATCCATATCTCATTTAATCTGGTCTCTCCAACTCCATGCTTGGGACAGTTGATTTCACAGAATGGAATCTGAGGAACTTCCAACATTTGACAATGGATGGTATTTTTAATACATAGCCGAGCCCCCTAAGTCCCTTTCCTCTAGCTCCAGTCCAGAGTTTTCTCTCGAAAGATAGGCCCTTCTTGTTCGTTCTTTTTCATATCTGTGTTTTTGTTTATGTTTAAGAAGGAGTTTCGTGAGTTTTGTCAACAAGCTCACAGAGCAAACGATGACATTGTGGCACAAATTTACTGCGTCCAGGTGGCTTTAGAACTCTCCCAGGTTTTGTAACTTGGGAATTTTCTTTTAGCGGCTGTTTGGACTGAGATGTAAAAACGCCATTTTCTTTGCTTTTCCGCCTTTCAGTGAGACGGTGTGGCCCAGCGGTACTTGCTCCGTTAGGGGCGGTCAATTAAGTGGCTTCTTGTCGTCCTGGACAGAAAGGAATGAAGTCGTTGAAAGTGACGCTCAAGCGCGGGAGAATCCAAGTTTGGCGAAGTGAAACTGGCGACCATTTGTGGTCTGAGAAACGGGAGGAGAATTGTGGAGGGAAGAGAAGAAATCTCAGGTGATCTGCGACCCAAAGATGGCTTGGTGCAATGTGACAGAAACAAATACGACCGTCACTGGAGGGTTGGAATCCATGCCTCCACGGCGAGATCGAATCCAATGGTTAAGAGCTTTAAGGTCATTCATTCGTCCCTATACGCTAGTTAACTATAGACAGTGAGGAACTTCTCTGGCCCGATGACATCTCAACTTTATATCGCATCCAGAAAAGAAAATACTGTAATTAATTCTGAAATTTGCAGGAAGCAAAACAAAGCAAAATGCGAGCTCTGAACTGTTTGCAAAAACGCAACGCAGAAAGGAGTTTTAAACCGGAGCTGAAGATTGAGCTGGGGGGAAAAGTTCTTGCATCCCTAGAGCCTCGAAGCCCAGGTTACTTATCACGGGTTTCGGGGCACACTCGCTTCCCACTCCCCTCTCCCCTCCTGGCCGGCATCGCTTTCTCAGAACTTGGTTTCTTCCACGGACCACACTGTCCACGGAGACCTTAGTTCCTTGGAGAGGAACCACCCTTCCTTCTTCAGAATTGAAAACCAGCCAATAAGCCTCCGAATCTCTTTTTCTTTTTACTGAGTCTTTTATGAAGCCCACAGAAAGGCTCTCATTCTCTGACGTGAAGGAAGAGGTAGGGAGGGTACAGATTACATCAAAGAATTTCCCTCTGTGGTCTCTACGCTGCACAAGGGAGGCATTTGACATAATTCTTACTAACATGAAATTTGAGGCCAGGCGTGGTGGCTCACGCCTGTAATCTCAACACTTTGGGAGGCCGAGGAGGGAGGATCACGAGGTCAGGAGATCGAGACCATCCTGGCCAACATGGTGAAACCCAGTCTCTATTGAAAATACAAAAATTAGCCGGGCTTGGTGGCCGGCACTAATAGGGAGGCTGAGGCACAAGAATCGCTTGAACCCAGGAGGCGGAGGTTCAGTGAGCCGAGATCGCCAGTGCACTCCAACCTGGCAACAGAGCGAGACTCGCGAGACTCCGTTTCAAAAAAAAAAGGAAAATAAGTTAGAGCTATCTAATTTTTAGTGGATTCACTTTTGCTTGTAGATTTTTAAAAATCCAATTTCTTTCCAATTAAGTGTGGTTTGACTCTCATTTCTCATCAACTTTGGGACTATGACTCTGATGGCATTAACCTGGGCTGCTTCTTCCCAGCTCAAAGGATTACTATGTATTCAAAAGTGCAGTTGAGGCCGGGCGTGGTGGCTCACGCCTGTAATCAAAGCTCTGTGGGAGGCCGAGGGGGGCGGATAACTTGAGGTCAGGAGTTTGAGACCAGTCTGGCCAACATGGTGAAACCCCATCTCCACTAAAAATACAAAAACATTAGCTCGGCGTGGTGGTGCGCGCCTGTGATTCCAGCTACTCAGGAGGCTGAGGCACGAGAATCACTTGAACCCGGGAGATGGAAGTTGCAGTGAGCCGAGATCGCGCCACTGCACACTCCAGACTGGACGACAGAGTGAGACTTCGTCTCAAAAAACAAACAGACCAAAAAACCCCAAAACAAAAGTGCATTTGAACAGGAAAGCCGGCAGAGTCTGTGAAGAGCTGACCAGAGGAGCCTAACTGAAAAAGGAGGATTCTGTGACTGTCTCTCCTTCAGAAAAAGTTCACGCTCTGCTCCTTAGTGAAGGAGGGATGGGTGTTCCAAAGAAGTCTCTTTCCAAGGGAGGGAGGACATAGGAGCCAAAAGAAAACGCACAGTCCCAGAGAACAGGTTTTCCAAGAAGCTAGTCTAGCTCTGTTTTTACTCCTTCTAGATAAGATCTGTTAAGCTATCTAATTACAGAATTCCCCACTGCTTTCAGACAGCATCTAATCAAGAACAATCTCTGCTTCTTTAAAACTTCCCCTAAAATCACCTAACACAAGATATGTAGATCCTGTAAGTATTAATACTTTATAATAATCTTACCGAGGTGCCCTACGCTTCCTTATGGTGTGTGTTCTTGCTTGCTGTAAGGAATAATAAACCTAATTTATTCAACTACAGGTGTATTTCTGAACATTTTTGGCTGGAGGATGTTGGCACACTTTATATTCTATATGACTTCAAAATATGGGGAGAGGAGGAAAAGAGACCAATGTGCTACTATTGCTGGTTTCGGGGAGGTGGGATTATGAGTGTTCTTTCTCCTCCCCTCCACACCCCCAAGTGTGAGTTAGCTATCATTACGCAAGATTTCTTTTTCTTTCTTTCTTTCTTTTTTTTTTTTTTAGAAGGAGTTTCGCTCTTGTTGCCCAGGCTGGAGTGCAGTGGCACGATCTCGGCTCACCGCAACCTCCGTCCGCCTCGCGGGTTTAAACGATTCTCCTCCCTCAGTCTCCCGAGTAGCTGGGATTACAGGCGTGCGCTACCACGCCCAGGTAATTTTTTTTGTATTTTTAGTAGAGATGGGGTTTCTCCTTGTTGGTCAGGCTGTTCTCGAACTCCCGTCCTCAGGTGATTCGCCCACCTCAGCCTCCCACAATGGTGGGATTACAGGCGTGAGCCACCGCGCCCAGCAAATTTTTCTAATTAATTAAGATTAAGACCGGGCGCGGTGGCTCACGCCTCTAATCCGAACAATTTGGGAGGCCCAGGCGGGCGGATCACCTGAAGTTGGGAGTTCGCGACCAGCCTGATCAACATAGAGAAACCCTGTCTCTACTAAAAATACAAAATTAGCGGGGCGTGGTGGCGCATGGCTGTAATCTCAGCTACTCCGGAGGCTGAGGCAGGAGAATCGCTTAAACCCGGGAGACGGAGGTTGCGGTGAGCCGAGATCATGCCATTGCACTCCAGCCTGGGCAACAAGAGCTAAATTCCGTCTCAAAAAAGAAAGAAAAGAAAAAGAGAGAGAAAGAAAGAGAGACATTTATTTCACATATTGACACAAGAAAGATGAACCCTCGAAATGTAGATCCAAGGACTTTGATGTCGTTGAATGTTTTCCTTAAGTAGTCCTTGGTTTGATCAACTGTCTTGTTCAGTAACTTTCACAATCATATGCTTTTTGAATTTGTTAGTTACTGAAATAATTCCTCTAATGAGCATGTTACCTCTAATGAGCATTTAGAGGTTTGTAGAATTCATGAAGCCTTCTTTGTCCTTCTCACCTGAGAATATTTAATAGAACTTTAAACATTATTTTGCATATATATTTTGATTAAAAATTCTTATAAACTTTTTATTCATAACAAAAGATTGCGACTTTCAAATAATTTTTCAGAAACCCTCATGACAGAGGCCTGCTCCAAAAATAGTCCTAAAGGGACAGGCAGAAAATAAATAAATATTTATTTATGTATTTATTTTTGAGAAGGAATTTTACTCTAGTTGCCCAGGCTGAAGTGGCTGGAGTGCAATGGCTCAGTCTCGGCTCACTGCAATCTCCGCCTCCCGAGTTCAAGTAATCCTCCTGTCTCAGCCTCCGGAGTAGCTGGGATTACAGGCATATGCCACCACGCCCAGCTAATTTTTGTATTTTTAGTAGAGACAGGGTTTCATCATATTGGTCAGGCTGGTCTGGAACTCCTAACCTCAGGTGATCTATCCGCCTCGGCCTCCCAAAGTGCTGGGATTACAGGTGTGAGCCACCGCGCCCAGCTGAAAATAAAGATTTAAAATACATTATACAATCTTTTAAAGCAAATGACTGCACGTTTTCCAAAGATGGCCAATAAAAAACACATTAGTAATGCTCTTGTTCGATATAAACATCTATATATAGAAAGTAAGTGTGATGCATTCTTACTTTCCATGACCACATTTATTCTGTTTATCAGTCATGACATAATTAACTTTCTCTAGGTACAGATAAAAGGAAATTATTTGATTTTGAAAAAGATTCAGTTTTCTGGAAAAAAACTTTCTCCGTGATATATGAATTAAATAGAATGCTATGTAAAAGGCACTTTGTTACTTCCGGTTAAATATAATATATTAAAACCAAACAATTAGCTTTCTCAAGATGCATCAAATTCATTTTGTCGATTAACATTTTTCTGACCATAAAGTGGGATCTGTACATCTATGCATCTTGGGATCTGGCATCCACATTTAGAGTTCTTTGTTTTTTGGTTTTTTGTTTTTGTTTTTTTCATTTCATTTCATTTCTATAGAGCATCTGGACATTCTGCTAAAGGAACTGGCGAGTTACAAACGTAAAAAGGAGAACTGGACATGTGCTTTATTGGTTAAATTGGTTTGATCAACCATTGCATTGTTCAGAAAATTAAACCAAGTGTTCAATTTTTTAGAAAGTAACTAGGGTCTGTTAGGATCTAGGATTTTCCAGGAAAAGAACTCACGGGCCGGCTTTACTTGCAAATTTCTTCTTAACCCGTCTGGAAAGTGAGAGCGCGTTGTCATTTGCAAAACAATTTCCCAAACACAATGAGATAAATATTTTAGGTTTACATTTAGGGGCTTAGGGACACCAAGTGAGAAGATCCAGAGGTTTTCTGTATCGTTTTTCTCTCCCTCAGCTTAGCTGAGGGAGCATTTCCTTTTCTGAAATCCATTAAGCAACAGTGTCATTCAGTGAGGAGAGGTTGGTCTCCTGGAAGTTCTAGCAGAAGGTCCCATCGTCTAGCAAAAGGTCCCAGGTTTAAAACTAGGATTAAGGCCGGGCTCCACCTCCGTGGTGAGTAAATTTGTTTTCAGTTTCGAGGACTCCAGCAACCAGCACAGAGCCAAACTTGCCCCCAGGGGAGCTGGTTTCTGAATTGACCCGGTTTGTTCAAAATAAAGATGCTCCTGTGGTGGATACACTTATCTTAGTGCTTCCGAAGTTCTGTCATGTCTGTAGTTGTGCTGTCATGTCTGTAGTCATGCTGTCATGTCTGTAGTCGTGGCCGAGTGGTTAAGGTGATGGACTAGAAACCCATTGGGGTCTCCCCGCGCAGGTTCGAATCCTGCCGACTACGTTTGAAATTTTACCCTAAAATGGGGTCAGGTTAATATAATACGGAAAATACAGGAGAACTTGTATCATCTTTCACCCCTCTGGTTAATGTAAAGCGGAACGAACAGGAGCACTTATATCATCGTTAGCCCCTCTCTAATTCTGCCCTGGCGGTGTATGTGTTTGCTGTCAAAATGTCGCTGAGCTGCCCGAAGTAAATAAGCTAGTAACCACAGTAATCCTCCTTCACTGGCAACGTGCAGTGCTCCAGGGTCTCACCGGGTTTTCTCTCCTCCAAACCCTGCTCAAAATAAACTCTTTCAAGAGCTCGGTGAAAGTGTTTCTCACAGAAACCATGGAGAAGGTACAGTCTATGCCACAAATGGGAGCTATCTGTATTTTTAAAAAGTATTAAGTAAAATTGACTTTTAAAAAGCACTTACATGTATATACACATACCCATTACCATATCAGGATACACACCAGTTCTATCAGTCCATAAGCCTCCCTAGCACTGTTCCTTTATAGTCTCATCCTAATCCCACACATAGCAGCTGACAATCATAAATACTCTTTCCATTTGTATATTTTGGCCTTTTGGAAAATGTAGAAATGGAATCATACAGTATGTAACTTTTTGAGATCAGCTTCTTTTGCTTAGCATAATGCCTTAAGATTTACCCAAGTTGGCTGGGAGCGGTGGCTCACGCCTGTAATCCCAGCACCTTGGGAGGCCGAGGAGGACGGATCACGAGGTCAGGAGATCGAGACCATCCTGGCTAACACGATGAAACCCTGTCTCTACTAAAAATACAAAAAATTAGCCGGGCGTGGTGGCGGGCGCCTGTAGTCCCAGCTACTCGGAAGGCTGAGCCAGGAAAATGGCGCGAACCCGGGAGGCGGAGCTTGCAGTGAGCCTAAATCGCGCTGCTGCACTCCAACCTGGGCTACAGAGCAAGACACCGTCTCAAAAAAAAGAAATAAATGAAGATTTTCCCAAGTTGTTACAAATATCAAAATTTCATTCCTTTTTGCTCTTGAATAGAATTCCATTGCACGGATGTACCACAGTTTATCCACTCATTGAAGGACATTTGTGTTGTGTGACATTTGTTTCCAGTTTGGGGCAATTGTGAAAAAAAAAGTTGCATTTCATAATGGCTAATGATGTCAAACATTTTTTGTGTGCTTATTTGCCATCCTTATACTCTGTTTGGTAAAGTGTTTATGCCTTTACCCAATTTTTATTGGGTTGTTTTCTTATTGCTGAGTTTTAAGGATTCTTTATATATTCTAGATAAAATTTCTCTATCAGATACATGACTTACAAATATTTTCTGCCAGTCTTTATTTTTTTCAATGTCTTAACAGTTTCTTTTGCAGAGCAAATGTGTTAAAAGTTGATTAAGTCCAATGTATTTTTTTTTCTTTTTTGGAAAGTGCCATATCTAAGAACTCATCACCCAACTCAAGGTCATGTGGATATTCTGTTATGTTTTCTTTTAACAGTTTTATAGTTTTATGTTTACATTTGCATATATGATCAATTTTTTAGTTAATTTTTGTATAAATTGTTAGATTTATGTTAGGATATCTTTTCTTTCTTCCTTCCACTTTTCCTTCACTTCTTTCTTCCACGCCTTCCTTACTTTTTTTCCTTCCTTTCTTTCTCTCCTTTTCTCTCCTTTCTTTCTTTCCTTTGCATATGGATAGCCCATTGTCCCAATATTATTTGTTGAACAATTTTAATTTCTTCATTTATTTTATTTGCACCTTTGTCAAAAATCAATTCGCCATATTTGTGTAAATTTATTTCTGGAATCTCTGTTCTGATCAATTGATCTACATGTTTATATTTCTGCCAATACTTTACTATCTTGATTACTGAAGTTGGTATTAAATCTGAAAATCAGGTAATGTGATTATTCACTGCATTTTTTCAAAATTGATTTAGCTATTCTAATTCTTTCATCTATCCATATAAAGTTTAGAATCAGCTTTTCTCTATCTCCAAAAAATTCTACTGGAATTTTGATAGCAATTGCATTACATCTATACTCAATTTGGGGAGAACATATAGGATAATTCTGGTGTTCTTTTTCCATCCTTACACTCTTTTGTTTACTCTTTTATTATCAGAGTCTTCAAATAGTTATTTCATGCATTCTGCCCATAACTTATAGTTGTGTTTGATAGGAGAAAAAATGTAAAACACACTTCATCTCACCTGGAAATAGTAACTTGGGGTACTATCTTTTTATGATAATGAAACAAGATCTCCTAGAAATAAAGAATAAAGTAGCAGGGGAAAAGAAAAACATTTAATGAAAAATTTGGAAGTTACAGTTTAGAACTACTTCAAAAACAGTAGGAAAACATCAAAGATGGAAAATAGTAGTGGAAAGAAAATTGAACAACCCATTCCAGAGATTCAATATCATCTCATTACTGGGAGTTCCAGCAAGACAAAGGAAAAATGGAGGATAATTTTACCAAGAAATATAAGAAAAATTCTCAGAACTGAAGGACTTGAAGATCTAGACGGGAAGGATTGCCCTTTATGACTAACGCTTTTAGCATCAAGTCTAGAAAATATTTCCTTGGGTCAAAGTCATAAAGATATTCCCCGATGTTGTATTCTACAAGCTTTGTTTGCTTACTTTTATATTCAGATCTACAGTCAATCTGGAAATGGCTTAGAGGATAATGTGAAAGAGGTAAATTTAATTTTTTTCCTTGTAGATAATTATCTGATCACTTTTTTTTTCTTTTAGATATTCACCATTTATTCAAAGACTGGATTCTACGTCGTGGTATTGTCTATCTTTGGGCAATGTCATGTTTTTAAAAATTATGTTACCTTTCTATCTTTCTGTTTGGTAAAGTAAGTCTGCTAACTTTGCTTTCCTTTTTCAAGATGAGTTAGGCTACTTTAGTCCTTTTCACTTCCATATTATTTTTTAATGAGTTTATCAATCTCTTTCCAAAAACCTGATATTATTGTTACTAAAAATGCAGGGGAAATGGGGACTTATTGGTTAACAGGTATAGGGAAGATGTAAAAATTTCTGGAGATAGATGGTGGGGATGGCTGCACAATAATGCAACATACTTAATGCCACTTAACTGTACACTTACAAACGGTTAAAGTTATAACTTTTATGTTTTGTGTATTTTATCACAATAAAAATCAAAAAAGATAAAAAGATGGCCACTTTATTGACGTTGTTGATCATCTCTATTTCGTATTAATGTCTGTTGTTTGCATTAATAATGCATTAATATCTGCTCTTTGCCTCATTATTTCTTTCTCTAAAATTCTCTTGGGAGTAAATTATTGATTGGTCACTAATTTCATGTAATACATGCTTAGATCACTAATCTTATTTTATTTATATACTATAGTATTTAAGGATTTCTTAGTGCATTTCTAGCTGCATACTACATATTTTGATATGTACTATTTTTATTATCATTTATTTCAAAATAGGTCCTAATTTTGATGGATATTTTTTCTTTAAACCATGAATTATTTAGAAGTGTTTTTATCATTTTGCAAATAAATACAATTTTTAATTTTTATGTTTTGATTTCTGACACAGTTTTATTGCTGTGAAATAATAGCATGTATCTAACCCTGTTATGTTTTTGGAGCATTGCTTTATGGTCCGGTAAAATGTCAAATTTGAGATAATTCGATGTATGTTTGAAAAAAGTTTGAATCCTGAAGTCGATATGTGCACTGTTCTCTATATATGTATGTTATATGAACTGCATTATTTTGCTTTACAGTTATTTTCCATTTATGCTTTTATTAGTTTTTCAGAGAGGCATATTACACTAAAATATTACACTATAATTGTGGTTTTATCTGCTCCTCCTTTTACTTCCATGAACTCCTGGATTTTTTTTTTCTCCATCTCTTTTTTTTTTTTTTGAGATTGAGTCTCGCTCTGTTGCCCAGGCTGGAGTGCAGCGGCGCGATTTTGCCCAGGTTGGAGTGCAGTGACACTATCTCGGCTCACTGCAACCTCCGCCTCCTGGATTCAAGGGATTCTCCTGTCTCAGCCTCCTGAGTAGCTGGGATTACAGGCGTGCGCCAGCACGCCCGGCTAATTTTTGTGTTTTTAGTAGAGACGGGGTTTCACCATTTTGGTCAGGCTGGTCTCGAATTCCTGACCTCGTGATCCGCCCGCCTCGGCCTCCCAAAGTATTGGGATTACAGGCGTGAGCCACCGTGCCCGGCCTCTTCATCTCTTTATGTCCTAGAAGCCAGAAATTCTGGATGGAGAATGACTTATGTAACAGCTATAATTTGGAAATCCCGGACACTACCTCCAAATGAGCAACTGCAATAAGAAAAGCCTAGGAGAAAAAAATCTTGAGTTCAATTTTTACAGGCTTTAGAATATCCACTGGGACTTTAAATAAATACTGTTACTTAGACATACTTTTACATGTTTCCTTCCTCAAAACAAATTATGAAAATATAATTCAAATACAATTTATCTTATGAGAAACTCTGGATGATGCTGAGTAGAAGTTGCAGTAAAGGTTCCAATCAAACCCTGCTTTAAAATGAGCCTCGTTCTTTTTTTTTTTTTTTTTTTTTTTTTTTGAGACTGAGTCTCGCTATGTCGCCCAGGCTGGAGTGCAGTGGCGCGATCTCAGCTCACTGCAAGCTCCGCCTCTTGGATTCACGCCATTCCCCTGCCTCAGCCTTCCGAGTAGCTGGGACTACAGGCTCCCACCAACACGCCCGGCTAAGAGCCTCGTTCTTAACCTAGCTGACTCCACCTGACCTAGAAATGGCTGTCTATAGTCTCCCAAAATTGTATCATCATAACCTCTCCGAGACCAGGGAGACACAGGGAACCGGTTTGACCAGAATTATAGCTTCATGCGTGGGTGCAGATTTGCCTCCAATTTACAATATTGAGGTTAGTGAATCACGCAGCCTCAATTTAAAGAGTTTTTTTTTTAGCAGCTTTATGCTTAATTTCACTTGAGTAATTTTTTTTCTTAACTGTTACAACTAGTTTTCCTGATAGAGAGAAGGCCAAATTTAAATAATTCTCAGTCGATCGCACGGAACCTTCAATTATTTTGTGAATTCCCTGGAATCAAGATATTAAAGGTTGTTTTCCTAGAGGCAATAAACCTGATAACTCACCTATGTGGAGAAAAATATCCCGTGTCTGAAATTGAGTAGAGTTGCAGATAAGACATGAGTTCTCCAAGACTTAATTTCCCCGTTTTTATGGGGGACTAGAAGCGTCCACTTAATCTAGCTTTTAAGCATTAAATTGCAGAAAGCATAGAAGAAGTTCGGTCCAGTTCAGGTACGTATAAAAGTCGCTCAATTTTTCTTAATGAAGAAAGCAAGGCTCAGGACCACCAAGTTTCTGAGTTAATTGAGGGTTAGGGGAAAGGGAGACTTTATGGATCAATGTAATCGGCAAAAATAAATAAATAGATCCCCCAGGGTTTTCTTTGAAAGGGTGTTCTGAGTGGGCATAAACTAAGGATTTTTGCTTTGATACATTAAATGCGTTTAGTAGAATGCCTATAACCCAGCATGAGCAATATTTGGGTGAAGCGTACCAAGAGGGGTTCCATGGTGTAATGGTTAGCACTCTGGACTCTGAATCCAGCGATCCGAGTTCAAGTCTCGGTGGAACCTGCTCGAAGATATATGTATATATCCTCTTCCTGGACCTTTTGTTTTCCCCAGGGAAAACGCTCTCTACATAAATTACCAAAATCAATTTTCGGCCTGATATATTCCATGAATTCCTACAACTCCCGATAGCACACTTGATCTTAGTCAAACGGCCTAGAAGCTATGCAAGTCCCAATATATCTGCCTCTGGGTAAGGAGGCGGAATAGAATCCACTTTCCGGGATCACAGCTCACTACAGCCTCGACCTCCCCAGGCTCAGGTGATCTCAGGTAGCTAGGACGACAGGTGCGCCCCACCACAGCAGCGAAATTTTTGTTTGTTTGTTTTTTGGAGGGAGACAGGGTTTTCGCTGTTATGCCCAGGATGGTCTCGAACTCCTGGGCTCAGGCTATCCTTCCGCTTCTATCTCCCAAAGTACTGGGATTACAGGAGTGAGCCATCGGGCCCGTCCTGAAGGGATTGTTTCTTTCAATAATTTGTGAAGTCCACGGAAACATTTTGTCCCCTGAACATGATGGAGGAAGTAGGAAGTGCTGATAAACAGAATCTGCTCTTTGGGTCTTTATGCAGGAGAGCAGAGATTTTAATTACTACGAATGCAAAATCTGGGCAACTTTGTAATTCTTTCCTTTGTAGAGTTGTTTTTCTTTTCTTTTTTTTTTTTTTGTCGTTGTTGTTTTTACCTCACTTACTTCTAATATATGCAGCATAAGTACAATTTCTCTCCATCTCTGTGGCGAAGATAGTCTTTTACCTTTCTGTCAAACCAGTCGTACTGTGCATCCAAATGCTGTTGGCTGAAAAAGTATTTTTTGCTATCAGGCTTTAGTGTTCAGTAGCTTAAATGGTCTAATGTTGGCAAGCTCTTTATAAACTGTTAAGAAACACCCTACTCAAAAACAGACAAACTCCCGTAGACTGATGAGCGGTACGCCCTGCATCAAAGTATCGTATGCAAATCTGTGATTATTGGCAGTGTCATCTCTGAGAAACAGATAAATAAAGTTTATTTACGATAGATAGATAGATAGATAGATGGATAGATAGATAGATAGATAACTCAAGCGTCAAACACCCCATGGGCAGCAATATTACACCCCAGGCTAAACCCAGCGGCTTAAATCATACCACTTTGTGGACTCATTACCAGTAGAGACAGGATGAAGTCAGAATAGTGAACCAACTCTGAATGATAGGAGGTAGGTGGTGTTAATTCCCAGTACAGGTAGAAGACTGAGACGCCTGTTGGGTGCCGGGGTCTTGGAGCCAAAATCAAGAGATGAATTCAAGTTACAACTTACTGCCCTCTCGCTGTGAGACCTTGGCCATATGTATATGCCTGTGGACCTTCCAGTCTGTATAATGACTATGTTGTGAGGATTTACAAATTATAAGCCATGTAAAGACCTTGATGGTGATGTGTAGTAAGTACTTGAAAAATATGACCTGCTATTTATCCGTTTTGGGTACTAATAAATCTAACCCTGAATCTGCTAACAACTTGATAATTTGGGGGGTGCCCCCAGTGGAATTTACAAAACTTGAATTCACGACCCCATCTGGAAGTCCTCAGTTAAAATATCATTTCATTGTGCAGCATTGGGTAGTTTCTTCATCTGTAAAATGCAGATAAAAATATGCTGTTGGTGCTTAACTCATATCTTGGAACGTACTAAGTATTTAATGAAAATTACCTGTTAGTGGTAAAGCTTTTTGTGAATCCTGACTTCTTTTGAGTTGACAGTAGTTATGAGTATACCAAGGCGCTATTTGGTGCAGGAGAGGCTGAAGTCTTGCTGGCTGTGATCACAGGGATATATACCAGTTTTGAAGTAACGGCAACATAAGGTAGTCTCCATTCACTGAGTAAAGAGGATATTATCTGAATATGCAGTGGGAGGATTGTGTAGGAGAGCAGCAAATGGAGTACAAGAATTTGGGTAAGTTTTGAGGAAAGGCGGGAACTGCACCTGGTAAAACCGTAGTCGGCAGGATTCGAACCTGCGCGGGGAAACCCCAATGGATTTCAAGTCCATCGCCTTAACCACTCGGCCACGACTACCTACCTACGCCATCGCTGACGGCTGGGGTGAACTTATAATGGTTGAGTGGAGCGCTCGGAAATAGTTGGTCTTCAGTCTCGTCAGGGCCTCTGCTCACGAACGAAAGAGCTCATTCAGAGCACATCAATAACCAGAACATAGTGCATAGTGTTGCAATTCAACACAGGACTCCTAGACAAGCGACTCAAAGTTTCTGGGCGCTGGAGCTTGCCCGCTAGCTGCTGAAATCCGCGGACACCACGTTCACACCTAATTCTCACGAACCCGCAGAAAGGGAGTATTGAATTGAGAGTCCAAGCAACCTCAAGCCTCTGAATACCCATGGGAGAAGCAACGGGAATTAAATGAAGGCACGAGAGTGGGGGGTCATCTGCGTTTACGTACAGTTAAAATCTAAATCAGGAGCTTCTTCGATGACATTCAACTGACTTACTCTTCCGAAGGAACGGCTAAAACCGGACTGGAGCGGGCGTGCTAGCTGAGGAGGGAGCTTGTTTCTGTCCTAACTGGAAAAGATGACTCTGAAGAGGTCTCTGACTCTTCAGGTAAATATAATTCCCGTCAGTTCTGGTGAAGGACGCGAGACCATTCCCAAGAGCCAAGGCCTTCAGCCACCCGAGCCCGGGGAAAAGGAAGAACTCAGAACACAGGTTTCCAAATATCTTAGGGAGAGTCCAGCACAGAAAAACGCAAAAAGATGGAAACAAGTAAATGTCAGGATAAATCTAGCTAAATTAATAAGGTTGATTCTTGCTTCAGATACTACAGTATTGTCAGAGTGGAAAAATAAGGGGTAGACTTGAATCAGATTCCTTTTTAGACAAAAGTTAGGGGGAAAGTCTCGGAATTCTGGGAATGGAAGTGAGTCGGCCCCGCAGATACAAAGGGAAAGTGACCTCCATGACCGAGGCCGGCAATGTCTCTGATAGTGAAAGCGCGCCCACATTTGTTTTTCCCTCTAAAATAGTAAGAAATGTGTTCCCTTCGTTGGACTCTTGCAAATATTATTTGGTCTTATTACTGGGGCATTTGCTATATCTTCAATTTAGGTTAGAAACGGTTTGTAACCTTTGAAACAGTAAATTTATTTTCAAGTTATTTGTCCCTGGGCAGTCTTCGCAAAGTTTTGTCCTCTTACAGCAGCTTGTGCACCACCTGGGAACTTAGGAGAAATGCAAATTCTTGGGCTTGAACTCAGATCTCAGAATCAGAAACTGGAGTGGTGTGGTTCGTGTGGGGGGCGGGCGGGGCGCGGGGGAAGAGGAGGGTGTCTAGCAGTCTGTTTTAACAAGCCATCCTTCCGGTCGCGGAGGCTCACGCCTGTAATCCCAGCACTTTGGGAGGCTAAGGCGGGTGGATCATGAGGTCAGGAGATCGAGACCATCCTGGCTAACATGATGGAACCCCGTCTCTAATAAAAATACAAAAAAATTAGCCGGGCGTGGCGGCACGCGCCTGTAGTCCCAGCTACTAGGGAGGCTGAGGTAGGAGAATCTCTTGAACCTGGGAGGCGGAGGTTGCAGTGAGCCAAGATCGCGCCACTGCACTCTAGCCTGGGAGACAGAGTGAGACTCCATCTCAAAAAACAAACAAACAAACAAAAAACAAGTCATCCTGCTGGTACTGATGCCCACTGAAGTTTCAGAACCGCTCTCCTAGAGAAATAATCTTTTTATTTGTTTGTTTGTTTTATATTTTATAAATAGAAATGCGGCGCCTCACTGTGTTGACCAGCCTGGTCTTAAACTCCTTGTTCAAACCCCTGGTCTCAAGCCATTCTTCCATCTCCGCCTCCCAAAGTTCTGGGATTACAGGTGTGAGCCACTGCACCCAGCCAGGAAATAAGCTTAACCAAAGGAAGACATATACTATGCAGGAATCTTTATTTTTATTTCTAATTGTGATAGTGAAAAATAGATATTAAAATGAGAGTTGTTTATTATTATTATTGCTCCATCTGCCTAATAGGTCATTACCAAGCCACTAGAAACGACATGCTGGAAGACTGTAATAGTTCTGGGAAAATGCTTGTGACATAATGTTCACTGACAAAAGTAGGAGGCAATAAGCGTGACTTAATCTACGCAAAATTTTTGCAGGTAAAATCCTGCGGTGAACTCATAATGGATGCGTGGAGCGCTGAGAAGCAGTTGGTCTTCACAGTCTCGTGCAGGTCTCTCCTCATGAGTGAAAGAGCTCTTTCAGAACACAACAAGAACCAGAATATTGCACTTAGTGTTGCAATTCAATACAGGACTCCTAGACAAGCGACTCAAAGTTCCTGGGCGCTGGAGCTTGCCCACTAGCCACTGATATCCGCGGACATCACGTTCACACCTAATTCTCACGAACCCGCAGAAAAGGAGTATTGAATTGAGAGTCCAAGCAACCTCAAGTCTGTAAATGCCAATGGGAGAAGCAACGGGAAATAAGGGAACGCATGAGAGTGGGGAGTCATCTGCATTTAAGCACAATTAATATCTAAATCAGGAGCCTCTTCGATGGCGTTCAACTGACTTGCTCTTCCAAAAGAACGGCTAAAACTGGACTGGCGCGGGCTTGCGAGGTGAGGAGGGGGGCTCGTTTCTATCCTAACTGGAAAAGATGACTCTGGAGAGGTCTCCGACTCTTCAGCCAAACATGATTCCCGTAAGTTCTGGTGAAGGACGCGAGACCATTCCCAAGAGCCAAAGCCTCCAGCCACTCTAGCCCAGGGAAAGGGAGGAATTCAGAACACAGGTTTCCAAAAATCTTAAGGAGAGTCCAGCACAGAAAAATGCAAAAAGATGAAAACACATAAATGTCAGGATAAATCTAGGTAAATTAATAAGGTTGATTCTTGCTTCAGATACTACAAAATGGTTAGGATCAGCTAATTTTCCCCCAGTTGCATATTTCATATTTGTGGAGTACTCCTCCTTAAAAGGTAACATCCTGGTACATAGAGAAATGACAGTTTGGCTTACTGACAAATATTGGATGATGACAATTGCCTCGCCCTTTTAAGGCTTACTGTTGGCATACACTGCTTACCGGTTTAGTTTCATAAATGGATACCTGAGAAACATGTTTAAAATCTTGTTGATTTTGCTCCTGTAGAGCACTTAGAAATAATGCTGAAGGCACAAATAGAGTCCATGAGCAAAGAGCAGTGAACATCATCTAAGAGGTGTAGGTTACTGATCTAAATCTAATTCTCAGGTGCTGTGTAGGTTTGCATTCTCATCTTAGCCCCTCATTTCCTTATTTATGATGTAAAGACTAAGTGAGGCCAAATATATAAATGAGGGTATTTTGCAAAATGTGAGGTCTTATATACATGTCAGTGACTAACATTATTTTGCTAAAAGTATATCCTGGAGTACATTTCACATAAGCATTATAGAAGTGCACCTCATTCCTTTTATCAGTTGCAGAATCTTCCATTCTATGGATCTTCCAAAATTTATTTTAAAAGTCAAACATCAATGGCCATTTGAAGTTGTTCAAATTGTCGCTATAACTCAGAAATTTGCAGCGAATGTTAGAGCGTGTCCCAGTTGTTGCGGGTGTCTCCTGCATCCCCATCCCCTGAAGGAGCAGGAAGCTTGATCTCTGGGAATGCATCCTGCTTAGTCTCCTTCTGTCAGAACGTCAGAATAAGGGGTCCTCCCAGGTCTGAGGATAAAGTGTTACTTGTCAGTTTGAAACAACAGCATGATAATCATCTAACTAATGCCAAAGAATAAGAAACATTGACAGCAAATACAATTTCTGGCAGAAAATTTGACCTTTCCAAGAGAGCTAAAGTTCAGTACAGTGACTTATGCTAATGGGCAAAGCATTCTTTGTGTAGTCGTGGCCGAGTGGTTAAGGCGATGGACTAGAAATCCATTGGGGTTTCCCCGCGCAGGTTCGAATCCTGCCGACTACGATAACGTTTCCCTTTGCAAAAGGGATATAACACCTTATCAGATGGGATATCCTGACTTTGTCTTCCAGGAAGAAGCCTGGTTGTTCCAACCTGATCAGACTTTTTCTCTTTATATGCCCACTAAAAATACTCCGCCACCTTCCTGAAACAATGAGGAAAATGTGTACTTATTTGAAAAAAAAAAAAAAAAAAAGGTAATTCCACCAGAGTCTTACTGGTGTTTTACCCCCAAGAAAAGCCAAGGTGATGCTATCATGTTTCCTGCAATCGATGCCCTGTTTTGAAGGCAGCTTTCCTTAAAAATTGTTGCTAGGAGTGTTTGTGTCTCACAGAATTGTTCCCTTGTTAGGGATCTACTTCAGTAAAGTAAACATCCTCATTCATACAGAAAAGGAAATTCCAGGAAATCCAGGATCAAATACAAGTGAAAGCAAAGACTCAGATATGGTCGCCAAGATGGGAATAACTTGGGCTTTATTAAGCAAACAACTAAGCAATTAAATATATTAAGTAAGGCAATTTTCCTTGAAATCATATAAAAACGAACTGACGACGTCAAGCCAGACTGGCTTGTCCAGGTGTCCAGGACGATGATGAGGCAAGAGGTACTGAAAAGAAAGTGAGGGTGTTACTATATTCAGAGCACGGAAAGATAATCAGCTCAGGTGCAGAATCACATTGTGTGATTAACAACTATGGTTAAATAATGCATTGGAATTATGCATTATAATTAATTATGGTTAAATAATGCAAAGGAATGCTAGCCACAGTTGAGTACTTTTTAAGGAATTCCTAGGGGAATTCTATCACTGCCTTGGAAGCTTAGTGGAGCTCATCCTCACTTCTTGCCTTGCTGCATCTTCTTTTTTATTTGTTAGACCTCCCATTCTCCATTTTCTATATCAGAGATCAGTTACTTGTGCCTTCTTGGATAAACTCAATCAGTTTAGCCAAGCATTTTGCAACTTTATTAGTTATTTTTTTCCAAACTAAATTTTGGCTTTTTTTTTTTTTTTTTTTTTTTTTTTTTTTTTTTTTTTGCTTATCTCCATCTTATGTTTCAATTTTATTGCATTAAATCAGCCATTTTCTTCTTCATTTCCTTCCCTAAGATTTCTTTGGATAAAATTTGCTAATTTCTAATTTCTTTCAATGGATCTCAGATTATTGATGTTCAGATATTATTTTATTATTAATTATGTATTTAAGAGTTTAAGCATCCAAGTGCATTTTGGACTGCATGAAACATATTTCATAAGTATTATTTTCAATGTCATTCTTTTGAATATAATTTTTATTACCATTTAGATATCTTCTTGGAACCATACGCACATTTTCTTTCTTTCTTTCTTTCTTTCTTCCTTCCTTCCTCCCTCCCTCCCTCCCTCCCTCCCTCCCTCCCTCCCTCTCTCTCTCTCTCTCTCTTTCTTTCTTTCTTTCTTTCTTTCTTTCTTTCTTTCTTTTCTTTCTTGTTTTTTTTGAAACGGAGTTTCGCTCTTTTGCTCTTCTTGCCCAGGCTGGAGTGCAATGGCACAATCTCGGCTCACCGCAACCTCTGCCTCCGAGTTCAAGCGATTCTCCTGCCTCAGACTTCCAAGTAGCTGGGATTACAGGCGTGCGCCAGCACACCCTGCTAATTTTGTATTTTTAGTAGAGACGGGGTTTCTCCATGTTGGTCAGGCTGGTCTCGAACTCCTGACCTCAGGTGATCCGTCTGCCCCGGCATACGCAAACTTTTTAACTTCTAAACATAACACAATTTTTGATTTCTAATTGATGTCTAGCAAAATGTACTGTGGCTAGACCCTAGTATTTATCTCTCAGACTGTTCAAATTTTGGAAACTTACTTGAAAATCGGCAAGGCAAAAGTTTTTTTTGTTTTGTTTTGTTTTGTTTTTAGTTCCATGTATACTTCAAAAAGAAACTTGTCTTCGGAAGTTGAGATGCCACTGGGCGCGGTGGCTCATCCCTATAATTCCAACACTTTGGGAGGCTGGAGTGGGCGGATCACTGGAGCCCAGGAGTTCCAGATCAGCTTGGGCAACATAGTGAAAACTCGTCTCTACAAAAAAATTAGCCGGGTATGGTGGCAGGCGCCTGTGTTCCCAGCTACTCCGGAGGCTGAGGCGGGAGGATCACTGAGCCCGGGGAGGTCGAGGCTGCAGTGAGCAGTGATCCCACCACTACACTCCAGCCCGGGCAACAGAGTTAAAAAAAAAAAAAATTGAAGTGTGTAGTGTTCTTCGTATGTAAGTTAGGTAAAATTCAGGAATAGTTTTGTTTAAAACTTTTACATCTTTACTGTTTTCCTTCCCTCTTCTGCTTTTTGATTAGTTTCTGAGGGATATATATTGTGTTAAAATTTCTAAGTATGATTGCGGCTTTATCTGATTCTTTCTTTCTTTCTTTTTTTTTTTTTAGACATTCCGGCTCTGTCGCCCAGGCTGGAGGGCAGTGACGCGATCTCGGCTCGCTGCAAGCTCCGCCTCCCGGGTTCTGGCCATTCTCCTGCCTCAACCTCCCGAGTAGCTGGGACTACAGGCGCCCGCCAGCACGCCTGGCTAATTTTTTGTATTTTTAGTAGAGACGGGGTTTCACCGTGTTAGCCCACCGTGTTAGGATGGTCTCGATTTCCTGACCTCGTGATCCGCCCGCCTCGGCCTTCCAAAGTGTTGGGATTACAGGCGTGAGCCACCGAACCCGGCCTTTTTTTTTTTTTTTTTTAATTTTTACCTTATATATTTTAGGAGTTCCTAAATTTTACCTCGTACAGTTTAGGAGCTTATTTTTTCCCTGTATCTTTTTGTTTTCCAAAGCAACAAGAAATTCTAAACAAAATGCTGCTTATGAAATATTTATAAATCGGCAATGGCAAGTATCACCTTCAAGTGGCACAACAAACAAGATAACACTCAGTGAAAAAATCTGGGCTTAAATTACACAGAATTCAGAATACTCATAAAGTGTTAAGAAAAAGAGCATTACTTTGCTTTTGTCTCCCTCTTGCTTCTTTTCTCAACAAGAAAGGAAAAATATCCTAAATTGAGGGCTTCCTCTGAGTGGAGGTCTCACAGTAAGGGTTGAAAAGGAATTTAATCATCCCTTAACCAGCCAGGTTTTATTTTATTCCCTTCTGCTGGACCTATATATGTGTCATTCTAATGTCCCAAAGGGTAATGCGAGGAACCAGCACTCATAAGCTCCCTCAGAAAAGAGAGAGAAACTCAAAGAACTGGTTTGACTAGGATCTCAGCTTTGGGTGTGTAATTTTGGCCTCCTAATTTACAAGGCTGAGATTAATGAATCATATGGCCACAATTCAAAGGTTTTTTTTTAATTCAATTTTTTTTTTTTTTTTGAGATGGAGTCTTGCTCTGTCGCCCAGGCTGGAGTGCAGTGGCACAATCTCTGCTCACTGCAACCTCCAGCCTCCAGCCTCTTGGGTTCAAGTGATTCTCCTGTGTCAGCCTCCCAAGTAGCTGGGATTACAGATGTGTGCCACCACGCCTGGCTAATTTTTGTATTTTTAGTAGAGACGGAGTTTCGCCATGTTGGCCAGGCTGGTCTTGAACTCCTGACCTCATGTGATCCACCTGCCTCGGCCTAACCAAAGTGCTGGGATTATAGGGGTGAACCACTGCAGCCAGCCTCAAAGGTAATATTTTTAAAGCAGCTTCATGTTTAAGATCATGTTTGGTGATTTTGAACCTTTTAGTTAAATTCAATTATTTGACATGGAAGGAAATTCAAAAGGCAGGTGATTCCCTGCTCAGCATCCATGGTCTTCCACAGTTTTTGTGAACTCCTTGATAATGATTTCTCCAATTGTTTTGTATCAGGGGGCATGTAAAGTGAGAGAGTTCATACCTTTTTTCCTATTTGGCTTGGACTTTTTATTTTTCTTTTTAAAGAGACGGGAGTCTCTCTATTTTGCCCAGGCTGGCCTCCAACTCCTGAGCTCAAGTGATCTTCTTGCCTCAGCCTCCCAAGAAGCTGGAACTATAGAGACATGTAGTACCTTATCTGGCTGTGCCTTGGAATTTTTAAGAATTTAAAAATCTCTTTCCCAATAACTTCATGACCATGAAGTGGAAGAGAGAATTGCCAACTGCTTTTTGTTGTTTTGGGAAATGCATAAAATACATATATGAGAGATGTCTCTAATTGTTACAAAATTCTCTGAGACAGGCCAAGCATCTGTTTCCCCAGTGGCAAAGCTATACTCACTACTATACCAAGGTGAAAAGGGTTATTGGAAATTGCTGTGCTCAGTGCCATGGTCCAAGTATATTTCTGATATTCACAGACCAATGCAGGCACATGCATACCTAAAGCATATGACTTTCCAGGCTTTATCTGAGCCATGCTGCTAATTTCGTTGCTAAACTTAATCTTTCCCTTTTCTTTCATGTTGTGGCCCTCCAGAATTAATCATTCTCCTTTAATGATCAAGGCCCACAAGCATAAATCTTGTACCCGAGAAATGGTAGACTCACACTTTTCCCCAATCAAACTTTCTAATGCTCATCCACCTGGAAATTGCAGTTTTCATTTTTATTTGTGTATTCCACCCTCTTTGTGCCATTATGCTGCTGGCCACAAGCAGTTTCCTTAAACTCTCCCTGTGTGGGCTTGTTTATATTTGTAGAATATTCCTCCTAATAGACACCAATCACCATAAGGTCAGCAACTGTGCTTGTGTTTTGTTTACCTTTGTGTCTATAGCACTAAGCACAACACCTGGCCCACCACAAAAATTTAATATTTTCTACTGTGTGTGTTTGTGTGTGTGTGTGTGTGTGTGTGTGTGAGACAGAGTTTCGCCTTGTCGCCCAGACTGGAGTGCAACGGCGTGATCTGGGCTCACTGCAACCTCCGTCTCCTGAGTTCAAGCAATTCTCCTGCCTCAGCTTCCCAAGTAGCTGGGATTACAGGCGCCCGCCAACACGCCTGGCTAATTTTTTATATTTTTAGTAGAGACGGGAGTTTCACCATGTCGGCCAGGCTGCTCTTGAACTTCTGACCTCAGGTGATCCACCCGTCTTGGCCTCCCAAAGTGCTGGGATTACATGCATGAGCCACTGCGTCCCGCCTGTTTTCTACTATTTATAGAAAGAATGACCTTCTCAGAGCTCCTAATTGAATGTTTAGTTCACAGTAAGAACCTAGTTTAGTATATTGCCTTACTTGAATCTGCTGATTGTTTTAGTCCAAATTCTTACTCATCTCATTCTTTGTCCTCCTTCTAAGTTATATTCTCTGTTAGAACAGCTCTAAGCCAGTCAAGTGGCTGCCCACAGGGCCACTAGCTATTACTAGGTCTGAGGAGGCAGTTCAATTACTGAAGGAGAGAAAATTGTATTCCTCATGTTGCAATTTTAAATTTCTCTAGTTTTTAAATTTCTATTGGAGAAATTCTTTTCCTTCTCTACATTCTTGGTCTGTATTTATGTAGAATAATGTTTCCTTGATTTGCTAGATCAAACCTATTTATATATTGATTGCAGAGAGTCCAGAGCCTATCCTGTGTAGAAGGTGATGGTTGTAAGCATGTCAGAATTAAATTTAAAATTCACTGTAACCTAAAACTAATGTTAAAATTGATCTTTATATGTTTTTCTCTTTGAGTCTGTGGGTAAGAATGATTAAACTCCTTTGTTTAATATCAGCTTTTTAAAAAATCCCACTTACCAGAACGTCTTCTTTCTACTGTCTCCCTCCAAGTGGGCAAGTGGGCCAAGGTGCTCTGAAGGGATGTATGGACTCTCCCTGGGGTGTGGGGGTGAAGGTCAAGAAGTGGGGTAGGGGAGGGAAGACAGTGACATTTTCTTCTGTTAAACCGGTGACCACTATCCATCGAATCACAGAATACAAATTTCTTTTTGCAGCATAGGTTTTTTTCCAAACAGTCACAGACAGTTGAACACTTGGAAATGCCTCCTTTAACAGTTGAAAATTTACAATGCAATAAAATCGTCTTTGCATCATGGCTATGGCATACACTGGAGTCCAGCTGGGTAGGGTCAAATTCTGAGACCTGTGATTCTTTACTCTAGTAAAAGCCATTTGCTTCTCCCCACTGCCCTTTAGGGTAACAATCTGGGATGGCTACTCTCTCCTACCTTTCCTTTGCCATTGATGGTACAATAATGATCAGTTCTTGGTATATCTTCTATTCTTCTTGGTACCAAGGAAATTTTTTTTTTGCAGCAGAGCTTGGAAGGACCCTGTAGGAGCTGCCTAGCAGTTCGGATCACAGAACACTGTTCCCAAGTAAGTTTCAAACTATTTTAGAAAAGAACTCTCCATAAAACCTGAAATATGAGAATAGTATTTTAAACTCTGTGTTTTCCATGGCTCTTTCTCTAATGCTTTCCCTTTAAGGGTGATGTCCTTTTATCTTGACATCATCACACTCAAAAGCAGGAACACTGTAATCCCAGCGCTTTGGGAGGCCAAGGCGGGAGGATCACGAGGTCAAGAGATTGAGACCATCGTGGCCAACATGGTGAATCCCTGTCTCTACTAAAAATACAAAAATTAGCTGGGCGTGGTGGTGCGCGCCTGTAGTCCCAGCTACTAGGGAGCCTGAGGCAGGAGAATCGCTTACCTGGGAGGCCGAGGTTGCAGTGAGCTGAGATTGCGCCACTGCACTCCAGCCTAGCAACAGAGCAACACTCCATCTCAAAAAAAAAAAAAAAAGAAAAGAACAGAAAAGAAAAAAAGGCAGGAACAACCAGGCAGTTGAGGAAATGACATGTGAAGCCATGGTCTGATTCATGAGCCCCTCTAGTGAAAATCAAGCAAGCAGTGAGGGAGTCCACAGTTGAGGTGGAAGACAAATAAAACCGGAGAGTGTCTTCCATTATTCTGTGAGCTTTGAAGATGGAGCAATGAAAAGTCAGCTTATAGAACTAGATCCCTAAAGCGGTACTGTTTGTTCTCAAAATATAAAAAATATGAAAGAAAAAAATAAAAATAAGTTTGACAATACCCTTAGCAGTATGGGACAGGCAAGGCCTTGAAAGTTATTTGCTTTAGGTAAACATGCACCTGTTTTATTTATTTTTGTATTAATTTTACATGTTCATGATTTATTGACAATTTTTTAGTAGCCAAGAATTCACAGAAGGGAACAGTGGTTTCACTTTATTTTTTATTTTTTAATCTTGTTTTTAATTGACACATAATAATTATACATATTTACAGAGTACAGTGTGATGATTTGTTACATTTATACATTGTATAATGATCAAATCATGGTATTTAGCATATACATCTCAAACACTTATCATTTCTTTGTGGTGAGAACATTCTTGTCTGTTTATTTTGTAATATACACTATGTGGCTGGGCAAGGTGCCTCATGCCTGTAATCACAGCATTTTGGGAGGCCAAGGTGAGAGGATCACTTGAGGCCAGAAGTTTGAGACCAGCCTGGGCAACACAGGGAGACCTCATCTCTATTTCAATTAAGAAATTTTTTTAAAGAGATATACACTACAGTATTATTTACTATGGGCACCATACTGTGTTTCCTTATTTTTCTGCACTGACTGTAACACTGGTTTTCATGACACTGTCCATCAGTGTGTCTCGTTTTCCATGTTACGTTCTTGTCTATAAGACATCTTTTCTCTTCCTTAGTAGTAGGAAGAGAAACAAAACAAAACAAAACAAAACCCTTCTAGAACTCGATGGCATTATTCAGAAACTAGATCAAATGCTGTTCTTCTACAAGGCAAAATTCTGTAAGATCAATCCTTGCTCAAGATCTCTGCTCCAGCCCCAGAACCTGAACTTGAGTCTGCATGGGCTTTCCAGAAAAAAGCATCCAGAAGGAGAGAAGCTCCTATTTATGCTACCAACACTCCTCTCTAAGATATGTTTCTGTTGTTATCATTGTTAAGACGGAGTCTTGCTTTGTCCCCCAGGCTGGAGTGCAGCAGCGCGATCTCGGCTCACTGCAACCTCCATCTCTGGGGTTCAAGCGATTCTCCTGCCTCACCCTCCCACGTAGCTGAGATCACAGGCACACGCCACTATGCCCGGCTAATTTTTGTGTTTTTAGTAGAGACGAGGTTTCTCCGTGTTGGTCAGGCTGGTCTTGAACTCCTGACTGCAGGTGATCCACCTGCCTCGGTGTCCCAAAGTGCTGAGATTACAGGCGTCAGCCACTGCGCCCACCCATTTAAGATATCTTTTTGAACAAATTTATATTTTCAATTTCTGATCATATATGTCAGATGGAATACTTAACTCTACTATTAGGAATTATTTCCTCAAAAGGGCTTTAGCATTTCATTAGCTTTCACATTCTAGAATTCTATTAGATTGTTTTTCCGAATCAAAGGAACCTGCATGCTGGATGTGGGAGAGGGTAGGAGAACTGATCAGGCTCCTCCTCTGGAAACCTGAATCTCCGTACACTGAGACAAGTCTTGTTCCTCCTGCCTGCACTGCTCAGTAGAGGATTTGTGGCAGTTTACTCTCACTGCCCCACTAATTTTGAAATGCAGTGCTCTAAAGAGACACATAAAAGAAGAAAGGATCTGGTATTTTATCAATGAACAGGGCCGGCACTCTGTTTATGAAAAAATATTAGAATCATTCTTGGATGAGGTAAAATAAATCACAACTCTTTGAAGATTTGCAGAAGAGAGGTGAGGACAAGCTCCACTTAAGCTGCCAAGGCAGTGATGCGTGAATTCCCCTAGGAATTCCTAGGAAGATACTCAGCTGTGGTCAACATTCTTTTGGTCAATGCGTTAACCCATAATTGTTCATCACAATGAGATTCTGCATCTGAGCTGGGGCTCTTTCTGTGCTCAGGATATAATCGCAACCTCACCTCGGTTTTAGTCACTCTTGCTTCACCACTGTCCTGGACCCCAGGACAGGCCACTCCACTTGACATGGTTGATTTTTTTTTAATTGGGTTATGTAAAAAATTGCTTTACTCAATAATCTTTTATTATGTAGTGGTTTGCTTATAAATGCCCAATATAGATTCTCATCTTGGTGACCATGCCTGTGTGCCACTTTCTCTTGTATTTGATCATGGATTTCCTGGAATTTCCTTTTCTACGTTAAACCAGGGCATTTGCTTGACTGGAGAAGATCCCTAATAAGGGGACAATTCTGTGAGACACAAACACTCCTAGCAATTTTTTTCTCTAAGGAAAGCTGTCTTCAAAATGGGGCATCTGTTTCAGGAAACAGAAAAACATCACCCTGAGCTCTTCTTAGGGCAAAGGAAAACATCAATAATACGACTGTGATAGAAGTACTTTTTTTTGTATGACTTTTCCTCATTGTTTCAGAGACATGGAGTATTTTTAGTGGGTCCATAAAGAGGAAAAGCCTACAGGTTGGAACAAGCAAGCTTCTTCCTGAGAGACAATAACAGACTTTCAACCTGGCAAGACACCGGACTTTCAATCTGGCAAGGTGTCAGTAGACTCCCTTTCCAACAAGAAAGGGACCGTAGTCGGCAGGATTCGAACCTGCGTGGGGAAACCCCAATGGATTTCTAGTCCATCGCCTTAACCACTCGGCCACGACTACGTGAAGGACACTTTGTCCATTAGCATAAGTCACTGTACTGAACTTTAGCTCCCTTGGAAAGGTCAAATTTTCTGCCAAAAAGTGTATTCGCTGTCAATGTTTCTTATTTTTTGACATCAGTTAGATGACTATCATGCTGTTGTGGTAAACTGACAAGTAACACTTTATCCTCGGACCTAGGAGGACCCCTTATTCTGATGTTTTGATGGAAGGAGACTACGCGGGGAGGCATTCCCAGAGACCAAGCTTCCTGCTCCATCCGCTTCTGATGGTGTTCCAGGAAACACCCGCAACAATTGCGACAAGCTCTAACATTTGCTGCAGAATTTTGAGTTATAGCAATGATTTGAACAACCTCAAATGGCCATCGATGTTTGACTTTTAAAATAAATTTTGGAAGATCCATATAATGGAAGATTCTGCAATTGATAAAAGGAATGAGATGCACTTCTATTTACTGAAAGGAAATGCACTAGTATTTCAGTGGTAGCCCAGTAAGAGGCTACACTTAGTAAGAGGATACACTAGAAATCCACTTATTGTCAGTTTGAGAGCCTGGTATTGCCTCTAAGAAACTTCATCTTTTCCCCTTGACAACTCCCCCTTTGACCTCCAGTAAAGGACTCCCCCTGCATCTCAAATCAAAGGTAGATTTTTACTACCTTTTTTTTTTCTTTTTTAAGTCCCCACTTATTTAAATGCCCTTTGAATGCTTATCTGAGCTTCACTAACGATTCTGGGAAACAAAAAGTAGATTTACTCACTTAGTGTGGTTTCCAGGTAGAAGAAAGAGAGATGAGGAGTAAACTCAAGGTCTTAATTCCTTATTCTGTCAGTTTTGGTAAATCATCTCTTGAAGGAAATCTGTCCTAAATTGTCAAATCTATTTACAAAACATTGTTCATACTGTATTCTTAGTATATTCTTGATGTCTATATACTAAAATGTAATGTTATCCTATATTTATTCCTGGTATTAGTATTTTCTGTTTTCTCTTCGTTTTGTTGAACAATCCTTGATTTAGAACAATAGTTTTGTCAATCATCCCTAAATGCCTGTTTATGGCTTTGTTGATATTCTCTGTTTGTTTGTGTGTGTGTGTGTTCTATCTTTTTATAATCTTGTTTCTAACATTTTAATTTGCTCTTTTCCTCTAAATTATTGAGAAAAAAGCTTTAACATCAAATATTGAAACATCTTTATTCTAATATATGCAAGTAGAACTATAAATTAGACTTTGGGCACAGTTTAGCTGCATTACACAAATTTTTATATATCTTATTTTATCTTTCATTTTAACTAAATGTGATTTCTTTAAGCTATGGCTTTGGATGAGTGTTTTTTCATTTAGTAACATTTTGGGGTTTTCCATTTTATTTCTGATATTGATTTTATTTTTATTATGCTGGGCCCACAGAATATATTCTGTGTCATTTCAATCCTTGTACATTTTTAAAGACTTGCATTAGGGCCCACCAAGGGTATTTAAAAATAATATGTAAATCAACATAAAAAAATCAGTAGCATTTCTATATAAACATAATGACCTAACTGAAAAACAAATCAAGAAAACAATCTCACTTATGATAGCATCAAAAAATAAAATACTTAGGAATAAATTTGACCAAGGAGATGAAAGATTTTTACACTGAAAACTATAAAATGTTGAAAGAAATTAATGACAACATAAATAAATGGAAAGATATCCAATGTTCATGAATTAGAATAGTTAATAATGTTAAAATGTCCATGCCATCCAAAGCAATATACAAATTCAGTACAGTCCTTATCAAAATTCCAAAGGGACATTCTTCACAGAGGTAGAAAAAATAATCCTAAAATTCATATGGAATCACACACACACACACACACACACACACATGCACCAAATAGCCATAGCAATACTGAGAAAGAAAAACAAAGTTGGAGGCATCACACTTGTTGCTTTAAAATTATATTATAAAGCTAAAATAATCAAGACATATTGTTCTGATAGCAGCATAATCATTCCTGAATAGAAACAGAAACAGACCAATGCAACAGAATAGACAGCCCAGAAAAAAACTCAAACATATACTGCCAACTAATTTTTGATAAGGGCATCAAGAGGACACAATGGGGGAAAGAATAATCTCCAGCCGCCCCGTCCGGGAGGGAGGTCGGGGGCAGCCCCCGGCCGGCTAACCGCCCCGTCCGGGAGGTGGGGGGGGGGCCCCGCCCGGCCACCGCCCCGTCTGGCAGGTGGGGGGCGCCTCTGCCCGGCCGCCCCGTCTGGGAAGTGAGGAGCTCCTCTGCCCGGCCGCCACCCCGTCTGGGAGGTGTACCCAACAGCTCATTGAGAACGGGCCATGATGACGATGGCGGTTTTGTCGAATAGAAAAGGGGGAAATGTGGGGAAAAGAAAGAGAGATCGGATTGTTACTGTGTCTGTGTGGAAAGAAGTAGACAGGGGAGACTCCATTTTGTTCTGTACTAAGAAAAATTCTTCTGCCTTGGGATGCTGTTAATCTATAACCTTACCCCCAACCCCGTGCTCTCTGAAACATGTGCTGTGTCCACTCAGGGTTAAATGGATTAAGGGCGGTGCAAGATGTGCTTTGTTAAACAGATGCTTGAAGGCAGCATGCTCGTTAGGAGTCATCACCACTCCCTAATCTCAAGTACCCAGGGACACAAACACGGCGGAAGGCCGCAGGGTCCTCTGCCTAGGAAAACCAGAGACCCTTGTTCACATGTTTATCTGCTGACCTTCCCTCCGCTATTGTCCTATGACCCTGCCAAATCCCCCTCTCCGAGAAACACCCAAGAATGATCAATAAATACTATTAAAAAAAAAATTAAAAAAAAGACATAGAGAATTAAAAAAAAAAAAGAAGAAGAATCTCCAATAAATGATGCTTGGAAAACTGGATTTCCACATGCAAAATAATGAAATTAGACTCTTATACCATACACAAAAATCAACTCAAAATGGATAAAACACCTAAATGTAAGACCTGAACACAAAACTTCCATAAGAAAACAGGGGGAAAGCTCTTCGTCATTGGCCTTGGCAATAATTTTTTTGGATATCATGCCAAATGTCCAGGATACACAACAAAAATAAATAAATGGGACCACACCAAACTACAAAGTTTCTGCACAGCAAAGAAAACAATCAACAAAATAAAAAGGCAACTTACAGACTGGGGAAAAGGAGTTAATATTCAAAATTTATAAAGAACACTTATAACTCCATAGCAGAAAAACAAATAACCTGATTAAAAAATGGTCAAAGAGACTTACCTTCTGAGCACAGCTGGCAGCACTACAGTCTCATGAAAAATGTGCAAAGGATCTGAACAATTTCTTCAAAGAAGACATAAAAGGGCCAATATGCATATGAAAATGTGCTCAACAACATTAATCATCAGGAAAATGCAATATTAAACCACTATAAGATATAACTTTACACCTGTTAGGATGGCTATTATCAAAAAGACAAGAGACAACAAATGTTGGCAAGGGTGTGGAGAAAAGAGAACCCTAGTACACTGTTGGTGAGAATGTAGATTTGTGCAGTCATTATGGAAAACAGCATGGATGTTTCTAAAGAAATTAAACATAGAACTACCATATGACCCAGCAATTCCTCTCCTGGATATAAACCCAAAGGAGATACAATTACTACCTCGTAAAAGACATCTGTACTCCCACATTCACTGAAGCACTATTCATAATAGCCAAGATATGGAAACAAACTATGTTTGTCAATAGATTAATGGATAAAGAATCTGTGTGTGTGTGTGTGTGTGTGTGTGTGTGTGTGTGTGTGTGTGTGTGTGTGTGTATAATATTACTCAGCCTTAAAAAAGGAGATTCTACCATTTGCCACAACATGGATGACCCTGGAAGATATTATGCTCAATGAAATAAGCCAGACATAGAAAGAAAAATACTATGAGATCTTACTTATATGTGGATATATATTTAAAAAAAAAAAAAGGTCAAACATACAGAGAGAATAAAAAATTGGTTGCCAGGGGTAGCTGAGGAGAAAAGAAATAGGGTAATGTAGGTTAAAGGATACGAAGTAGCAGATATGTAGCATGAACAAGTCTAGAGAGCTAATGTACAACATGGAGACTCTAGTGAATTGAATTGTATTATATTAGGGATTTTTGTTAAATGAGTAGAGTTTAGATGTTTTGTCCAAAAAAAATGTAACTATGTGAGATGATACATGTTAATTTGCCTCATTGGAACAATCATTTTACTATCTACATATATTTCATAGCATCATGTTGTAAGCATCAAATATACACAATACAATATCTTTTAATAAATAAATAATATATATTTTTAGTTGAGTGTAGTGTTCTATATTTGTCATTTAGGTAAATAGATTTGTTTAAATAATCTTTATCTATACTGAAATATCATTAAATGTGTATTGTAAAATTTCTGTGGCCATGGAGGTGCGCTGCTCAGATCTTCCTTCAAGGAAGAACTTGTTTTCAGTTGCAAGAAATGCTGTCAGCTGACAGCCTCCAAGGCACTTTTACCATCTTCAGCTACAGCACTTTTACCGTCTTCTACAGTGTTCAAACTGAGGTTGTTTTCTTCTTGGTGAGCAGAGTGGGTGTACGCTAAAGCCTGGCCATTTCCGCTTGACTGGGGTCTTATCTATGAGCAATTTCTATACCAAAGCTGGACGAGACTTTCTCAGAGCTGTGCCAAAACCTCAGGGTTTTTCTACCCAATCCTACTTTCTTCCTTCTCTAATTTTGCCCATGCCAGACCCACATCATGGTCTGAAATCTCTTACTGCATTCATCTTTCCTTCTCCTCTTTGTTTATTGTTATGGGCATTATTGTCAATAACCCCTTGCACTTGTAATGCATCTTAGTGTTTGCTTTCCAGCGATCCCAAACTTTCACAGCTGGTATCAGAAGAGGTCTGTGAAAGCAGATGGTAAAATGTGATTTGACAACTATATTACTCACTGCCAAGCTGGCAAGGAGGACCCCAGCTTGAGTGGTATGAGTGCTCAAGGAGTCTCTGAAACAAAGTGACATATAATTGCTAAAAATTTCTGGTTTTTATATGAGTTCTTGAGATAGATGTTTTAAAAATCTCTATGGTGCGGATGACGTTGTAAAATGTTTGTGTGATGATTCATGTGTTTTTAAGTTGAAAACATGGGTGACAAGCCATACAATAATGATTATCTGGCTATGTAAGCAGAGGGGGCTTAACCTACAGAGCTGTGAAGATAGTTAATACAGCATAGTGTCCCTAAGGGTAGAAAAGGCAGGCCGGGCAGGGTGGCTCACACCTGTAATCCTAGCACTATGAGAGGCCGAGGCGGGTGGATCACGAGGTCAGGAGTTCAAGACCAGCCTGACCAACATGGTGAAACCCTGTCTCTACTAAAAATACTAAAATTAGCCGGGCGTGGTGTCCTGCACCTGTAATCCCAGCTACTCAGGAGGCTGAGGCAGGAGAATCACTTGAACCTGGGAGGGGGAGGTTGCAGTGAGCCGAGATCGTACCACTGCACTCCAGCCTGGGTGACAGAGCGAGTCTCTGTCTAAAAAAAAAAAAAGAAAAGAAAAGGCAGTGAATGTTTGTGCTGCATAATACACAAAATCAAAATAAGCAAGGGCAAATGAACAGGAGGCTGAGAACACTTCCCTAATATAAAATAATCTTTTAGGCCGGGCGCGGTGGCTCACGCCTGTAATCCCAGCACTTTGAGAGGCCGAGACGGGCGGATCACGAGGTCAGGAGATCGAGATCATCCTGGCTAGCACGGTGAAATCCCGTCTCTACTAAAAACACAAAAAAATTAGCCGAGCGTGTTGGTGGGCGCCTGTAGTCCAGTTACTTGGGAGGCTGAGGCAGGAGAATGGCGTGAAGCCGGGAGGCGGAGCTTGCAGTGAGCCGAGATCGCACCACTGCACTCCAGCCTGGGCTACAGAGCGAGACTCCATCTCAAAATAATAAGAATAAGAATAAGAATAAGAATAAGAAAGAATAAGTCTTTCCGGGCGCAGTGGCTCACGCCTGTAATCCCAGCACTTTGGGAGGCCGAGGCAGGCGGATCACCTGAGGTCAGGAGTTTGAGGCTAACCTGATCAACATGAAGAAACCCTGTCTCTACTAAAAATACAAAATTAGGCCGGCGTGGTGGCATATGCCTGTAATCCCAGCTACTCGGGAGGCTGAGACAGGAGAATCGCTTCAACCCAGGAGGCGGAGGTTGCGGTGAGCTGAGATCATGCCATTGCACTCCAGCCTGAGCAACAAGAGCGAAACTCCGTCTCAAACTAATAATAATAATAATAATAATAATTATAATAATAATAATAATCTTTTAATGAGTTATTGGACCAAAGCCTGACTCCCCTTTTTTTTTTTTTTTTTTTTTTGAGACACTGTCTCGCTCCGTTGCCCAGGTTGGAGTGCAGTGGCGCGATCTTGGTTCACTGCAAGCTCCGCCTCCCGGGCTCACGCCATTCTCCTCCCTCAGCCTCCAGAGTAGCCGGGGCTACAGGCGCCCGCCAACACGCCCGGCTAATTTTTTGTATTTTTAGTAGAGACGGGGTTTCACCGAGTTAGCCGAGTTAGCCAGGATGGTCTCTATTTCCTGACCTCGTGATCCGCCCACCTCGGCCTCCCAAAGTGCTGGGATTACAGGCGTGAGCCACCGCGCCCGGCCGAAGCCTGACTCTACTTCTAAAAGTTTTACATTTTTAAAATTTTTGTTTTGTGACTTGTTATTTTTTTTTAGCTAATTTTGTGTGTTCAGTGGAGTTACAAACTCCATTTCTACGGACTTCTGCTCTTGGGAAGCTGGAAGAGGAAAAAAAAAAAAAAAACAACTGTCGTCCAAACCTTCACACACAACAGCAAAGGCAAAGTGGGGAATCTAGACTTCCATCAAGCTGTAACAAGGTGCATTCCCTCTACCTCCAACACACACACACACACACACACACACACACACACACACACACACACACACTTCTCGAAGAAAGCAGAACAGGGAGCTGAGACTTTCATTGCCCCAGGCTGTAAAGAACCCCCTACCCCCATCCCAGAATGAAAGTCAAATAGCCAGATATCTACTTCCATGTTATTTCTGGAATCCTTGAGCCTAATTTTTTTTTTTTTTTTGAGTTGGAGTCTCACTCTGTCGCCCAGGCTGGAGCGCAATGACAAGATCTCTCCTCACTGTAACCTCTGCCTTCTGGGTTCAAGCAATTCTCCTGCCTCAGCCTTCTAAAGTGCTGGAATTACAAATGTGAGCCGCCGCGCCTGGCCCGGTGAACTCTTTTAATGGTGAACTTCAAGTCACAACAGTAACTATCAGTTCAACTACACCAAGGTTACTGAAGATAATGGCTTCTCCACCCAAGCAGGTCATATACAAATTCCAAATAGAATGTGGCATCACCCTGAAGGAATTCCCTTCACAATGTTGGGGAAATTTACCAAGATGGCTTCAGAGTAGACTAACTTTACATAGCACATTTTTCAAAGAGACACATTTATTCAGAGTCATGATTAGACTATTACATTTGGCATCCAACAGCCTAGGTGCAAAAAAAAAAAAACACACTATATTAAAACCCTTTGTTGAAATGATTTATACTTTCCTCAGAACAGAAACTAAAATAACCTATTATACAATTAGTCATAAATACAGTCCTCAAGTTTTTTGCCCATATACATGAGTATTTGTCTAATACATGTCTTCTTTGTAGCAGTTAGGCCCTTCCACCACTGGGCTTGGCTGAGTTCACAAATCGGTTGTAATCTGCAGCTTCCCTGTCACTTCTTTGACTCTCCTTTCCTGGTAAGCTTTGTTTCCTGGCAGTAATTAAAATCTTCTACCACTGCCGTAACTACTGCTGCTACGGAACTGCCATAGCCACCTTGGTTTCATGGTTTGGCAAAGTATTGGCTTCCACCACCATAGGGACCAGAGCTTCTGCCTCCAAAGTTTCCTCCCTTTATGGGTCCAAAATTTGAAGACCGATCGTTGTAATTGCCAAAATCATTGTAGCTTCCACCACCTCCAAAATTGCTTCCATCATTATCAAATCTGTTATAGCCATTCCCACTGCCACCCTATCTACCACCACCACTTCTGCCACCAAAGCCAGCACAACCACTGAAGTTTCCTCCACGACCGAAGTTGTCATTCTCACCAAAACCACCTCCAACGCCACCACCAAAGTTTCCAGAACCACTTCGATCTCTTTGGCTGGATGAAGCACTAAACATCTTTTGCTTTGACAGAGCACTCCTAAAGTCACAGTTGTGGCCATTCACAGTGTGGTATTTCTGAATGACAATCCTTTCCATGGAGTCATGGTCATCAAAAGTTACAAGGCAAAGCCCCTGTTCTTGCCACTGCCTCGGTCAGTCATGATCTCAATCACTTCAATTTTTCCATACTGTTCAATATAATCTCTTAGTTTATGTTCTTCAGTTCTTCTTTAACATCTTTATCACAGTTAAGTGGGCACCTGGTCTTTGAGAATCTTCTCTTGAAACAGCTGTCTTTGGTTCCACAAATCTTCCATCCACCTTGTGCGGCCTTGCATTCATGGCTGTATCCACCTTTTCCATACCGGCATATGTGACAAACCCAAAGCCCCTGGAGTGCTTGGTGTTTGGATCTTTCTTTACTACACAGTCCGTGAGCGTTCCCTATTGCTCAAAATGGCTCCTCAGGCTCTCATCAGTTGTTTCAAAGCTCAACCCTCCTGGCCAGGTGCAGTGGCTCATGCCTGTAATCCTAGCACTCTGGGAGGCCAACCTGGACAACATAGTGAAACCACGTCTGTACTACACACACACAGACACACACACACACACACACACACTTAGCCAGGCGTGGTGGTGCCCGCCTGTAGTCCCAGCTACTTGGGAGGCTGAGGCAGGAGAATCACTTGAACTCAGGAGGCGGAGGTTGCAGCGATCCCAGATTGCGCCACTGCACTCCTCCAGCTTGGCGACAGAAAGAGACTCGTCTCAAAAAAAACAAAAACAAAACCGAAAAAAACAAAATTCAACCCTCCAATGACAATGAAAAGCTTCAGCAGCTGTTCGGGCTCTTTAGGAGACGCTGACTTAGATATGATGGCAGTGGGAAGAAGGGCGTTTAACAGTGCTTCCTCAGCAGTGTCCACAGGCGGAAAAGGCCAGGTTTACTTTTAGTATCTGAATAGTATAGTTGTCTTATTTTATTTATTTATTTTTTAGTACTGTTATTGTTTAGTACAAGAATAAGAATTTTAGCTATTAAGCATAGAGTGAAAATCTTGTGAGCTTTGTTAAGATACTGTCAATCATTGAAATATGAATGGATTTTTACTATTTTAGGGATAAAATGCTTCAATAATTAATAATTTGTGAAAAACTTTATATTTTATGTAATATTAAGAATTAATAAAATTGAAATTAATATAAGGAAGTTAATATAAATATAAGAGTTCTTTAGATTGCTGTATAGGAAGAACATCACATACTTTTATTCTCAACAAATATTATAAATATTTACATTAGAATAAAATGAAGAATAATAAAGTTGTAATTATATCTTAATTCTTCATTTCTAGAATATTTAAAAATACCTTCAAAAACTATTTTCTATATTAGCCTTGAGTCTTTAAACAAAAGTTCTATTTGACAATTTTTTTCATTTTGTCAAAATAACTTAAAAGCAAAATGTCTATTTTGTCACATTAAACTTTCACAAGGGGGAAACGTTCCAAAATTTTGTATTATATCATGACAAATCTTTGTTTATGCAAGTATAACAAAGTCTTTGAAGAAAAGAGGAGATGTTTAGAAGCAATGAAGTCCATCTAAGTTAAAAGTGGGCATCTATTTTTTGGCCCAGCTGTGCTGTAGGGTGACTGAAGAAAAATCTAGTAAATGATATCAATACACAATAATATCAACCTTTGAAATTTTGACTAGTAAAGTTTTGATTATAATACAGTTCTTATAGTAATATATTAATATAAAATATAATACATTAAATATAATGCTAATAATAATTAGTTTTTCAATAAAATTCTTAAATTTTTACATCCTGGCATTTTATTCACAGCAAAGAGGCACTACTGCGTAGCTTTGGCCATGCCCTCAGACAAGTACTAATTTCATAGTCATTCGTTCAGCATTTGCATGAATTATAACTTCAGTAAACAGTTCTAAAAATTATCTTTTATTATGATAAATGACTCCAGTATAATTTGATCCTTATTACAACATCCCATTTTGTGTATTATTGTTATTCATCATTTTAGTTCCATTTTGTTTCTACATCTCAAAATTTAGTAATTATTAACTAATATTTTAACAGATTATTTAACAAATATTAGTTTTGTAGAGACAGGGACTCACCATCTTGCTCAGGCTGGTCACCAACTCCTGGCCTTAAGTGATCCACCCACCTCACCCTCTGAAACTGTGGAAACTACAGGCATGAACCACTGTGCCCGGCCTATTTTAACAGATTCTGTGGCTGAATCATAATGAAAGAGAAAATTGATGGAAAAAGAAAAGTTTAGGAAGAAAAGAAATTATAGATAATCATATTGATGAACATAGTGGTCTAATATGCCTAAGACTTCATATGACTAGGGAGAATTCTCTACCAATGAACTGTGCATCCTCAATGGTTCTGTGATAACTAAATTCCTGCTATGGACTGAATGGACTCAAATGCATATGTGGAAGCCTCTCTCTCTCTGTTTCTCTCTCTCTCTCTCTGTCCCCCCAGTATGTGAGGATAGAGCAAGAGGACAGTAGGCTGCAAATCAAGAAGGGAGGGCTCACCAGACATTGAATCAGCTGGAACCTTGATTTTGGGTTTCCCAGCCTTCAGAATTGTGAGAAATAAATGTTTGTTGTTTAAGTCAACAAACATTATATAGTTATAGTAGTCCAAACTGTCTAAAACAATTTCTTAGGCTTCTATGTAGCTAGGATGGCACGCATGTGCCCTAAGTTTTCCAATCAGATGTATTTCTTCTTTCAGAAGAAACATGTATATAAACAAGGGAGAAAAACTCCAAAATTATGTATTTTATCATGATGCATCTTTATGCAAGTATAATAAAGTCTATGAAGAAATGTTTAGAAGCAAATTAGGTCCATCTAAATTAAAGGTAAGCATCTATTTTCTTGCAACATTTGCCTTGGTAAGGGTAATGAATAGATATCTGCTAAATGCAGGTAGATATTTAAGCTTTTAGAGGCAGTGGTGGCATAAGGCCTAGCAAAGGCATTCCATGCTGGGGAACATAATGCTGCTAGCAGTTAACACTAGAAAATGCATGAGGAATCAGAAGGAATGGGTAGTACAATATAAAAGGGCAAATAATCATTATGTGTGGAAGCATTTGGAAAATGAAAATGACAATTCAAAGTTATAAATTCTCCATTAAATGTATGGTTGCAGAATCAGGAATTTCCTCTGCAGTAAAATAATTTTTAATTTTTGTGACCCAAGAATTGCCATAATTCAAAATCAAATTTATATTATAAACATCTCTTGGTTTCCCATTAATGGAAAGATGAATGAATGAGCTGTGGCATGTTCATATTACACAGCAGCTAACATGAAATCAATGAATGAATGGTAGCTACATACAACAAAAGAGATGATTAATTTTAGCAATATAAGATTAAATGAAAAAAGATTATAACATATAGCCTGATACCCTGTATCCACAATTAAAAGACACAATTTTATAAATACTAATAGATAAAATCAAACTAAGGAAAGCACTTTGGCCTTAATTCTTCAGAGACCCAGTAACTTCTTTGTCTTTCCTTAAGTTGTGACAAATCCAAACATTTACCAGAAAATAAACTAACTTGCAACAAGAGACATTTAGTTTTATGAAGACAAAATAATCACAGAGGCATCCTAGGATACAATTTTAAAGCTCTATCATTCTATGGGACGTATTCAGCATTGACAGCAATTCTGTGTGGCGGGTTAATGTCACAGAAATGACCAACAGAGCACTTAGAAGGTGTATCTGGATATTTACTTACCGTGTTGACAGTGATTGAAGTTACCATGTGAGGATCCAATAGTGTTCAAATACCTAAGAGAGTTTAAGCAATTTTTATTTAAAGTACAGATTTATTTTCACTAATCCTTGTTTCTCAGTGGCAAATGAAACACCTATAAATTCTAGTGATTGCACCTAAAAGGCATTATAAAGCCTCATTCTCTTGGGAAAAAGATACATACAAGAATATTTCTTTTCCCTCAAATCTGTTGAGTCCTTTTTGTCCTCTGAAGTGAATTAACTGCATTTCATAAAGCAATAAATCAAGTAAAAAGTTTAACTCAACTCGAATTATTTTGGGTATTAGAATATCTGTTAGGTGGTGGTGAGGAGGGTAGTAAAATGAAGGAGGTATGAGGGTCTCCTGCTCTGAACATAGAGCAGAGAGTCAGTGGGCCCCGTACAGAGTCCGCGTCATACTTTGGGTTCACATGAACTGGAGATTCCTGCCAATCATATCTAAGAGGGAAATTTATTTTAGAAAGAAAAAAATAGTGAGGAAGCAAGAAGAAACGACAGGTTCCACCGAGATTTGAACTCGGATCGCTGGATTCAGAGTCCAGAGTGCTAACCATTACACCATGGAACCTCGCAATAGCTCGTGTTTTTAACAGGCCTTCCTGAAGGAATATATCTTCATTTCCGAACTCAAGCTGTCTTCCCTTTAAGAACCTAAGTTTCTACCCTAATGTTCGTTATCTGCCGCCATCACACAAGTTCCCTTTTCGTTTCTCACAGGGCTCTTCGTGCAAGATCCAAGAGCAAATCTGTTTCCAGGGGCAGATAAGGTAAGTCCGTGCCTCCCCTGGACTCTTAGCAACAGCCTGCGGGGCTCCCCAGCCTCGGTTCTGCGGCCCTAAGCCGGGCTGCCCCGATACAGGGGGAGAGGGCACCAACCTAGCCGCGCTGACAGATTGCGTTGTTGGAAGAACCGCGAGGCTCGCCGCCTCCCGAGCGTTTGTCCGGCGTTCTTTGCTCCTAACGCTAGGAACACTTTTGAAAGTTCCATTTCGTAACGTATAAATTATGGATGACTTAAATTGAGGCGGCGTGTCAACTAGTCCTGGCACCCGTGGCGTTGCCGAGGGTAAAAAACAAAAAACAGGACACCAAAAGATGCTTTCTGCTTCCCGGGAAGGCTCCACCTCGTGGATACCAAAGAGTAAAGCACTGTTAAAAGCTCGAATATTTGCAAGGCAGGATTTTGTAATTAGTTTCTCACTGATAAAGCTTTAACTTGGTCTTTCTCAATGGGATTAACTGAGAACCTCTCCCAAAATATTCAGCAGTAAAAATTTACTGATACCAAGACCCGGACATGACTTGTCTAGGAGTGTTCATTGCAGGAGATAAAAGCGATCTTATGTTGTCAAACAGAAAGGCTGAGGAAGGAGGCAGAGGGTCTTTAAGAGTAAATAATCTCAGGTGATAGGATCTGAACCTTCCCAACAAGATCACATGAGAGGTATCGGCATCTGCCAAAATTACTTTATTGCTTAGAGACGTCTAGTGTCATGGACAAAAATCCTTCCTGCTTCAATGAGGCGGCACTGTCACTACCAGGTTAAAATGGGTCCCGCCCGTAGGGCCGTGGGCTCTGCGGCAGGAGCTGCAATGGCCGCTGTACAGTGGCAAAGAGAATATCCGTACATATCTCATCCAGTCCATCTTCTCCCAGCCCTATGACTTTCTGATCCACTCACTACCAGAAAGCAAGACAGAATGAAACCCTCTTACCAAACGGGATAACTAAAGGTGGTTTCCAGGAGCCTCGGGAACAAGAAGCATGAGGATCCTAAGCATTTTCAATAAAAATCTAGCCCACTGGAGGCTTTTGAAAAACTGAAGGTCCATGTAACAAATTTAAGATGAGCATTTCTAAGGGCTAGGGCTTGTACCAAGTTCTGTGCTCTCTGAAAAAAAAAATTAAAAATATATGCCTGTAATGGTCAAAGCTGAAACAATTTGAGAAACAATAAATAGAAGACTTCAAACCAATCCCTACAGCTTCCCTGATGTGCAACAAATCTCAGTTTTTCAAGGAATCTCCTGAGCAGAATTCCAGATAACTCCACCCCTTCATTGTGGGCTCTGCATAGTGATTGCTCTACAGAATACAGTATGAAAAAGGGTGGGAAAGTAAGCAGTGAATAAATCCCAAAAGCATTACACCAGCAGTGATAAGCCATGTTGATAGTATATTGTCTTGATATAACGTGATAAAAATGGCGCTTTAGGTCAAGCATGGTGGTTTATTCCTGTAATCCCAGCACTTTGGGAGGCCGAGGCAGGTGGATCACTTGAGGCAAGGAGTTCGAGACCAGCCTGGCCAACATGGTGAAACCCTGTCTCCACTAAAAATACAAAAATTAGCCAGGCGTGGTGGCAGATGCCTGTAGTCCCAGCTGCTCATGAGGCTGAGGCAGGAGAATCGCTTGAACCCGGGAGGCGGAGGTTGCAGAGAGCCGAGATGGTGCCACTGCATTCCAGCCTGCGTGACAGAGGGAGACCCTGTCTCAAAACAAACAAACAAACAAACAAAAACCCTCCACTTTACCTCTGCGGTCTTGCTCCCTCGAACCCCTAACTCCGATCTAATGATGAGAAAAATATCAGACAAATCCTAGTTGAAGGACATTCTACAAAATGCCTGCTCAACACTCTTCAAAACTGTCAAGATCATCAAAATCAAGGAAAGTCTAAGAACTACCACAGCCAAGAGAGCTTAGGGAGTCATGATGACTAAAAATAACATGGAATTCTGAATAGGATCCTGGAACAGAGAAAGGAAATTAGGTAAAAATGAAGGAAATCTAACATATTCATTTTAGTTAATAATAATGTATACATATTTGTTAATTGTTTGTAACAAACGTACCATACCAATGTAAGATTTTAATAATAAGGAAAACTGAGTGTGGGGATATATGGGAACTCTCCTTTATATCTTCCCAATTAAATGGAAACTATTGCTCACGGGAATAAGAACAAAAATGTGACCAAATGAAGTTACTTCTTCAAAATGAATTCAGAACTCTGGCTTGCAATGTGCATTGGTACAATTCTCTCCTGTTTTTGCTTAATGAGCCACATATCAGACCTAGTGGTACAGCTTGCACAGCCTACAACTGACCTGAGAGTATACGGACTTGAAAATAGGAAGGACAAATTTTTGTGCCACACCCACTGCTGCCCTTAGTGCTGTGGACACAGAATTGAGCAGGACACTAAGCACTGGCCCTGCCTGTGGAGATTTCAGTTTGTAGTGATGAGATATTGGCTAAAAACAGTGAATAAAGTAACACCCACACAGAGAAAGTTAGGGAAAACTGCAGGTGACTGGAAGCTAACAGCCTAGATAAACTGAGAAGCTGAAATAAGCTGGATATTTGAGTTTAGGCAGGGATTGAAGATGGTATTTAGAAGACGGTGTTGGCCCAAACCTTTTCACATATTGTGAGATACAAGATAAGGGCGTAGTCTGTGGACTGGTTGTCTGGGTGGCCATACCATAGTGGAAGTAAAAGAAGAGCTGAGAAAAAGTTGAAGGATAGGCTGAGACCATAGATCAGGCCAGGGCTTCAAGGTTGTTTGTTTTAGGAGCACAAGTATCTGCTTTGAACTGTAAACATCAGGGAGCAACAGAAGTGACTTTGAGGAACTTAGGAGATTCTCATTGTCCTTTTGCCCTCAGTATAACTGAACATTTCTTTGTTCCCTGCCATGCTGAAGTTGGTTCTGCACCAGGAGCTACTGGTACCAGTCTTTGGGAATTGGTTTGGGAATTGTCTTCATGTTTGCTCATAGTCATTTTATTTATTTCCCAAAAAACAAAAAGCTGATGGAAAATTCCTCTCCCTCAAATTCCCAATGTCAAGAAGTTAGTAGAGCAAAGATTTGTACAATATTTTTTTGCTCTGGACTCCAGATCATATTGAATAAAATCTAGGAAATCCCTTTCTCAGAAAGATGCCCCTAGATACACACATATACCATTTTGAAAACTATCTCAAGGTGTTCGTGAAACACTTGAGGTCCATGGATCTCAGGCTAAGAATCCTCTGCATTTGATATTCCTCTCTATGTCATCTAGCATAATTTATAACTAATAAAAAATGAATTCTATAAGCAGAAATTAAGCATCATACTACTGAAGTAAAATTGTCTTTTAATTGTGCATGAACATTTAATTAATCTTGGTCTTGTAAATTAGGTCACAGGTGCACCCAAAACAAGCCAAAATACTAGTTAAACCAGTTCTCAGAGGGCTCTTCGGGTGTATATTCCTGACAGAGCAGTTTGGGGATACTTGATGCAGACATAAGTAGGTCAGACAGTGGAGAAGAACAGGCGCATATTTATCACAGGGTTATTGGACCTCTACTGAGATAATTTGTTATTGAGAATTGTACTGGTTTCTGTTTAGTGCTGATTCTATCCTGTTCAAACAAGGAAAGTATAAACTTCAAAATTGCATTATATACATTTATTCATTAAGGACTAATTCTCAAACTTTGAACATCAGAGAGGCAGTCTCTTCCAGGTGCAACCCTCATGACTATACTATAGCTGATTTTGGACCCCATTCTCCCAAATTACTTCTTATGTAATTATTATCATTATAATAAATGTGCACAATACATTATTTTATAAGCCAAATGGATTGGCAAGATGTTTTTGTTTTGTTTTGTTTTGTTTTGTTTTCTATCAAAACACAAAGAAGCAGGGGACTGGACGTGTCAGGGCTGACTCGCGGGCTGTGTAGGGCTCAGAGGGCCAGGGGACCCGGGTCTGGTGGATGGGAGGGCGCGGTCCTGGGGCCTTGGCGGCCGAGAGTGGGAGATGGCGGCGCGATGGAGCAGCGAGAACGTAGTGGTAGAGTTTCGTGACTCCCAGGCAACTGCGATGTCTGTGACTGTCTTGGGCAACATGCAGTGCTTTCTGGCGGCAGATTCTTATACATCGTCAATCTCGATGTCGCTTTCGAAGGTCACCGAAAGATCTGTCGCCAGAGCAAATGGAACATTGGAGCTGTGCAGTGGAAACTTCGTGACAGCTTTGTACACTATTTTTCAGCTTCGGGGCGGAACCACTCTACAGACTGTCTGAGTCTGTTCTTGTCAGGAAAGGCAGTCTGCAGAAGGAAAGCGTCTGAGCAAAGAAAGAAGAGCAACTTCGTTGGCTTGAGAAGGAACAGAAAGCCGCCCTTCCCAGCCATTTCCAAAACAGGGTCTGACTTTTAACCATGGATGTCCGAGGTTGCACTGATTTTCAGGGCTATTCTGAAAGAGAAAGGGAGAGACAGTCTCCTGCCTTTCCACTCTCAACCTCTTTCCTGGGTGATAGAAGGGAGCTCTTTTAATCGGTTTATACCTCAGTGCCCTTATTCCCCTCTCACCCTCAGCCCCTGATCGTCTACTGCAGAGATTTTTAACCTTGGCACTACTGGCAGGTTAGACCAGGTCATTCTTTGTGGTGGGGGTTGTTCTGTGCATTGTAGGAAGTTCAGTAGCATCCCTGGCCCCTACATACTATATCTCAGTAGTATCCTCCCCACCTCTTGTTATGACAATCAAAAATATCTCTAGACCCTGTCAGATGTCCACTGGGAAGCAAAATCACCTCTGACTGGGAACCACTGATTTAGGCTGACACCTCAGTACTTATACTCAGTGGATTAACACTGCCATTTTTCAGGAGTGCTAAGGAAGACAGCCTTTTTTTGTTTATTTGTTTTTTCACAATTTATCATTTTAAAGTGAACAATTCAATACCCTTCACTACATTCACAGCGTTGTGTAACCACCACCTTTATCTAGTTCCAAAACATTTCTATCCCTCCAGGGTAAAACCCCTTACTCATTAAGCAGTTTCTCCCCATTCCTCCCTCCCTCACAACCCCTGGCAACCACCCCAGTCTGCGTGCTGTCTCAATGGATTGACCTATTCTGGATCTTTCATATAAATAAAATCATAAGAAAAACAAAGAGGCACAGCATTTTCCCGTTCCAAACTCTCTCTAAACTGAATTTAGGTTTCCTAGTGGCAACTGTCCAGTTGCTTTTCACTCCTAGTTCTATGACCTTGGGCAAGGAACTTAATCTCTCTGTGTTTTAGTTTCCTCAACTGTAAAACTGGAATAAGAAGAACGCTTACGGGTTATTGAGAATTCAACGAGAACTTTGAACAGTGCCTGACACTTCATAAGCACAACTGATTGTGGTTATTATTGTTGCCCTGCTCTCTCTTTCTCTCTTTCTCTTTTTTTTTTTTTTTTTTGAGACAGAGTGTCGCTCTGAGTGTCACTCAGGCTAGTGTGATCTCAGCTCACTGCAACCTCTGCCTCCTGGATTCTAAGCCTTTCTCCTGCCTCAGCCTACGGAATAGCTGGGATTACAGGCACGCACCACCACTCCCGGCTAATTTTGTATTTTTGGTAGAGATGGGGTTTCACCATGTTGGCCAGGCTGGTCTCAAACTCCTGACCTTAGCTGATTCACCCACCTCAGCCTCCTAAAGTGCTGGGATTACAGGCATGAGCCACCGCACCTGGCCGTCTTGCTATTTCTTGATTCCTCAATTTTAGACCTTGTGCTGTGTATCATCCAGGTACCCTGGCCCCATTCTGCATCTTGTTGCCTGCCCTGGCGCTGATCAGTATGGACATTTTCAATGGGCTTCTTTATCCTCTGACTCCTGCTTGAGTTTGGCCAAGAGAATACCTATGAGAGATCCAGAGGGAGGGTGAAGAGTGAGGCTGGTATATTTATCCTCTGGATCTGTTGGCTGCAGTCTGAATCCCCCAGGAAATGTCCCAACATCTGCCAGGAAGCCTCTCTACACAGCCCTCTCCAAAGAGCTGTAGGTCCCAGGCTCCATCTTATGCCCATCAAGCTCAAGGGTAGTGCGGATTACTAGCTCCAGTAATCCGCAAAACCCTTGTTATTGCCCTACATGCTGCCCATTTATTTGTAAATAACAATTTAAATAAATTATCCTCAACTTTTCTAGTTCAAGTAAACATTCCACTTCCTGCTCATGTCCTGATTGATACAGATGTCTAAAGACTTCCCACTCTGAAAGAAAAGATACATAGTTCTTCTATATAGCCTAAAACAAATACACTTATCTACCCTCATCTTTCAATGTATTTGTATCATAGTATTGTGGCTAAAAATGTTAAGTGTTTTCCTTATTATGTCCATGGAAATATTGTTCACTGCAGGATCACTTGTATACTGTAACTACATTCTCTTGTTTTTCCTGATTTGAAAATACTGCCTCTTTTGTTTGTTTGCCTCCTTTCTGTGTTTCTAATACTAATTTGTCCTGCAACTCTCTTCCAGTGCTGCAAAATACTTCTGAATTTGGTCATTTTTCAGTTCCTTTTTTTAAAACTTGTCCAACCTGAGCTGGTTAATCTCTAGGTCTGCTTTATAGAGATCATGCTGATGCTTCTCCATCGGCTGAAGAGGCAACCCCTTTACCGCTCACCTGTACTGAATTGTTTTTTTGTTAAGTCACAAATCTCTTGGTTTACTCCCTATTTTTGGTGGAGAAGATCCTCCAACAGCTTTCTGAGAAAAGAGAAATTTTTTGAGATTTTGCATTTGGCAATCTCAAGCCTGTTTGTGCTCAGATGCATTCCTAGCCACTCCCTTGGTCATCTCTGTAGTGCCAGTGTCTGGTCCCTGCCGCTGCATTTCCACTGATGGCTGCTGACTTCTGCCTGAGTTCAGCCAATAGAAGACAATGAAGGAATATTGAGAGGTAGAGGGAAGAAGAAGTCAGGATATTTCTTGCTTTCCCTCCCTGTTTCTTGCAGCATTTCTGGCAGCAGTTGTGTCTCCTCCATGGCTCCAGATCCTCCCAGACCTGCCTGCTCCTGAGGGAGATCCCACCCCTTGGGTTCAGATTTCTACCTCCCACCCCAACTGGCTTCTTTGATCTTCCACCACCTCTGTAACCAATTCCCTGCATGAAAGACACTGGAGTTTAAGTCCTCATGAGGTCTCTGTTTCCTGCTTATGATCTAAAAAATATGATGCATTTCTGAAAATATATTTATTCAAACTTCATAAATGATTTTAGTTTGGTCAGGTAGGGATTTCTAGTGTGAAAATAATTTTATCTTAGAATTCTGTGAGCATTACTCCATTGTGTTCTTGTTGTCAGTGTGGTGATGAATTTAAATGCCATTCTAAAATAGACACTCTGGATAATTCTTGGTTTTTTGTTTTGTTTTGCTTTTGTATTTGTTTTGTTTTGTTTTGTTGTTTTTGTTTTTATTTGTTTTGGTCCCTTGTGCTGGGCAGTAGGTGGATCCTTTGGATCCTTTTTAGGTTTTGAAAATTTAAAAGGCCAGGCGCGGTAGCTCATGCCTGTAATCCCAGCATTTTGGGAGGCCGAGGTGGGCGGATCACCAGAGGTCAGGAGTTCGAGACCAGCCTGACCAACATGCAGAAACCCCGTCTCTACTACAATTACAAAATTAGCTGGGCGTGGTGGTGCATGCCTGTAATCCCAGCTACTTGGGAGGATGAGGCACAAGAATCACTTGAACCCGGGAGGTGGAGGTTGCAGTGAGCCAAGATCACACCATTGCACTGCAGCCTGGGCAACAAGAGCAAAACTCAAAACTCCATCTCAAAAAAATAAATGAAAAAAAAAAATGAAAAAAATTAAAAAAAACAAAGAGAAAAGAAAATTTTATTGCATTCATTAATAGTTTTCCCTATTTTCTTTGTTGTCTTTCCATGAAACTTTCAATCACGTTGTTGAAACTTCTAGACTTGTCTTCTAATTTTCTTATCTTTTATTCTATTTTTCCATTTTTCTTTTTTGTCCCTTTTTGTGGGAAATGTTCTCAACTTTGTCTTCTAACCCTTCTGTTAAACTTTTTTCTATCATCATATTTGTTATTTTCTTTTCTCTTCTGAGATAGGGTCTTACTTTGTCACCCAGGCCAGAGTGATCTCAGCTCACTGCAGCCTCAGCCTCCCAGGCTCAAACGATCCTCCTGCTTCAGCCTGTCAAGTAGCTGGTACTACAGGTGTGTGCCAGCACGCCTGGTTAATTTTTTTGTATTTTTCGTGGATATGGGGTTTTGCCATGTTGCCCAGGCTTCTTTTCCTTTTTTTTTTTTTAAATATTATTCTTTAGAGATATTTATTTAGGATTAAAAGGAAGGATTTTTTTAAAGAAATTAGAATGGTGGCCAAAGGGAAAAGCACATTTCTTTTGCTCCTTTAGATGTTGCCCTTTGATGTAACTGTAGTACATTCAAGTGGACCTGTCCACTAGGAGGATTCAGGAGAGAAGTCGGGCTTGGAGATAAAGATCCAGTTGTCATCTTCATGGAGATTGCCAAGGAGGGGAATGATGGAAACATGAGAAAAAGGCTGCTGACAGTCTTGGAAATAACTTAGTGGTCTCAGCTTCTGCCTGCAGCAACTTGGGGGTTCCTTTCTGGTCAGACACCTTCTGGAAATTTTTGTTTTTAATGAATTGAGATTTTACACCTTCACCTTCAATTTGCAGTTTAATACCTTCAGCATGGGCAGGGTGATCAATATACCCTGTAGATTCAAACCACAGTGGCGTGCTTACACAGCCATACTCTCAGAGCTTCCCTAACACTACATAATTTTCTTGGCTGACATACTCCTGCCCCATGCCCATATTTGTTATTTTCAAGGGTTCTTGTTCCCTTTAATGCTCTTTAAAAAGTAATAGCATCTTAGTGAGCTATGACAGCACCACTGCACTCCAGCCTGGGCCACAGAATGAGACCCCGTCTTGAAATGATAATAATAATAACAGAATAGTATCTTATTATTCTCATATATACAGAATGCTTTCTTATTTCCCTGAGGATGTTTTCGTTTTTTGCTTCTGTTACCTATTTATCTCTATTTCCACCAGGCTCTCTTTCTTTCATTTGTTTGCGTTGGTACCTATCTTTTCTCCAATTTCTGGTGGCACATAGCAGTTCAGTCATATTTAGGAGGTAGACCCCTAAACCTAATTGGTACTATGGGCATGGTATGCCAATAAATAGGCCTCATTCTAGAATGATTGTGTATGATAGGCCATTTCAATCCAGACCCTTGATATGTCCATATCTACGGGTCAGTTTTCTTATGATGGTCCATTTTCTTGGGGAGCAGAATCTTTCAATCTTCTGCATGTTTAGGGCTAGAGGTAGAGAAAGCTTAGCTGTCCATACTTTCTGAAACAGAAAGGGAGCTTCAGGTGTCCTAAAGAGACTTTCATTCCATCTCCCAATTTTCAACATGCGCTTCACTCCCAATTTCAATTATACCTGGTATCCTTAAGTCAAGAGCATCTCCGGAGCTTTTTTTCCCAAAATAAACCCTCTATGAAGGAGGGGCAGTACAGACTAATGAGCCTAAGGTTACATGATTCTAACAACTCTTTTTGTTTGTTTGTTTGTTTGTTTGTTTTTGAGATGGACTCTTGCTCTGTTCCCCAGGCTGGAGTGCAATGGCACGATCTCAGCTCACTGCAACCTCCGCCTCCCAGGTTGAAGCGATTCTCATGCCTCAGCCTCCCAAGTAGCTGGGATCACAAGCGCACGTCACCACGCCTGGCTAATTTTTGTATTTTTAGTAGAGACGGGGGTTTCACCATGTTGGTCAAGCTGGTCTTGAACTCCCGACCTCGTGATCCACCCACCTTGGCCTCCCAAAGGGCAGGGATTACAGGCATGAGCCACCGCGCCCGGCCAGTTCTTCCAACTCTTAAGCCTTTCCAGGAATCTGTGATGTCAGCTTCGTTATTGTCGGCTTCCCACCTTGCAAACAGTTAGGTTTCAGCTTTATCCACTCTAATTCAATTACTATTTATCCAACTCCCTTCTGTCTCCCAAATTTTGTTGATAACTGTGGTATCCACCTAAATTCATGTTTCCTCCTCCATAGTACACTGTTGTCTGTGGGAATAAGCTACCCAGCCAAAGTCTGTATTTACCAGGTCTCCTTACACCTCAGTGAGGCCATATGATTAGTTATAATCAATAAATCATGAATGCAAGTAGCTTGTTTTTCTCCAGGCCTTTAAGAAGTGTGCACTTTCCCAAGCTTTAGGGGATAATAGATTCATAAGATGGAAGAGGCCTGGAACCTTGAATCACCACAAGGACACAAAACAGGTTCCTCTTTCTTTGCTGACACAAAAATCTGCAATCGACTGTTACATGAGTAAGACATAAATCTCAGGCCGAGGCGGGCGGATCACCTGAGGTCGGGAGTTTGAGACCAGCCTGACCAACATGGAGAAACCTCCGTCTCTACTAAAATTACAAAAAATTAGCCGGGCGCGGTGGCGCATGCCTGTAATCCCAGCTACTTGGGAGGCTGAGGCAGGAGAATCGCTAGAACTCGGGAGGCGGAGGTTGCGGTGAGCCGAGATGGCGCCATTGCACTCCAGCCTGGGCAACAAGAGTGAAACTCCGTCTCAAAAAAAAAGACAGAAATTTCCATTGCATCAAGCTACTTTAATTTGGGAAGCCAACAATGTTTTTTACTGTCTGTTATTTGCTTTCATGCTCTCTTAATCATTGTAGGTTTACACATTTTTGAATTGCTTTTACTGTCAACTTATGGGCATCTTAAGAAAGCAAAAATAAAGTCCTGGGTTTCACTACCATTTTAACCAGAAGTCCCCTTGAACAATGTGACCACTTGAGCCAAATGTTTGACTACTGAGTAACATCAAAGTGCTTGTGTCTAGGGACTACCTTTTCCCTGTTCCAGCAATAAAATACTATTTCTGCCCCTTCGTTTTTAAACCTGAATAATGATGTTTGCTTCACATAGTAGAAAAACAAAGAAAAAAACCCATTATGATCCTACAACCCAGACACAAATGGTAATGCATTGGTGTATTCTCCCACACCTCCCAAATACGTATAATGCAAAAATTTTACTTGAGGTTATACAATATATGCATTTAAAAAATTCTCCTCTTTTCATTTAACATTATATCACATGCTTCTTGCCTGAACTATCACAATCTTTTCGAAAATACTGTTATTTATTTATTTATTTTTGTTATCCACTAGTAAGAGTTGCAAAACATCGTTTTTATTGGCTTTGTAGCATTTTTCCAGGTAGATATAACCTATATTATGTAATCATCTTCCCTCCCATTGTTGGAAATGTTTGTTATTTTAATTATTTCATTATTATAACAAAATATCCTAAGTGTCTTTGAACATAAATGATTTCTTTTAGTTTGGATTGTTTCGCTAAGTGAGTTTTCTTCAAAATGAAGTGAGTCAGCTGGGCGCGGTGGCTCACACCTGTTATCCCAGCACTTTGGAAGGCCGAGGCAGGCAGATCACAAGGTCAGGAGTTCAAGACCATCTGGCCAACATGATGAAACTAAAAATACAGAAAAAAAAATAGCTGGACATGGTGGTGCATACCTGTAATCCCAGCTACTCGAGAGGCTGAGGCAGGAGAATCTCTTGAACCAGGGAGTTGGAGGTTGCAGTGAGCCAAGGTCCTGCCACTGCACTCCAAGCCTGGCGACAGAGCAAGACTCCATCTCAAGGAAAAAGAAAAAAAGAAGTGAGTCACCATTTGCACGAGCTTCCTGGTGGAATGGAGAAGTGCTAAGGCAGCAACAGCAAGGATCTTGTTCCAAGAACATGGGTAAGGGAGCTGATTAGTTTCCTAAGACTGCCCTAACAAATTACTATAAACTGGGTAACTTAAAAAGACAGATTTATTCTTAAGATTTTGGCCGGGTTGGTTGTTTTCTAGGTGCTCTGAGGGAAAATCTGAGACCTCTTTCCTTGCTCCTGATGGTTGAAGAAAATCCTTGGCATTCTTGGTTTGTAATTGCATCACTCCAGTCTCTGCCTCCCTCTCAACATAGCTTTTGAACTAGTGACTATGTGTCTGTGTCTCTAAATTTCTCACTTCCTATAAGGACAGCAGTCACTGGATTACTGGATTTAGAGCCTACCTGAATCCAGCATGATCTTCTCTTAACTTGATTAAATCAGCGAAGACTGTTTTCAAATAGGTCACACTCACAGGTACCACAGGTTAGGATTTCAACATATCTTTCTGGGCAACACAATGCAATTCACTTCAGGAGCAACTGCCTTTTTGTCTGCCCTAAACGAAAATGCATGTGGGAAAACTGTATCTGCAAGAGAGTTCGAGGGTCTCAGGTGTAAAAGAGATTCTCTCGTTTGTATCTGAAAGTCTGTCTGAATCTACTTGGTGGTACTTTGGCCAAGCATTTCAATTCCCAGAACTCAAAGCTGTAATCCCTGAGATTCCCCATTAAAGAATAAACAATAAAAGCCTGGTTCTGCAGTGTTTTCCTGAACCAACAGTCTTTAATCCTAGGGGGTAAAAAGGTATTAATATAGCTAGATTTAATGTGGCATTCACAAGCTCTTTTACGTTAGGAGGGACAGACAATGTTCTCAAGCTGCAAAATTTTGGAAAACATGTTATCTAAGCTTCTCCATATTCCCCTGGCTCCTGGGACTGCCTGCTTCCCTCCCTGGGGAAGGTGAAAAGGAGTGAGTTTTCCTGAGAGGATGGAGACCTTCCCATCAACTTTTTCTTCAGAGGGTCCACGAGGGCTAGGTCTTCCCTGCCCCTTCTCATCCTGCACCCCTGCTCAAATTGGGTTTCAACGAATTCTTTAAGCCAGAGAAAGGACAAAGCAGTTCAAAGCTGTTGAAGATATTTCTGGTTTAGTATTCAATACTGAAAGCAAAAGCAAATGACTCCAAGGTCATAATTCCTTCAAATTTCCTCTAGCAGGTTTCCTGTGCTATTGTCATTTGAGGCTGTGAAGCTACTAGGATCAGACCCTCAGCTCCAAACTCCCTTTCTGCTGGTTTCTCACAAATACCTGTGAACAGGTGCATCAACCGTGACTAGCAAGTGGAGTTCTAGGGGGAGAGAAAATCCAAGTCTCTTGTCTCAGAATGCTCCTTTGAACTCCACTTTTCTCAACTGAATTCCAATTCAGTATGGATGACTTATTTCATCTAAAAGCTGGAAGCTCTTAATGCACCTAGAAAATTCTTTGTTACTAGACTTAGTAACCAGGCACCAAAACATCTTTTACTGTAGTATCTACTTACCATACTACCCAAGAATGGCACACTGCTCACATCTTCAAAAGCTTAAACCAAGAGCACTACACAGGTGCGTAGTCGTGGCCGAGTGGTTAAGGCGATGGACTTGAAATCCATTGGGGTTTCCCCGCGCAGGTTCGAATCCTGTCGGCTACGGTTTGGTTTTAGCCTGACTTCTCCCAAATAGTTTCCTTCTAATTGCACCCCAAAGGCAACTGAGTCTCCTGGATTACAATTGTGTCATCTCCTTTGGTAACACTGCGTTGAACTCTGCATTCTAGCTGTCATCATCATTATTAACCCTGCGTTGTAGTTTACCTCTTTCTCTGAGTCCATTACTTTCCTCCTCCTCCAACATCCGAGACAACCGTGTCTCGAGTAAGAGAGAATCTATTGCTGTGGTGTAAACACCACCTAACGTTAATCCTGATTTGAGGAAGGCAATTCTCTTTTCCTCACCTACAAGCTCTGAGAATCGAAGTCAGACTCCATCGAGTTTTCTCTGTAGATAAGTCTAAGTTGCTTGTCTGGTGTGTGAAGATTTTGCCTATAGTGTATTAAGTGTTTTGTTAGCCCAAGTTTAGGGACTGTCATTCAACAGCAACAAGGCATTACCTGTTTTGCAGCAATAACAATGATTGTGATTGTAGCTTCAATATAAATTCGTTGGTTTGTAGACAGTACCACACACACTGTATCTTCTCGGCCTAAAAATTCGAGAGCCCAAGAATGGGAAAGGTTTATTAAACCACAGGAAGTGGATGTTAAAGCTAGCCTCTGGCTGCCAAGCCCTTATTATTTTTATTCTATTGATTTTGTTAAATGTCTTCATCTTACAGCTTAGAAAAATTCAAGGTGAAGTTCTCTGGCCCCAGTCTATTCTTCCTATCTTCTCCAGCACATTCAAAGACCAAGAACACTTATCTGGGCTTTACAGTAGATTCAGGAAACAGTGTAACTTCAGACACTCAGTACTTTGGTTCTCATACAGAATAAAGTTGGGAAGAAAAGGTCGAGGGAGAAGACGAAAAGATGTGGAAAAACAAGAAAACGGAAGAGAGGAGAAAGGCCAGGAGATTGAAGGAATGGAACAAAAGAGAAGCTAGCAGGGTGCCAAATATAGGAATGTTCTCACCCCTCTTGCCCACTTTTATTCTGAGTTTCCTCTGTCTTAGCAACCCCTAAATGCCCTTGCTCTTGCTCTGACAGGCAACTTTCCACTATCTCCACTCTTTGAAATCAGCCCCTGATGTCAAGGCACTTCTTAAAGTCCAATTCCTCCACAGAGGCATTTGTATTGTTTCCAGTTTGGCTATTATAACTAGTGCTGCCATGAATATTCTTGTACATGTATTTCAGTGAATATAAATAAATATTTTTGTTGGAGAGATATACTTATGGGTGGAATTACAGAGTCACAGTACATGTATACATTCAAGATTTAATATATAATGCTAAGTCATTCTCGCAAGTGATTGAGCCAATTTACACCCCCTGAGCAAGTATCACATTGTCCTGATTGCTATGGCTTTTTAAGTAACCCCCCCCCCATTTCAGGTAGCTCAATTTTTATTTTAAATCTGACATACATTCACTAACACATTGCCTGAAGCTTCAGATATTGTTGAAAGCAGCAGTGTTGACATTCCTCATGTGCTCCTGAAACTTGGGAATCTCCTCAAAAGTCTGTGGCCACTTTGTCATCTTCCCTCATACATTTGATCGACATCTTGTGGATTCTATAGTTTGGAGTTGCCCAGGTCAGCCATTGCAGCTGGGGCATACACGAGCCCCCAGCTGGGCCTTGTCGATATCTTCATTCCAAGATTTGATGTCTAGAAGGATGGAGGACTTGAACATTTACATGAGCTTTCTGACCATGCAAATAAGAGGCAGATGCTAGACAACTGTATTCTCGTTAACTTTTAATGAGTACATTTTGTGTCATTTAAACCTAGATTCTCCTATGGGCCTTAAAGTAACTGTGACTTTGAGGTTTCAGAATTGACTGGAATGTTTCTCTGATCAGAGCAGCGGTCTTAGGAGTGAGGAAAGTCGAGAGGGTCCATTGGCAGTTAAGGAGGAATGGCAGAGGGGTCCCACCGCAGCTCTGCTCTCAGAGCCAGGTAGGGGCCATCAGTGGGCAGAAGATGCAAAAAGCAACTTTTCTCCCCGTCGGGGAATCGAACCCCGGTCTCCCGCGTGACAGGCGGGGATACTCACCACTATACTAACGAGGAAGAACTCTGCGTCAGCGAGTTTTGACTACCTCTAATAAACTTAAGTATTCTTGCCCACTTTTTTAAGTCTGTAAGTTTGTATTCTACTAAATTGATTATACTTGGCGAATTTACACTTTAATCTGCCGCCTAAGCCAAAACGACGGGGTCTGTCAGGACAGCCTGGTCTTTCGATTGTGGTGGTGTCGAGATCTCTGACAGTGTTTCTAGTCATTTGCAACCAGCGAGACCGGGTGACCAAAGCAGTTGAACCATTGATTCCACAGAAACTGATAATTGACCAAAGACTTGGACCTCTGACTAGGACTAAATTTCCATGAAGAGGAAAGCACTATCAAGACTTGTAACAGGTATAGGCTTCAGGAGGGTTTGGAAGGCAGGGAAACGAGAGGCGTCCCCAAGAACCGTACAAAGGTACCGCTAACGGGAAAATGACTAGGTATCTGCTAATTAAGGTACCCATAATCTTATGAAAATAGTAGGTATTCAGTAACTTCCACCCTCCATTGTTGTGGGGTTTCAGGATCGGGGAAGTACCAAACAAATTCAGTTCGCAACACGTGAGTTGGCTTAAATTTCTTTCTTCTAAATTTTCTGTTGTTAATTATCTAAAACCTCGAACTCGTAGTCGGCAGGATTCGAACCTGCGCGGGGAGACCCCAATGGATTTCTAGTCCATCGCCTTAACCACTCGGCCACGACTACACAGAATCACAACGTTTTTTTTCACGGTATAGACATGAGAAAATGCAAATCAGGATAATTACTATCTAGGTACAAGAAAATGGGCTTTGTGAGTTGAACGCAAACTTTCAGGTACAACGAGAGTTTGGTTAAAAAAAAAAAAGCAAAAAAAGCCAACCTCCTGTGCCACCTGGACAAGAGCACTGGAATGAGAGTACTCCCGCGTGAGGATGAGCATCATCAGCGTTCCAAACAAAGAATACAAACTTCACGTTAGTAAACAGTGAGCGAGCTCCCGTCGGCGCCCGGAAGTAGGCTGTGGTCTGAGCTCTGGCAGTGGAGTCTCTGCAACTGGAACTAAACTTTGCTAATTAACAAGTGGACTGAGACCCTAACTTACGGCCCCCACTTATCTATTGCCTTTGAACAGCCTGTCTTCCGATAGCCCTGGACACTTTGGAAGATTGCATAACTTGTGGGAAATCAGCACTTTGATCAAAGTGGAAAATGGGCAGAAACAGCTGGTGATTTACATGATTTACATAGTTACGATGCAAGGATGTCCACTGTGGCATTGTTTGTATATAGCATGTAAATATGCTAACTAGTAAGGGAATGGTGTGATGCATTCCTATCACAGGGTACTATGCAGCTGTTAAAGAATTAGATTCTTATCGTTTTACTTGGAAATGTGTGTAAACTTTAATCCACAAAATAGCGAACATAAATAGTTCTATTTATATCGAATGAACCCCCAAATTAAAGTCCATTAAAAACATCCGAAGGGACGCTCACCAATCTAACAAAAGAGCAAAATGGAATGTAAGTGAGAGATTAAAATATCAATTTCGATTACTTTTGTATTCTTTACATTTGTCATAAAAACAATCTGCATTATTTATATAATTGGAAAATTAAAAATGGAAAAACAGACTGCATTAATTATATAATTGGAAAATTAAAAATGGAAAAACAGGCTAAAATATGCCATTGCATACTTACGCATTTAAAAACTGGTTGTGTAAAAACAAAAAAGTTAATACTAATTTATCTGAGGTGTTGAATCATAGCTCCTCATCGTTTTCTTCTTTTAGCTCTTCTCTCTTTCAAATTTTCAAGCAAAGTATATGTATTTATTTGTATTTTTACTTGAAGTGTTCCCACTCTTCCTTAAGACTACAAGATGATTGTAATACCTTGTTATCTGTTTGAAGAAATAAGGAGTGGTATGGCATTGATATTGAACCAGTAAAAATAATGCTACTATCTAACTATTCTAAATTTCACATTTTAGAAAATGCCTTCACATTCAGGATCTCATGTAACTCTCAGAACAGTTCCATGAGGTGCTGCCACCCACTTTTACAATAAGAAAAATGTCCGGATAAGAGAACTTTGTACATTCACAGGGCTACTGAGTATTGAAATCAAAGCATCTTACTCTGTATCAATTACTCTTTCCTTATAGAGATGGAAAATGACACCTTTAAGAAAAGAAAGGCACAGTCCTCTCAGCATTCAAAGGATAAATCCCACTTGGTCGCAGCATATCACCCTTTTTAAAAATTGCTGATTCAATTCGCTAACATTTGTTAAGAATATTTACACCTATTTTCATGAGGAACATTGGTTTGTAATTTTTTTTTTTCTCAAACTGTGATCTGGTGTTTGTTCACTTTGTTTTTGCTGAGGTAGGGCTATTTCATTTTTTATTTTTTATGGTAGCTTATTTTATTGAGGTAAAATATATATGTTTAATTTACCATCTTTACCATTTTTAAGTGTACAGTTCAGTAGAAATAAATACATTTATATTCTTTGTTTCCCTTCATCCCTCCCAAGTTTTGATATCAACTAATATTCAATTCATAAAATGAGTAGGAAAGTGTTCTCTACTTTTCCAGTTTCTGGAAAAGTTTATGTACACATGATATTATTTCCTCTTTAAAGGTTTGGTAGACTCCACCAATGAAGCCATCTAGGCCTGGATTTTTCTTTTAGAGAGGTTTTTAATTATAAATTATATTTTTAACAGTTATATTACAATTCAGATTATTTCTTGAGTGGGTTTTAGTAGTTTCTACCTTTTGAGAAATTGATATATTTCATCTAATTTGTCAAATTAATTGGCATATTATCCAAAATATTCTTTTATTTTTTGTATAATCTAGGTAAATGTCCCCTGTTTCTTTCCTGCTACATTTATTTTCTGAGCAGTCCGACTGGAGATTTATCAATATTATTCATCTTTTCAAAGCACTGGTTTTTAGATTTCATTGATCTTCTCTATTGTTTTTCTATTTCATTCTCTTTTGCTCTTTAATATTTGTTCTCTTCCACTTACTTTGAATTTAATTTACTCTTATTTTTCTCGTTTGTTAAGGTGAAACTATAGATGATTGATTGACACTTTTTTTTTTTTTAAGGGTCTGGCTCTGTCACCCAGGCTGGGGAGCAGCTGGGGTGTAGTGGCACGATTTCTGCTTGCTGCAGCCTCCACTTCTCCAGCTCAAGCATTCTTCCCACCTCAGCCTCCTGAGTAGCTGGGACTGCAGTCACCCGCCAGCCACCAACCTGGCTTGTCCCTCCCTCCCTCTCTTCCTTCCTTCCTCTCTCCCTTTCTCTCTCTCTTTCTCTCTCTCTCTCCCTCCCTCCCTTCCTTCCCTCCCTCTGACCTTTCTTTCTCTCTCTCCCTCCCTTCCTTCCCTCCCTCCGACCTTTCTTTCTCTCTCTCTCCCTCCCTCCCTTCTTTCCATCCCTCCTTCCCTCCTTCTCTTTTCTTTTCTTCCTTTCTTTCCTTCCTTCCTTCTCTCTCCTTCCTTCCCTTCCTTCCTTCCTTTCCTTCTTTCTCTTTCTTTCTCTTTCTTTCTTTCTTTCTCTCTCTCTCTCTCTTTCTTTCTTTCTTTCCTGTTTTCCTGTTCTTCTGGTAGAGATGGGGTCTCACCATGCTGCCCAGGCTGGTCTCAAATCCCTGGGCTCAAGCACTCCTCCTGCCTCAGCCCCTCAAAGTGCTGGGATTACAAGCATGAGCCACAGCACCTGACCACTTTTTTCATAATAAGCTTTTTTTCTTTTTTCTATAAAAGCTTTTTTCCTATGAAAAGCTTTAGCTGCATTTTGTTATATTTTGTTACCATTTTTATTTAGTTCAAAATAATTTAAATTTCCCTTGTGATATATTATTTGGTTTTAGATTATTTTGTTTAATTTCTGTTAATTGATTTCTGGTTTAATTCTGTTGTGGTCACAAAATATACTTTCTGTAATTTCAGTCCTTTTAAGCTTACTGTGACTTATTTTTTAGTCCAAAATAAGGTCTGTCTTGGTAAGTATTCTATGAGCGCTTGAAAAGAAAGTTTTCTGTTATTGCTGAGAAAAGCGTTATATAAATGTTAATGAGGTCAAATTTGTGGTAATGTGGTTCAAATCTTCTGTATTCGTACTGAATTTTCAGACTACTTGTTCTATCAATTACTGAGAAAGAAGTGTTAAAATTTCCAACTATTAGCCTGGCTCAGTGGCTCACGCCTGTAATCCCAGCACTTTGGGAGGCCAAGGGGGGTGGATCACCTGAGGTCAGGAATTTGAGACCAGCCTGACCAACATAGTGAAATCCCGTCTCTACTAAAAATACAAAAATTAGCTGGGTGTGGTGGTGGGCACCTGTAATCCCAGCTACTCAGGAGGCTGAGGCAGGAGAATCACTTGAACCCGGGAGGCGGAGGTTGCAGTGAGCCGAGATGGCACCACTGTGCTCCAGCCAGGGTACAGAGCAAGACTGTCTCAAAAAATAAATAAATAAATAAATAAATAATAAAAAATATAATTTCCAACTATATTTGAGTAATTTTTCTATTTCTCCTTGCAGTTTAGTAGGTTTTGCTACACATATTTTGAAGCACTATTTGTAGGTGCATACATGTAGGGTTGTTGTGGCGGCTTCTTGGTGCATTGACCTCTTTATCATTATTAAATGTTCCTCTTAATCTGATTATAGGCAGTAAATAGGGCAATTTCTTTCTCATTTTTTCCCTTTTCCCAGGTATCAAAATTAGTCACTGCCTATTGTCTATCTGAAGAAAATTGTTATATATACTTTGTACAGTTTTCCAGTTGTTTAAGGTGGTAGGGTAAGTCTGGTTTCTATTACTTTACCATGGGGAAGAAACAGGAGTCCTTTTGGCACTGGTCTTAAAATGACCAATTTCACTTTAATCCTGGTGGGATATCATCCTTTCCTTTGAGTTGTGTTTACTGATCCTCTTCCTCCATGATCCTTTTCTTGACTATACACTTTACTGCACCTAATTTTATTCATAATTAACATTGTGAGAGTCAACAATTGCAACAGGTCCATGAAAAATAATTGGTTATTAGTTACATGGATATCTTCTTTTATAAAATGTTTATTCAAGTTTTTGATCATTTAGTTGAGTCATTGATATGTAGCAGTCAAGATTCAATAAAAGAAGCAGAACCACTGGGATGCACTTCAAGCTTCAGCGTTATAAAGACTGTGGGGCAGGTTATCAAGAAAGGAAGAAAGAGGTAAAGTGGGGAATATTAGAACAAGCTGGAACCCACAAGCATGAACTGGATCCCCACAGGATGAACTGAAATCTGTGTCAGCTCTTGTTGCCTCTCCTTGGTGTTGTAGTATTCTACAGAAGACAGGGTCCTTTGCTTGAAGCTAAACACAGACATTTGGCTCAAAAATTACAGAGGTTGAAGGAGAACCCACAGGAAGGTGGGGTAGTTGCAGGCACAAATACTGCCATGTGACAAGATAAGTCAGCAGGTGAGTTAGCATGAGCTACAAAATGACTGCTACTTAGCTTTCTTTCTCAAATCTTCTGCAAGAATATCTCTTGGGGACCATCCTAACCAGAGACACACAGAAAAAGAAATTCTGGGGAATGTAGTTCAGCCTGGCCAAGTTGATACCATAGCAGTGAAGATAATGTTTGGTATCAATTAAAAATAAAATTTAAATTTAAAAAATGTGTTAATATTTACATACATAATTAATAACACTTAATTGTAGGTTTGCAATAAGTCATGATATACATGTTGTATAAGTCCTCCAACTTTGCTATCTTCTTTAATCTTTTCTTGTTTTTTTTCTATTTTTTCTTTTCTTTGAATCTGTAAACTAGAGATTTTCTTTTTTTCTAAACTTGCTTTACCTTTAAAATATATTTTTGAAACTGCTAGTTAAACTTTAAAAAATACAGGCTCAGAACTTGACTAGGATTCATTGAACTTATTGATTAATTTGGAAATAGTTTTCATCTTGATGAAATTGAGTCTAACAAGACATACTTGTTATTTTTCCTCCACTTCCTCCATTTAATTTCCACCAGCAACGTTTTATAGTTTTAAGTGTAGATTTCTTGCATATCTTGCTAGATTTATTTTTATTTTATTGTATTATTATTATTTTTTGAGACAGAGTCTCGCCCTGTCGCCCAGGCTGGAGTGCAATGGCATGATCTCCGCTCACTGCAACCTCCACCTCCTGGGTTGAAGTGATTCTCCTGCCTCAGCCTCCCGAGTAGCTGGGACTACAGGTGCATGCCATCACACCCGGTTAATTTTTGTATTTTTAGTAGAGACGGGATTTCATTCACCATGTTGGTCAGACTGGTCTTGAACTCCTGACCTCGTGATCCGACCCCTCGGCCTCCCAAAGTGCTGGGATTACAGATGTGAGCCACTATGCCTGGCCGTTAGATTTATTGTCAAACTTTAAATTTTTTGCTGCTATTGGGAATGGAATATTTTAATTTTAATTTCCACTTATGCATATACACATTTTGGATATGGTCAGTAAAGAAAAGAAGAAACAGACAAATGATGTTCAATTATAGCTGAAAGTGAGCATCTATGTATTATTTCAAATGTGAGGTAGAGTGACTGAAGAAATAATTGTGCATAACTCTGCTGCACAATAATATCAATATCAATATTTTACATTTTAAACACTAACATTTAAATAACATAATGGTAATAATTAAAAATTAAATTAAAATGTTGATTAACATTTCAGATTTATTTTATATGCAAGAAGGGTATTCCTTGATTACAGACTTCAACGGTGGCTTCACAGAAAAGCTGATTTAACATTCAGAATTCAACGCACTTCTTCAATTTCTTCTTCCTTTAACTTATACTTTTCAAAATAACCAAATATAATGCAAAATAAGTAAGCTGCATAAATCACGTAATGAGTAATACAAAAGGTAAGTTGACAGTGGAGAAACTTAATAGACATCATCTTAATTCATCACAGTTAACATACGAGTATCAGTACGAATTAACATCATGTGCCACTGGATTTGAAGAATGGTAAAGGACCTTGCTTCACTTCTGTGGTATTGCTGCCAAAATAATCTGAATATAACTCGGAGGAAATAGCAGACAAATTCAAATTGAGGGATTGAGGGGGCTGACCTACCTTTTTTTTTTTTTTTTTTTTTTTTTTTTTTTTTTTTTTGAGACAGAGTCTCGCTATGTTGCCCAGGCTGGAGTGCAGTGGTGCAATCTTGGCTCACTGTAACCTCCACCTCCCGGGTTCAAGCGATTCTCCTGCCTCAGCCTCCCGAGTAGCTGGGATTACAGGCGCGCGCCACCACGCCTGGCTAAGTTTTGTATTTTTAGTGGAGACGGGTTTCGCCATGTTGGCCAGGCTGGTCTTGAACTGGCCTCAAGCGATCCGCCCACCTCGACATCCCAAAGTGCTGGGATTAGAGGCGTAAGCCACCGCGCCCAGCCCTACTTCTCCAAGTGAGACATATTTGTGAACACAAAGATGAGAGACACCTTATGAATATAAACATTCGTTTTCTTCCCGGGCGCAATTCCGTGAGGGAAATTCGAGGCAGGGGGTTCGAAGACAGGAAATGAGGCAGCATCGCCAAAACCTGCGTTTTGCTCATAGAGAATATTGCTTATTTTTAGGCAAATAAGAAGTAATGTTGGGATCACTGGCACGCTGGGAACCCAGTGGCAGTAGAGGTTTGAATGAGCGAGGCATCTGGACAAGTCAAGTCAAGAAGTTTGCACCCTTGTGGTAAGAAATGGGTGGTAAGGATTTCCTTGTTAGGTAATTTCACACTGCCAAACAGATGGGTTAAGTTAGCTCACTGGGAGCAAAAACCACCCCGTAGTCGGCAGGATTCGAACCTGCGCGGGGAGACCCCAATGGATTTCTAGTCCATCGCCTTAACCACTCGGCCACGACTACAGCTGTGGAACTTCACCCTTTGATAGATTGGTGAAATGACGTGTCAGGTGACGTGTGCAAACTTCTGTCTTTGGTGAGTTTTTTTGGAAATGCTAAGGTGAAATGAGAATTCTAGGAAAGGAAGTCAGGCTATCCTTGGTAATTGAGCGCCCTGCAATTAGAGAGAGTCCTCATCGCACAAGCATTAACGTTTCCAGCAAATATCCAGTCAGTCGAATAACATCCAGCGAGCGCCTGCCTGCCCCGGGACCGGCCAGGCTTCTGTACTCGCCATAGCTGGCACCAAACCCAGCCGGTACCGACGGGGAGTCATGGCCAACTCTCCTCTGATCCGGGGTGTTCGGACTTCCAGGAGCCCAAAGCTCCTCGGTGAACGACGGTGTTCGTAGGGGATTCCAGGCACGGAATCGCTTCCGCTGATTTGTGTCTTAGGTGGAGGGAGCGAAAAATTATGTGGAAAAGTCTCCTCTGTGTCCCTTCGTTGTGACATTAAGTCTTTTAGGCTCAGAATCTGGTTTGAGTTTTGGCCGACACAAGGGCTTCCCGCGTTGCTCTAAATTTAGTCAACTTAGCAAGTTTTCTTTTTCTCCCTCTTACATTTTGACCTTAATATCTCAATAACAGTGTTTTCCTAAGACCTGAGAGTGATTTTGTCTACCCTGCTTAGAGAATCTTAATCTAATTTTCTAAAGAAGAAAGAGAGGTAGAGGAAGAGGAGAAAAGGGAGAGTGGGCAGAGGAGGAGAAGAGAACGATGACAGAGGGGTCTATTGTGACATCTGAACGGAGGAGAGGAGAGGGGTGAAGAGAAGAGTGAAGGCAGGGTAAGGGGGAGTGAAGAAATATTGCTTTGCTATGGAAATATTAATAAAACCAACTATAAGAAATCCCATGGTTTAACGAAAGGGAGTCTGCTCTGAGGGGAGTATTAAGCTGAGTTTGGAGTAAGAGAACCAGATTCCGTATTTAACTGAGGAGTCTGTTATTTAAACTTTCTTGTTAAAATGAGTATCAGTCACATAAACCTCCTTTAAAAATCGTGTCAAGTTATGAAATGACTAAATACAAATTTAAAGGAAAATATAAGTTGTGATAGAAGGTGTTTCCATAGTCATATCATATGCCTTTTATTTGGTCTACACATTTTAACAAGCATATAACATTTTAATTAGATTCCTTCAGAACTCTAGTTTGAAGGGAGTTAAATACTGAAGAAATAACAGACTTTTCATGCTTAAAAAAATCATTAAAAAAGGAAACTTGCTTTGATTAATATTAATATGAACTGAATTTATTGAATCAATTCTTGTTTTGCTTAGAATAAAATGAACAGAGACTTGTGATAGCTTCAATCGTTTTTTTTTTTTTTCTCCTCATTCATATGTGTGGACCAAAGCATGGCAGAATAGATTCAGGTAAAACAAATGAATCAGGGTTCACTTGTAGGAAACAAAACTATTCTAGACATTTTAGTCCCAAACTGAAAACAGTCCAAAGTCCATCAACAATAGAAAAGATAGTTGTTTTTCATACAAAGGAACAGTAGAGCAATAAGAACAAAGAATTTTCAATTACACACAAATTGGAAGAATCTCACAAACATAATATTGAAGTGATGCCATACACAAAGGCATACATGCTTTTGTTTATATGTACTGTAGCTCAAAACAAACTAAACAAATCTGTGGTGTTAGAAATCAGGAAGGTGATTGTTGAAGGTAATTACACTGAGAAAGGCCATGAAGAGACTTGTTGGAGATCGTGGGGATGGTTCTATTTCTCAGTCTGAGTTCTGGGTTCATAGGTGTGTTCACTTTGTGAAATTTCTTGAGCTGTATAATTATGATACAGATACCTTTCTGTATCAATATTGTGTTATATGTCAATTAAAAATGTACTTAGGCAAGGTGTGGTGGCTCACATATGTAAATGCAGCACTTTGGGAGGCCGAGGTGGGAGGATCACTTGAGGCCAGGCATCCAAGACCAACCTGGGCAACAGCCTGGGCAACGAAGCAAGACCCTTATCTCTACCAAAAAAAAAAAATTAATTAATTAAATTAATTGATTTATTTATTTTATTTTTGAGATGGGGTCTCACTCTGTTGCCCAGGCTGGAGTGCAGTGGCACAATCTCCGCCTCCTAGGTTCAAAGGATTCTTCTGCCTCAGCCCTATGAGTAACTGGGATTACAGGCACACGCCACCACGCCCAGCTAATTTTTGTATTTTTAGTAGAGATGAGGTTTCGCCATGTTGGCCAGGCTGGCCTTGAATTCCTGACCTCAGGTGATCCACCTGCCTCAGCCTCCCAAAGTGCTGAGATTATATGCATGAGCCACTGTGCCCGGCCAAACTAAATAATAAAAAAACTGTACCTAAGAATCAAAACCTCTCAAACTATTTTAAATAAAACGGGATTAATAAAGAATATAGAGGCTTACAAAATTTTTAGAAGAGAGGGATGGAGGAAGGTATCAGTTCTAATTTGATTCTGCAGGAATTGTTCCCAAAATAACCTCGAAGAAATAGTCTCCATCGAGGCTGTTGTTGTTCCCACAATCAAGAAAGTAGGAACTCAAGATGCTTTCACTAGAATTGTTCATTTCAGGTAAGTCTGTCAGTGATTTGTGCCCAGGTCTTAATTTATAAAGATGATGGAGTGAAGACAGAGAGGTCAATGCCATTGAAAGAAAATTATAATGTTATTCACAGTTTCCCTAGAAACGAGAAGTGCAGCACACCATGCAGGGCCACACTGGGAAGTACCAGTGTCACCCAGGAGGCAGAAAGGAGTGAAAAGGAAGGCATAAATTAAAGTCTTTGTTGGGGTTTCCATGGGAAAGGCAGGGCAGATCAGGGTAAACAGTTTAGAATTGGCTAGTTTGAATAATTCTGGCAGGCTTTGGATATAGAGGCTGTCCCTGGTTGTCTGATATTTGGCCCTTAGTTGACTTACCCCAGGGGAAATATTGGCTTAGTGTGTGAGTTAGATAAAGGAGGTCATTCAAAGTATGGGCTCTGGATAGCAGGAGAAGTAAATAACTTTGGCTATAGTTTGGCCCCTCTGATCAACGATGCCAAATGGATCAATGGATGCCAAATAGACAAATACAGGCTCAAAGAAAACACAGAGCAGTCAGAAAGCAATTTACATTTCTAAACAAGTTGCCAAATTCTGTTGCTGCTGGTCTGGGAACCATACTTTGAGAATCACATTTTGCAGAGCACAGCATGCCTCCCAGATGTGAATGAGCAAACTGATGCTCCTTATGTTGTGTTCCTCTGCAGAAAACCTCGAGTCCATGACAATGCTTGTGAACATAAAAAAACAGAAACAGAAGGCTCCTTATTTCCATATTTGAAAATCCTGAGGCAAAGCTTAAATCACACCCAGAACCCTAACTGCAAGAGTTGGAGAAATGTTGTTCTCTCTAGCCTCTGGTCTAGGAAGGCTCACTTGAAGGAGATGGAGATGGTTACTACCAATCTACTATACCCTGTACAGATGTTGAAGCTGAAATGTTTTGCCAAAATAGAGGGCCTTCCCAGAGGATTAAAAGTAATGTCAGTATTGCACTGAGGAGGAACTTTCACTGTCCTTGAAAGAGGACCCAGTGTAACAGACTGGTGTATTAGTCCATTTTCACATGTTCCAGGGCAGGAAGCATCCAGCATGGGAGAAAGATGTGGGCTGATGGGCTAGGCCCATCTCGTCCCTTCAAGTTTTTCTGCCTGCTTTATATTCGCTGGTGGATAATTAGATGGTGCCCACCCAATTAACGGTGGGTCTGCCTTCCCCAGCCCAGTGACTCAAATGTTAATCTCCTTTGGCAACACCCTGACAGACACACCCAGGATCAATATTGCATCCTTCAATCCAATCAAATCGACACTCAGTATTAACCATCACACTAGACATGAATCCTTTGTCATAAATATGTATTACAAATATCTTCTTCTATTCTGTGCTTTGCCTTTTTACATTGTTGATGGTGTCTTTGGATGACTGAAGTTCTGAAGTCTAAAAGAAAGTCAGTTTATCAATCTGTTTCTTTTATAGTTATTGCTTTTTGTGCTTATTAAACAGGAAGTATTTGCCAACCCAAAGTTCATGAAGATAGTTCATTGTTTTCCTTTATAACTTTTATTGTTTTAACTTGGACATTTGGATTTTTAATCTATCTTGAATTTTTTTAGGGAATAATTTAAGGAAGACGTCAGTGCCCACATTGTCTTCCTTTGTATATCCTGTTGATTCAGCACCACCTTTGGAAAAATCTCTCTTTCCCTGATTGAATTGCATTGTATGTGGTTTTACATAGGTAGATCCATTTTGTTTCATTGGTCTCTATCTTTATGTCAGTAACACTCTTTCTTAATCAGTGTATCTTCAGAATAAAATAAATCTCATTATGTGGTAGTGAAAGTCCTTCAGATTTGCTCTTCTTCTGAAAGATTTCCTTGGTGATTCTAGGTCCTTTCCAGTTGCACATGTGTTGTAGAAACAACTTGTCAATTCTACCAAAAGTCCTGTTTCAATATTTTATTTCAATTACATTGAATCTGAGCCTTTCAATCAATGAATACGTTATATCCCTTCACTTATTTTGATATTTAAAAACTTCTGTGCACAGTGATTTGTAGCTATTAATGTACCACTCACATATTTTTATTACATTTATTATTGTATTTATTATTAGGTTATTGATAGTGTTCTTGATATTGTAAATCACAGTTTTAAAATGTATTGTCTATTTTTTCAAAGTATATATGAATACAACATATATTTGAATATTGGTTTTTGTACCCAGCAAACTTATTTTCACTTAATGATTCTAATGATTTGTAGATTTTAGAGATTTTTCAAATACATAAATACATTATCTGCCAATGATGGCAGTCCTATTTCTTCATTTCAATTTTAATATCTTTTAATATTTTGTCTTATGTAATGGCCTAAGATGCCCAATACAATGTTGAATAGCAGTGGTGATAGTGGTCATGCTTGTCTTGGTCCCAATATCTGGGAGAAAGTGTTAAATATTTACTATAATTAGGATATTAAATGTAGGATTTTGTATATATGCATTCTGGGATTAAGAAATTTCCTTTCTATACATAGATTGCTTTTTTTTTTTTAACCAACGTGGTGTTGAATTTTGTCAAATACTTTTACTGCATCTACTGATATGATTATTTGGTTTTTTCTCTTATACTTTGTGGTAAATTTAAAGTGATTGATTTTTTATATTAAAAAATTTGTGTTACTGAAACACACATTACAGCTTAACATTTGACTGTTCTTTCTGCATATTACTGGGTCTGATTGCTCTTACAGTCTTTAGTGGTTTTATATCTAGAATGTTTAACACAAAGATTGACTTGTAATTTCTTCTTTAGTAATTCCTTGTCAGGTTTTAGTATGAAGATTATGCTGGCCCTATAAAAAGAATTGTGAAGAGTTTTCATTTTTTCTATTTTCCGAAAGAGTATGTGTATATTAGATCTTCCTTAACGTTTTAAGATTTCAGCAATGAAGCCATTTTTGCATAGTGTTTGCCTGCTTTGTCTGAAGGTGTTATAGGCTGAATTGTGTCCCCTCAAAATTTACCTGTTGAAGTCCTAACCCCCAGTACCTCAGAATATGACCGTATGTGGAGATGGAACCTTTAAAGAAGTGATTGAGTTTAAATGAGACCATTAAGGTGGGCCCTAATCTGATCTGACTGGTGAAAAATAAAGATAATTTAAGTCAAACAAAAGTTGAGGCAATATCTCATTAACAGATGTGTATTACAAGACATAATAAAGGTTTTGTTTGTTTTTTGTTTTTGTTTTTTTTTTGAGACAGGGTCTTGCTCTGTCACCCAGGCTGGAGTGCAGTGGCATGATCTCGGCTCACTGCAGCCTCTGTCTCCCGGGTTCAAGTGATTCTCCTGCCTCACCCCCCTGAATAGCTGGGATTACAGGGGCCCGCCACCATGCCCAGCTAACTTTTGTATGTTTAGTAGAGACAGGGTTTCACTATGTTGTCCAGGCTGGTCTCGAACTCCTGACCTCAGATGATCCGCCCGCCTCAGCCTCCCAAGGTGCTGGGATTACAGGTGTGATCTACCACGCCCAGCCAACAAAGGGTTTTCTCGAGGCTAAAGTAAAACGAAAAATCTGAAAGTTGGAATTAATAAAAGAATTGGCATGGTAGCTGGTTTCATGATCAAGATACAAAAATTCAAATGTATTTGTATATTAAAAACAAACAAGTGAAAATTAAAAATTAAAAGTTTGGCTGGGCGCGGTGGCACATGCCTGTAATCTCAGCATTTTGGAGGCCAAGGTGGGCAGATCACCTGAGGTCAGGTGTTCGAGACCAGCCTGGTCAACATGGTGAAACCCCATCTCTACTAAAAATACAAAATATTAGCTGGGCCTGGTGGTGTGCGCCTGTAGTCCCAGCTACTCGGGAGGCTGAGGCAGGAGAACAGCTTGAACCCGGGAGGCAGAGGTTGCAGTGAGCCAAGATCACACCACTGCACTCTAGCCTGTCAACAGAGGGAGACTCAAAAAAAAAAAAAAAAAAAAAAGTGAAAGAGTTGCATACAGTGATTGGAATAAATGCTTAGGCTGGGCACAGTGGCACATGCCTTTAATCCCAGCACTTTGGGAAGCTGAGGCGGGGAGATCATTTGAGGTCAGGAGTTCGAGACCAGCCTGGCTAACATTGTGAAACCCTGTCTCTACTAAAAATACAAAACTTAGCTGGGCGTGGTGGTATATGCCTGTAATCCCAGTTACTCGGGAGGCTGAGGCAGGAGAATTGCTTGAACCTGGGAGGCAGAGGTTGCAGTGAGCCAAGATCGTGGCACTGCACTCCAGCCTGGGCAACAGAGCGAGATTCCATCTCAAAAAAAAAGAAAAAAAAAAAAGAAAGAAAAGAAAAGAAAAGAAAATTAGCTGGGTATGGTGGCACACACCTGTAGTCCCACCTACTCAGGAGGCTGAGGCAGGAGGATCTGTTGAACCTGGGAGTGGGAGGGTGCAGTGAGCCGAAATTGTGCCACTGTGCTCCAGCCTGGGCGACAAAGTGAGAACCTGTCTGAAAAAAACTAAAAACACAAAATAAAATAAAATAAAACAAAAATAAGTAAATTAAAATTAAAAGTTCCAGTTTCAATATCATAAAAATTGTCAACTGCCTAGGGGCAAATCTTAAAATGATGTGCTTATGGCTACGTTAAACATTTTATGTATAAATAAAAATTAATTCAGGAGAACAAGAATAATATAAATATTTCTCAACCTAAAAAGAGGCAAGAGAGAATCAGAGAAGAACATATTGCTGAAATTAAAAGGATAGCAAGATGGTACACTTAAACTCAACTAAATATGTTTTGAATATACACAGACTAAATATTTCAATTAAAAAATAGATTGGGCCGGGCACGGTGGCTCACGCCTATAATTCCAACACTTTGGGAGGCCGAGGTGGGCAGATCACGAGGTCAGGAGTTCGAGACCAGCCTGGCCAACATGGTGAAACCCTGTCTGTATACTAAAAATACAAAAATTAGCTGGGCGTGGTGGTGGGCACCTGTAATCCCAGCTACTGGGGAGGCTGAGGGAGGAGAATTGTTTGAATCCAAGAGGCAGAGGTTTCAGTGAGCCAAGATCACACCATTGCACTCCAGCTTTAGCGACAGGGTGGGACTCTATCTCAAAAACAAACAAAACAGATTGGGCCTGGTGCAGTGGTTCCTGCCTGTAATCCCAGCACTTCGGGAGGCTGAGGCGGGTGGATCTTGTGAGCCCAGAAGTTAGAGACCAGCCTAGGCTATACAGGATATTAATCTAGATATTAATTATTTGATGGCTTCAGATATAGATATAGATATAAATATAGATATTGTAAATGCCATTTCCATTCCTTGGCTGTGTTTTCACTCTTTTAATGCTGTCTTTTGCAGCCAATAAATCCCTTATTTAAAATAAGCCCAATGCATCTTATTTTATGATTTATGTTCCTAATGTACTGTTTGAGAAATCTTTGCCTAGCCCAAGATCATGAAGATGTTCTACTGTGTTTTCTTCTAGAAATTTTATCTTTTTTTCTATCACATTGATGTCTATTATATAATAAAATAATTTTGTTTATAATGTGACATAGGGGTCAAGGTTTATTTTTACTCTATGTGATTAAAAAGATCATTCTTACTTGACTGAATTGACCTACGTATTTTGTAAATTGGCAGCATAAGTTTTCAAGCTTAGTTAATCTTCTACAATATTGACATGATTTTTCAAATTCCTTTGCATTTACAAAAATATACTTAATTTCCACAAAAATACATGCTGGTATTTTGATTGGGATTTCATTGAATCTATTGATCAATTTAGGAAAAATTAATATCCTAACAATATTAAATCTTCCTAATTATAAACCTGATACATCACTTCATTCATTTAAGTCTTCTTTAATTTATCCCAGTAATGTTTTTTAGTTTTTATTATAGTTTTTTTGCACATTTTTTTTACATTTATTAATGCTGTTGTAAATGGAACTTTTTGTTGTTGTTTTGTGAAACAGTATCTCACTTTGTCACCCACGCTGGAGTGTAGTGGCATGGTCATGGCTTACTGCACCCTTGACCTTCCAGGTTCAAGCGATCCTCTTACCTCAGCCTCCCAAGTAGCTGAGACCACAAATGTGCACCACCACGCCTGGCTAATTTTTTTAAACAATGTTTTTGTAGAGATAGGCTCTCACTATATTGTCTAGTCTCAAACTCCTGGGCTCAAGAGACTTTCCTGCCTCTGCCTCCCAAAGTGCTGGGATTACAGGTGGGAGCCACTGCACTCATCCTCAAAAATTGACTTTTTAAAATTTCATTTTTCATTTGTTTGTTGCTAGTATACGTGAGCATATTTGATATTTTGTATGTTGACCATGAAGTCAGTACCATGCTAAATTTACTTACTAATTCCAATCATTTTTTAGATTCTTCTCAGTTTTGTACACTCATAATCAAGTTCTAATAATGAAGGCTGTATTTCCCAATATTAATATCAATCATTTATTTTTCTTATTTTACTGCAGTAGCTACTATTGCCACCATAGTATTGAATAGAAGTGATAATCGTGGGCATTCTTGTCATGTTCCCAAACTCAGGTTCATCGTAGGTGTTTTGTAGTTAAGATTTATTAGACTAAAGAAATTCCCCTTTATTCTCATTTTGAGAGTTTTTAATCATGAATTATTGAATTTTATCAAATGCTTAGTCTATGTCTACTAAGATGAAAATTTGGTTTTTATATTTATTCTATTAATGTGGCAAATTACATTTTAAAAAGTTAAACCCCTCTCCCTCTCCCTCTCCCTCTCCCTCACCCCACGGTCTCCCTCTCATGCGGAGCCGAAGCTGGACTGTACTGCTGCCATCTCGGCTCACTGCAACCTCCCTGCCTGATTCTCCTGCCTCAGTCTGCCGAATGCCTGCAATTGCAGGCACGCGCCGCCACGCCTGACTGGTTTTGGTGGAGACGGGGTTTCGCTGTGTTGGCCGGGCCGGTCTCCAGCCCCTAACCGCGAGTGATCCGCCAACCTCGGCCTCCCAAGGTGCCGGGATTGCAGACGGAGTCTCGTTCACTCAGTGCTCAATGGTGCCCAGGCTGGAGTGCAGTGGCGTGATCTCGGCTCACTACAACCTACACCTCCCAGCCGCCTGCCTTGGCCTCCCAAAGTGCCGAGATTGCAGCCTCTGCCCGGCCGCCACCCCGTCTGGGAAGTGAGGAGTGTCTCTGCCTGGCCGCCCATCGTCTGGGATGTGAGGAGCCCCTCTGCCTGGCTGCCCAGTCTGGAAAGTGAGGAACGTCTCCGCCCGGCCGCCATCCCATCTAGGAAGTGAGGAGCGCCTCTTCCCAGCCGCCATCACATCTAGGAAGTGAGGAGCGTCTCTGCCCGGCCGCCCATCGTCTGAGATGTGGGGAGCGCCTCTGCCCCGCCGCCCCATCTGGGATGTGAGGAGCGCCTCTGCCCGGCCGAGACCCCGTCTGGGAGGTGAGGAGCGTCTCTGCCCGGCCGCCCCGTCTGAGAAGTGAGGAGACCCTCTGCCTGGCAACCACCCCGTCTGAAAAGTGAGGAGCCCCTCCGCCCGGCAGCCACCCCATCTGGGAAGTGAGGAGCGTCTCCGCCCGGCAGCCACCCCGTCCGGGAGGGAGGTGGGGGGGGGTCAGCCCCCCGCCCGTCCAGCCGCCCCATCCGGGAGGGAGGTGGGGGGTCAGCCCCCCGCCCGGCCAGCCGCCCCGTCCGGGAGGTGAGGGGCGCCTCGGCCCGGCCGCCCCTACTGGGAAGTGAGGAGCCCCTCAGCCCGGCCAGCCACCCCGTCTGGGAGGGAGATGGGGGGGTCAGCCCCCCCACCCGGCCAGCCGCCCCGTCCGGGAGGGAGGTGGGGGGGTCAGCCCTCCGCCCAGCCAGCCGCCCCGTCTGGGAGGTGAGGGGCGCCTCTGCCCGGCCGCCCCTACTGGGAAGTGAGGAGCCCCTCTGCCCGGCCAGCCGCCCCGTCCGGGAGGGAGGTGGGGGGGTCAGCCCTCCGCCCGGCCAGCCGCCCTGTCCGGGAGGGAGGTGGGGGGGTCAGCCCTCCGCCCGGCCAGCCGCCCCGTCTGGGAGGTGAGGGGCGCCTCTGCCCGGCCGCTCCTACTGGGAAGTGAGGAGCCCCTCTGCCCGGCCAGCCGCCCCGTCCGGGAGGGAGGTGGGGGGGTCGGCCCCCCGCCCGGCCAGCCGCCCCGTCCGGGAGGGAGGTGGGGGTGTCAGCCCCCGCCCGGCCAGCCGCCCCGTCCGGGAGGGAGGTGGGGGGGTCAGCCCCCCGCCCAGCCAGCCGCCCCGTCCGGGAGGGAGGTGGCGGGGGTCAGTCCCCCTGCCCGGCCAGCCGCCCCGTCCGGGAGGTGAGGGGCACCTCTGCCCGGCCGCCCCTACTGGGAAGTGAGGAGCCCCTCTGCCCGGCCAGCCGCCCCGTCCGGGAGGGAGGTGGGGGGGGTCAGCCCCCCGCCCGGCCAGCCGCCCCCTCCGGGAGGGAGGTGGGGGGGGTCAGCCCCCCTGCCCGGCCAGCCGCCCCGTCCGGGAGGTGAGGGGCGCCTCTGCCCGGCCGCCCCTACTGGGAAGTGAGTAGCCCCTCTGCCCGGCCACCACCCCGTCTGGGAGGTGTGCCCAACAGCTCATTGAGAACGGGCCAGGATGACAATGGCGGCTTTGTGGAATAGAAAGGCGGGAAAGGTGGGGAAAAGATTGAGAAATCGGATGGTTGCCGTGTCTGTGTAGAAAGAAGTAGACATGGGAGACTTTTCATTTTGTTCTGCACTAAGAAAAATTCCTCTGCCTTGGGATCTTGTTGATCTGTGACCTTACCCTCAACCCTGTGCTCTCTGAAACATGTGCTGTGTCCACTCAGGATTAAATGGATTAAGGGCGGTGCAAGATGTGCTTTGTTAAACAGATGCTTGAAGGCAGCATGCTCGTTAAGAGTCATCACCAATCCCTAATCTCAAGTAATCAGGGACACAAACACTGCGGAAGGCCGCAGGGTCCTCTGCCTAGGAAAACCAGAGACCTTTGTTCACTTGTTTATCTGCTGACCTTCCCTCCACTATTGTCCCATGACCCTGCCAAATCCCCCTCTGTGAGAAACACCCAAGAATTATCAATAAAAAAATAAATTTAAAAAAAAAAAAAGTTAAACCAAATTTCCATTTCTAGAGTAAATCTGATTTGAATATAATGTTTTGACTTTTAAAATAATATGCTTTATTTACTTTGCTAATATTTTGGTAAAAAGTTTTGAGTCTATGTTTAAAAGAAATATTGGCTTGTAATATTCTGTTCTTGTACTCTCTTTCTGGGTTTTGGTATCAGAATTATGTCTGTGTAGTTAAATTAGCTGAACAATGTTTTCTCTTTTTCAGTTCTCTGAATAGCTTTCTGAAAGACTGATATTATTTATCTCTTACTTGTATGTGGGAATTCACAAGTGAATCTACCTACGCCTGGAAGTGTATATGAGTGGCTCTTTAAATTATGGATTTAATTTTTCCAATAAGTATAGGGCAATAAAGATTTCCTATTGCTTTTGGTGTCAGTTGTGGCATATTGTTTGTCTTTTTTTCTTTCTTTCTTTCTTTTTTTTTTTTTTTTGAGACGGAGTCTCACTCTGTGGCCCAGGCTTGAGTGCAGTGGCGCGATCTTGGCTCACTGCAACCTCCGCCTCCCGGGTTCAAGCAATTCTTGTGCCTCAGCCTCCAGAGTAGCTGGGATCACAGGCATGTGCCACCACGCCTGGCTAATTTTTGTATTTTTAGTAGAGAAAGGGTTTCACCATGTTGGCCAGGCTGGTCTCAAACTCCTGACCTCAGGTGATCCACCTGCCTCGGTCTCCCAAAGTGCTAGGATTACAGGCGTGATCCACTGCACCCGGCCATATTGTGTTTTTCAAGGAATATATCTATTTCATCAAATGTTTCACATATATTGACATAAACACATTTATAATACCTCTTTCTTGTTTTTAAAATATCTTTAGGGTGTATATATGTGTGCATGTATATATATATATATATATATATATATATACACATACACACACACACATACATATAATCTGTTTCATTCCCAATGCTAGTATTCATGTGTTATCTTACCCTCTTTTTAAAATCAGTCTTATTCAGGGTACATTCGTTTTATCAATCTTTTCAAAGAACCAAACTTTTACTTTGTTGATTTTCTGTGATGTATGTTTGCTTTCCATTTTATTGATTTCTGCACTTATTTTTAATAGCTCCTTGTACTTTTTGCATTTAAATTGCTGGCTTTTTATAGTCTCTTGAGTTAGATCATGGATTTTCAATCTTTCTATTGTTGTAATACATGTAGTTAAAAGTAAAAATTGTTCTCTATAAACAGCTTTAGATGCATTAGACAAATTATGATACGTCTTATTTTCATTATCTTTCAGCTTAAAACATTTAAAAATTTATATTGTGTTTTCTTCTTTGACCTGTAGAGTGTAGGACACAAACTGCTTTATTTCCAAACATTCAGAGTCTTCTGGTAGTTTTTCCCGGATACAACAAAGACTGAAGCTTTGTTACAATTTGTCTAGTTTAGTTTTTCCTTGCTGTGAAGGCATAGCCTTACTCCTTTTATGTGGTCCTTACTTTAAAGGTTTATCACTTAGTGCTAAGGGTTAGTATTTCTGAAGTCTCAAAACAACAGCCATTTTACCAATGGGGCTCCAACTGGGAGAGGCATGAACATCAACCTCTGTCTCCCTAGAACCATGCAGCTACTGGATCTCTACAGATCATTAGCCTTCCAGTTGCTCTTTCCTGTACTGGAACATCTTCCTGTGTAGGTACAACTTAGGAATTAGCCAGTAATATAAGGAGAATTTATAATACAAATTTGAGATCTTTCTCTGTGGTTCCCTCATCACTTGAATTTTGACCATCAAGTTCTATGCACGTTGGTAGCCCCAAACTCTGACCAGTATCTCCTTAGTCCAGCACAACTGCCTCTTTCCACATGAGGTCTATTCCACAATGGTGCAATACGGGACACACCTTCAGGAGGAAAGCACTTTCAAATGTGCAAACTCATATAATGTGCTTCCCTTCTCTCAAGGATTGTAGTTTGTCAAGCCTTGCCTGGGTTGACAGCTTATCAGTGCCTTCAAACAGTTGCTTTAAGTCGGGCTTGGTGGCTCACACCTGTAATCCCAGCATTTTGGGAGGCTGAGGCAGGTAGATCACGAGGTCAGGAGTTCAAGACCAGCCTGGCCAACGTGGTGAAACCCTGTCTCTACTCAAAATACACGCCTGCAATCCCAGCTACTCGGGAGGCTGAGCCAGGAGAATGGCTCGAACTCAGGAGGCAGAGGTTGTGGTGAGCCAAGATTGCGCCATTGCACAGCAGCTTGGGCGATAGAGCGAGACTCTGTCTCAAAAAAAAAAAAAAGCCAGAAACAAACAAACAAACAAAACAATTGCTTTATAGTTCTTATCCACGATGAATCATTTTTCTTCTAGATTAAAAAAGAAATAATAGATTAAAAGGAAGTAATAGAGACAAACGAGATTCAATGTTAGGTGAAAAGGATGAGGCATCAATCACTCTACTGTTCAATAGTGTTAACGAAAAAAAGAATCCATTGGCTGAAAGTGTTGCACAATAATATTAACTTTTAAATTTGATGGCCAAAATTTCATGACAAAAATGTTAATAATAATTATTTTTCTTTTTTTTTTTTTTGGAGACAGAGTCTTGCTCTGTCGCCCAGGCTGGAGTGCAATGCTGCAATCTTGGTTCACTGCAACCTCCGCCTCCCGGGTTCAAGTGATTCTCCTGCCTCAGCCTCCGAGTAGCTGGGATTACAGGTGCCCGCCACCACACCCAGCTAATTTTTGTATTTTTAGTAGAGATGGGGTTTCAGCAGGTTGGCCAGGCTGGTATCGAACTCCAGACCTCAGGTGATCCACCCGCCTCAGCCTCCCAAAGTGCTTGGATTAGAGGCATGAGCCACCTCGCCTGGCCAATAAGTATTTTTAAAACAAAATCAGACATATTGTTATATGCTGGAAGAGTATTCTTTCATTAAAGAAGCAATGCTGTTGGCTTTGATTATGGCTCACAAAAATATTGCTTTTAATATTCATCCATTCAGCGTTGGTCGAGGGTATATACTAGGTACACTTCTAATTCCTACCTTATTATAAAGGAGCTTAGAATGATTTGGATTTCGCCATACCTTTCCATTTTATATTGTCGTTGCTGTTTTGAAATTTAGTACCATTTGTTTTCATATTCCAACATGTAATCATTACGAAACAATGTTGTTTCAGGCATTCACTCTTTATGTAGCTTTTGTCACATGTTATGAATTTTCTTGCTCACTTATAACATTTTGAATCCCACTCCTTCATCAGTTCTAAATTCCTATTCATTAATGTAGTCGTCACTCTTGTCATATGCATTGTTCAAAATTGTATATTTGCCCTTTTACATTTTAATTCGTATATTTTCATTTATAGTTTTATTAGGCTTTTCTCCTTTTAACTTTCCATTCTGAAATTATTTTAGACTGACAGACACAGTACATGAATAATACAGATAATTCCTGAGCACCCTTCACCCCAATTCCCTCAATATTAGCACATTAAGGATATTCCTATATTTTCTTTTCCTTCTCTCTCTCATATATATACATAAATGTATATTTCTGAACTATTTGACAGTGAGTTTGAAGACACATACCTCCCCTTACCCTTAAATACGTATTTTGTAAATAGGTGTGAATTTTCTTAAAGACATTTTGTTCTATAACCATAGAACAATTAATACAATCAGGAATTCACATTCATAATATTATAAAATCTATAGACTTTATTGAGATTTCACCAACTATTTCAATAATGTCCTTTAAGATAAAAATTCCAGACCATATGTTGCTGTCATATCTTTAAGATCTTCTATAATGTGGACTATTTAGTCAGCCTTTCTTTGTGTTCTGTAACTTTGTTATTTTATTTATTTGTTTATTTATTTATTTATTTATTTATTTATTTTTCCTCCCTGCTTGCCTGTTACTAGGTTGATGCAAAAGTAATTGCAGTTTTTGAGGCGTACAAGTCAGTTATTTTGTTAAAATCTCCCTCAATATGGGTTTGTCTGATGTTTTCTGATTTAGATTACATATTTTTGCCAAGAATACCACAAAAGTGACGTTGTGCTCTCATGAGCACATCCTGTAAAAAAGGTATATAATGTAGATTCGTCCCAATACTGATTCAATCACTTGGGTAAGATGGTATCTACCCGGTTTCTCCACTGTGATGGAGATTACAGTGCAGAGTGGAAATTTTCTTGCTATTACAGAACCTCATGATTTCTACAGCTTATGGTTTTTGCGATCAGTATTTCGTTGGTTTGAAAGAACTCTGCTAAAGAAAAAGAGAACCCAACATTTGCCCAGAAGACTAGAGACTGTGTTTACCGGAAGTGTGCTTTTCTAAAAAAAAGTTTAAGCCTCCTCCCCGTCGGGGAATCGAACCCCGGTCTCCCGCGTGACAGGCGGGGATACTCACCACTATACTAACGAGGAATTGACGTGAAAATGGAGCTCTTAGGAAATCCCTGTGAAGTTACTCGCTATTGTCCATCTTTCTTTGCTCTGTAGTCACACGTTTCCCCTACCAAATATACGCAAGGCAATTCAGCGAACGTGTCTCCGCCCAACCGCGAATCCTCTCCAGTTCCTCCTTCATTCCTCGGACGCTTTGTCAGACCCTTTTAAAAAAGAACTCTCGCTAGCCTCCTTTGTGACGCACTGGTTTCCGTCTATGTTCAACCATGGTTGGAGCCCTAGCTAACATAGGAGTTACAAATCCCGAAAGGTGCATCGGTTGGTTTCAAAGACAGGAAAAGCAGAGGTGGGACCAATACCTGCGCTCCGTTGAGGTAAAATAGATAAAGAGTCTGCAGATGTATTTTTAAAGTTCAGGATGCGTCAAGTGGCACGCAGAAGCTTTATCACGAGTTCCCTCGCCCCCAAACTGAAAGCAAATATGACATCGTATTTCCTCTCTGAAGTAAATACGATTCCTCTCTGTTCTCAGTAAAACATCCCGAAGTCGGCAAAAGTTCAGGCTGCGTTAAGTGGCACGCAGAAGCTCTATTACGAGTTCCTTTACTCCCAAACTGAAAGCAAATATGACATCGTATTTCCTCTCTGAACTGTTCTCAGTAAAACATCCCGAAGTCGGCAAAAGTTCAGGCTATGTTAGGTGACACGCAGAGGCTCTATCACGAGTTTCTTTACTCCCAAACTGAAAGCAAATGTGAGATCCTATTTCCTCGCTGAACTGTTCTCAGTAAAACATCCCGTAGTCGGCAGGATTCGAACCTGCGCGGGGAGACCCCAATGGATTTCTAGTCCATCGCCTTAACCACTCGGCCACGACTACACGAATGGAGAAGGCTCCCTTCACATCTTTAAACAGAATTTACACCAGCTAACTGACAAGAAACGGTCAAAAGAACAAAATACGGTAAAAATGGTTTCCTGGGCAAGAAACTGGAGTCTGCGAGTTCATTAGAAACTCTAACGTGAAGTGCAAGTTGGATAAGACAAGCCAACCTCTCTGGGGCAGCCGCAAGGAGTCCTTGCCCTATCAGCAGTACCGTTTCCAGAAAACTAGAGACCACTGTACCTCTCTCACCTGGACCCAAACTGACCCCGCAAGGAAGTGGAATCAGACCCTCACCGTAAATCTGGGCCTGACACATTTAGTTTTTGTTTGAAACTTCCTCTCATTGAGGCTCCTTGATGAATGCTAATGGCTTTCAAGAAGGGACTAACTTTTGATTTGTGTCTGAACTGGAGGGCCAGAAAATGATGCAGAAAAGCCTACTTGCACTTTCTTGCTCTGATGAGGTCCCTAAGTCTCTAGGCTCACACCAACCCAAGGGAGTATATCTACCCGGTCTCGTTTGCACGGCATTTTGCATTTCACAATGCGCTTCCACGCTTCAGTTGGGTTAAGAAAGAAATTTATAGATTGTTCATGAGTTCCCATGGAACCAGGTTACCTATCAAAAGGAAGATCCTACTTTGATTTTTGGCCAAGGCAGACGCTCCTTCTCTCAAAATCTAACCCACGCAGTATGTTTTCTTTTCCTCTTATGCTTCCGTCTTGAAGTCTAAAGCTGCCGGTCCTGGAGTTTCCCTGAGCCCTTTGGATGCACAGATTATTGTAATTGGCTTTCATCTACTTCTTGGAACCATATACTAATCTAAGAAAAGAGGGAAACAATCGCAAGCTAAGAAATCATGTCGACTAAGTAGATAAATGAGGAAGAGGGACAAGAAGGAAGAGGAAAAGAAGAAAGTGACCAGAAAGGAGAAGAGAGAAAGGAAGGAGGGACAGGAGGTAGAAAGAAGAGGATGAAGGAGAAAGAAGAGGAGGAAGAGGAAGAGGAGAAACGAAGGAAGACCGGGAAGGGAAGAGACAGAGATTTTCTGAGGACCCTTGTTAGAGCTCAGAAAATGATACCCCAAAGTATGGCTCTTGGAAGTGCTGAGTACTTTGAACTAAAGAAGCAACCTCAGAATCAAAGTCTCTCTGACCTTCCGCAGCCCCACTGCCTCCTGATCCTCTTTCTTTCTTGAATGGCAGGGAGGGGCTTTCACTGAAGTTTCCCTTATTTGACTTACGGAGGTTCCTCCAGAAGGAAAGAGATTGTCATGAACCCTCTCCTGGAATCTGTATTAACCAGAGAAGATTAACTCAGATCCCAGGAGAGAAAACTAAAGGTCTCCATGCCCGGGACATCTCGCCCAGCCAGACTTCAATTCTTTTCTTCACCACCTATTCTGAGGGCTGCTACTTGAGAGACTTTATCTGTATAATAAGACAAGCTTTGTTCCCAGAGCTGTTCCTGCCCTGACCCTCACATTGCTTCTCGCCACCACCTTCCAGGAGCCTTCAAGCTCCTATTTCTTTATGTAGCTCCAAGTCCTATTTAAGCTTCAACCATCTGCCCCTTCTTTGAGTCTCACTTACACTTTCTGGGACCTCTGTGCATATGTGCATAATAAATGTGTATGCCTTTTCTTCTGTTAATCTGTCTACTAGCAGCTTTATTTCTCAGACTCAAATATCCAACCTCCAGAAGGGAGAAAAAAGATTCTCTCACCCCTACAGGCTCAAAAGAAGACTAAAAGAAATTCACTAGTTTTATGGAAGACCATAATTTGAGGGAATAGACATGAAGCAGTTTGATGGGGTAGCCAGGTGTCCATACAAATATAAGTTGTGCTATAGATTGTTGTTCATAGTTAATGCATATCACATCCTTTTTATTTGGTGGACATATTTTTATCAAGCACATCTTTATTTTTTTTTGCTGAAATCATTTGCAACTCCAGCTTTGAATAAAGTTAGATACCAAAGAAATATCAAATCTCTTTTAAGAAATTTAAAAAAATTTTAGAATCAGGGTCTTACTCTATCACACAGACTGGAGTGCAGTGGCACCATCATAGCTTACTGTAACCTGAACTCTTGGGCACAAGCCATCCTTCTGCCTCAGCCTCCAGAGTAGCTAGGAATAGAAGCATGCACCACCACTCCTAGCTAACTTTTTTTTCTTTGTAGAAAAAAAATGTATTTTCTTTGTATTCCTTGTATTTGAAGAAAAACTGACAATTTGCCTTTTTAAGTATAGAAGGACATTTGATTTGTTTCCAATTTAGGGCTAAAGTAGAAACTGGACTGGTTTTTGTTTCCTGCAACTAAGTCCTGACTCTCTACCTTTACTGAGATCCATTCTACTATGTTTTTGTTTTCAGCCCAGTAAAACAAGTAAGATTGCAGCTGTGGCCAGTCCCTAGTCATTGTTACAGTAAAACAAGCCAAAGTTGATTAGTAATTTCAGTTCAAATATATCACTAGTTGCTTTGTATTTTGCTGAGGTGTTTTTTTAAGCACAAAAGGTTTCTGAGGGCTGGGTTCAGTGGCTTATGGACTGTAACCCCAGCATTTAGGAAGGCCGAGGTGGGAGGATTGCTTGAGGTCAGGAGTTGGAGGCCACTTTGTGCAACATATAGAGAAGTCACTGAAGACAAAAATTATATCTTTCTGTGTCCTCAACATGTATTGAAAGCCTCATTTGTATAAGGTATGGCTAAAAGTTTTCCAAATCATGAGTGCTGGTTCCTTTGTGCTGAATAGTTCCTTCCTCAGTTTATTTCTTTCCTCATGCATTTCACCATAAGCAGCAATAACTAACCAGGTTGCACATTCCACATTTTACTTGGAAGTCTTCTTAACTAAATATTCAAGTTCATCATGTACAAATTCTGTTTTCCACCCAAATATAGAATACAATTCAGCCAAGGCTCTCCCACTTTATAACAAGATAACCATTCCTTCAGTTTCTAATTGCATGTCATTAATTTCCTTCTGAGACCTTACCATAAGCATATTTAACATTCTTATATTTTAAATTTAATAGAACATTTTGGGAACAGTTTTAGGTTTATAGAAAAATTGAGCAGAAAGTAGAGTTTCAGTATACTCCTTCCTTCTCCCCTCCTCCCCCAGTTTCTCTATTATTAACATCTTGCACTAGTGTGGTACATCTGTTAAAATTGATGAGCCAATGTTGATAAATTATTATTAACTAAAGACCATAGTTTATATTACGGTTCACTCTTTGTGCTGTATATTCTATGGGTTTTAACAAATGTATAACAACATGTATTCGCCATTACAATATCATACAGAATAGTTTCACTGCCTTAAAAATCCACTGAACGTCACTTATTCTTCCCTCTTAAAATCCACTGAACGTCACTTATTCTTCCCTCTTAAAATCCACTGAATGTCACTTATTCTTCCCTTTTTCCCTCCCCCTAAGCCCCTGGCAACCACCAATCTTTGCTGTTTCCATAGATTAGCCTTTTCAGGAATGTTATGTAGATGGAATTATACAGTATATAGCCTTTTCCAGATTGACTTCTTTCACTCACCAATACGCACTTAATATTCTTCTGTTCTTCCTTTTTGGTAGCTTGATAGCTCATTTCTTTTCCTTACTGAATGTTCCATTGTCTGAATGTACCATAGTTTATGTATTCATTCATGTACTGAAGGACATCTGGCTGCTTCCAAGTTTTGCCTATCATGAACAAAGCTGCTATAAACATTCTTGGGCACGTTTTGTGTGGACATACATTTTCAACTCCTTTGCATAAATACCAAGGAACACAATTACTAGATCATATGGTAAGAGTATGTTTAGTTTTGTAAGAAATTGTCAAACTGTCCTCCAACGTAACTCTAATATTTTGCATTCCCACCAGCAATGAATGAAAGTTCCTGTGCTCCACATCCTTGTCAGCATTTGGTATTGTCAGGGTTCTGGATTTTGGCCATTTTGACAGGTGTATAGTGGCATCCCATTGTTTTAATTTGCATTTCACTGAGGACATATGTGGAGCATCTTTTCATATGCTTATTTTCCATCTGCATATCTTCTTTGGTGACATCTGTTAGGGTCTTTGGCCTATTTTTTTAATCGGTTTGTCTCCTTATTGTTGAGTTTTAAGAGTTCTTATATATTTTGGATATCAGTTCTTTATCAGATATGTACTTTGCAAGTATTTTCTCCCAGTCTGTGACTTGTCTTTTCATTCTCTTGAACATTTTTTTTTAAACCAATGTTCTCTTCATGGCAATATATGCATTCTCTAAGATGACCGAAGCTTTCTCTATCATGTTCCCTTGACTGTAATTGTTTTTCATACACTCTGTTAGGATTTCCAGGTTTAATGTTTGTCAGCCAACAGTCTGAGAGACTTGACCTTGGCCCCTTATCCAAATGCTGGGGATGCACGCCAGCATAATAAAATGCAAGTGCCATGTCTTAAATATAAAAACCTACCGATTTGTTGGATTCTTTTTTTCTGCCAAGGACACAGTGACAGACTGGCCATGGGCTACACTTGCAGCTATGTGCTCGCTGACACAGGCATATAAAATGCTTTACTAAGTGGCAAAACATGGGAATATTATCTCCGGGTTTCCTTAAGCATTAGAAAAACATGTTGGGGCCGGGCGCAGTGGCTCACGCCTGCAATCCCAGCACTTTGGGAGGCCGAGGCGGGCGGATCACTTGAGGTCAGGAGTTCGAGACCAGCCTGGCCAACATGGTGACCCCCTCGTCTCTACTAAAAATACAAAAATTAGCCGGGGATGGTGGTGCATGCCTGTAATCCCAGCTACTCGGGAGGCTGAGGCAGGAGAATCGCTTGAACCCGGGAGGTGGAGGTTGCAGCGAGCCGAGATCGCGCCATTGCACTCCAGCCTGAGCAACAGAGCTAGATTCCGTCTCAAAAAAAAAAAAAAAAAAAAAAAAGTTGGTCGCCACTCATTTGAGAGTCGTGAAAACAATTTTAATGGGTAACTACCAGTATTTTCAAAACGACAAAAGAGTAGAACAGAAAATAGAAGGTAGAACATGTAATAAAGGTAACGATTGTTTGCGTTTTAAAACTGTGTGTAGACGTGTATTTCTTTTTTTTCTTTTCTTTCTTTCTTTTTTTTTTTTTTGTTGTTTTGTTTTTTTGAGACGGAGTCTCGCTCTGCCGCCCAGGCTGGAGTGCAGTGGCGCGATCTCGGCTGACTGCAACCTCTTCCTCCCGGGTTCAAGCGATTCTTCTGCCTCTGCCTCCTGAGTAGCTACAGGCGCGCGCCACCACGCCCGGCTAATTTTTGTATTTTTAGTAGAGACGGGGTGTCACCATATTGGCCAGGCTGAGTCTCGAACTCCTGACCTAGTGATCCACCCACCTCGGCCTCCCAAAGTGCTCAGATTACAGACGTGAGCCACTGCGCTCGGTCAGTAGACGTGCATTTCTTATAATCAGTTCAGTCAGACAAGTTTACAATGCACACGCATACCTGAAACAGGAGCAAAAGACTGGCGGCGAAAATGTGCGGCCCATCGCAGGGCGAAAGTACACGTTAGCTAAAGCCTCTGGGAAATGAAGTTCAGGAACACCTTCGCGGAGTGTTCTGGGAACGCTGGTCCAGTGTGCCCGCCCGGCGCCGGCGTGCGGGGCGGGGCTCGCTCGTAACGACCGGAAGTGACCGTTGAAGCCGGTTGTAGGCGTGGAAAGAGGTTGGCGCGCTGGAAGTCCAGTTGCTTCGGCTCCCTGCGTTAGGTCTGGTGGCGGTCAATGCGCTTCCGGACCCGGGATCAGAGTGTGTGGATCGCTATAGGGGGAGGGGAGCTCAGGTATCACCATGGCAACAGCCAGCCCTCCGGACTCGTGACGTCACCCTTCTGATTTCGCGCTTAGAGGCCTCTGCAGGAGAAAGCTGGGGAGTCCTCGAAGGGGGCGCACCTCGCCTCCTTCTGTGCGGGGCGGTCCCGCCCTGATCCCTTGGAGGGCTTTGTTCTTTTGTTCTGGCCTAAGGGGAAGTCGGGTGCCGGGCCCCGCCCTGTTTGTCCACCTTCCAGCTTTAACGCTCTGCAACAGGTGTGTCTTCGTGTTATCCGAGCTCGCAGGGGTGTGAGTCACAAGTGTGCACAGAGGGAACACACCAGGTCTGTGGATGCCCCGGCCAGATTCTAGGGTGGGCACCAAGGGTTTTTTGGATCTGAAGCAGAACCCGCGTACCCGATCTCCACTCTGTTTTGTTCATCGGAGTGCCACACACCTCTCTAGTGCTCTCTTGGGGCACTTCTCTTGTGTAGCACCTCTTGGTCACTTTGCAAGACTCTGATGTGTGATTGTGTGACGTATGCTGCTGACGCCATCCTGTGTCTTTTAGGGTAGACAACCTCAGCGTGTTGCAGATTCCCTGCAAGGGGAGTTAGACATCTGAGTCCTAGACCGAGATACCAGCTGAAGGAACGCTGCCTGGCGAACCCTGGTGTTCAAGTTCCAGAGGAACGGGATGAGCTCCTGAGATGGAAGGTAGTGGGGTCGACTTGGGGGAGAGCGGGGTGATGGAGGCTTGAGAACAGTCATGACTGGAGTATCAAATACTTGAGATCAGAGCAGGAGATTTGGAAGGAAGGAACGGTATGCTTAGGGATTAGCAAAGAAACCGAATTACATTGTAGGGAGAGATTCTGTTTTATAGAGAGATACTTGGGAGAGGAGTTTATTTTTTTCTTTCGTTCCATTGGGGAATGAAAAGACATAATCATTCAGAATATCTGTGATCCCCACATGACTTCTGAATATTAAATATTAAAATTATAATCTTGAAGTCAGAAGACATCTTGGCAATTATCCCTTCAATGAAAGAGTCAGTTTTGAAATCTCCTTGGCAGACGGCTGTCTGTCAACCCTATGCCCGAACTAGTGTGGCATTAAACTCGCCATTTTGGGTGCAGACTATTCCCTTGTTGGCTTTCTTTTTTAGTTTCTTATATTAAACAGATGTACTTGTCCCTGTAACTTTTGTGTTGATCTTAGTTCTTAGTCCTCCAAAGAAAAGGAAACTGTCTGTTCTTTCTTTCACACTGCTGCCCTTAAGATATGTGAATTCAGCTGTTACAACTCCTCCTCATAAATTCTTTTCTAAGCAATATAGCCTCACTTCTTTTGATTGGTCTATGTGATGTATCTAGACCTTTCTCTGAAAACTCTCCTGCTTGTCAGCATTTTTCTTAAAATGCAGTGCCTAATGGTAAACATAGCTCTTTGGATGTGCTTTGAAAAGTACCTGAGAGGATAATGTACTACTTCCTTTGACTCGGATTATACTTCCGCTGTTTGGCATTAGATCACATTTGCTTTAAAAACTATCAGTGATGTACTGTAAACTTTAGATCTTTTTTACATAAACTGCAGTGATCTAGATTTACACCATTTTTGTGTAATGGAATTATTATTATCCTTAATGTCATGACTTACATTTATGACTGTTCAATTTTTTGGTCACATGTTTTAGGCTTTCAGAATGATTATGAATCCTAATTTAGTTATTCAGTGCCTTAACTGTCCTTTCTAACTTAATGCCACTAGCGGATTTGATGAATATTCCTTCTATTTCTTCCTACCTGTCATTGAACAGATCAGGGTAAGGATAGAGGCTTATGACATGTCCCTATGGAGTTCTCTCTGCATTGGTGTTGTCTTTACATTCTTTAGGTATGGCTGTGCAATCAAGTTTGGTTTGACCTAACTATTATCATGCAGTCCTTTTTTTGCCTTTGTTAAAGATAATATCATTAGAAGTCTTAACATTATTCATATTAGTCATGTGAATAATGTAGGTTTGGTCCATACTTTTCTTCAATTTTTTGTACTTCAAGTCTTTTTTACAGTGGATTTTTTTATATATATATTCTAAGTTTCTCAGAATTAAATCAGCCAAAGTAGTTTCATTAAAAGCCTTTGTATTTTCTTTATTTTGTGGATTTCTCACAATTTTATCATTAGGATTAACTTTACTGAGCCTCTGTTCCTTGTAATCATAACTTTTGTAGCACATACTGAGCATTTACTATGTGCCAAGCACACAGTTGGTTTCTGTAACTGTTGCTGTTTTTGGTTCTGTTGGTTGCTGTTATTTGGAATAAAAAGCATCTTACCTGAGACATTTCTCTTGATTCTGTTTTCCTAAAGTCTTAGGTACCTGTCTGTGCATTTAGAACATTTTCTTTCACTGTTAAGAGCTTCCAAGATAATATCTTCATTTTTTTCTTAAGACTTCTGTTACAAAACAGTTTTTCTTTACTGGTCAAGATCAAGTTGAGCATAATAGTTCCCTTTATTGCTTCCTCTACTTTCTGAGGCATGACACCATTAATATAAATTAAGAATTTCTTGATTAATACATTTTTTACAAAATGAAACTTACATACTTAGCCAAACAGTTGAAACTGCTTTTCTCCATATTATTCATCACCCCCACCTGCCTAAGCTGTCTATGGCACACTGTTGCCAGCATGGTGCTACTTTTGTTTTTTTTTTTCTTTCTTTCTTTCGATTTATCTACAATTTCTATCAGGTTTCACACTCAGGATTATTGCATCACATACAATAATCCATCTCTTAGTCTGTCTGTTTATATCAGATCATTTTGCGTAAATTTTACCCAGCTCTCTTTTAAACAAGGCTTGGTCATAAAACCCACACTAGGCCAGTTAGCTGTCTCTGGAATTTGAATCTTGGAACTAAAATTAGATGGCACTGACCTACCCTAATGGTGGTATCCCAAAGAGATTGCCCTTGCACCTTAGTGGTGCAATTTAGATTCCCTTGGGTTCTGTCCATTTGATTGTTTAGCTTTTCTTTTTATTCTTCATGTTCCCCACTGTCTTTATATTTAGTCCCTTAGTTGATTTTTTTTTATAGTTTTAAGGTCTTATGTCTTCCAACCCAACAAGCCTTGGTTAATGCCTAAAATATTGAGTTTCCCTTCTTTTTTTCAGGTGTACATTCACTTGGCTTATTGCCACTATCTCACACATCTATGTGTGGTCATAAATATCCATCTTGACCCTTACCTGTTTGATTGTTTTTTCTTAGTTTTTACCAAGCATCTCTTACAGCATTGCTAGTCTATTTCATACCTCATGTCTCATTCAAATTTTTTTTTTTTGTTTTTGAGACACTGTCTTGCTCTGTCGCCCAGGCTGGAGTGCAGTGGCATAATTTCGGCTCACTGCAACCTCCCTCTCCCGGGTTCAAGCAGTTCTCCTGCCTCAGCCTTCTGAGTAGCTGGGATTACAGGCACACGCCACCACGCCTGGTTAATTTTTGTATTTTTAGTAGAGATGGGGTTTCACCATGTTGGTCAGGCTGGTCTCTAACTCCTGACCTTGTGATCCGCCCGCCTCAGCCTCCCAAAGTGCTGGGATTACAGGCATGAGCCACTCTGCCCAGCCAGTCTCATTCATATTTTGTATCCAGAGACATCTTCCCTCACTAGTCTTTCTGCATACATTAAATTTCTAAGAGGAGAAAATTCTTCTTGTCTTACTTCTTTGTGGAAACAGGTGTGCCTAGTTTGGTTTTCCTCACCACTATCTCCTCTTCAAGAGGATTTTGAAAGGTATGTTTGTCAGACATTCGCCTCTAGTCTTTTAAAGATGAGGAAATTGAAGCCTAAAGAAGACAAGGGACTTGCATAATTATACATAATTAATTACCAGACGAGTCATTTTGAGAATCAGGCTTTCCTGTCAACCAGTACTCTAAGTGGATTCCCCCAAGAGCAAAGCTTTTTTTTGTTTTGTTTATTAAGGTATAAGTTATATACAGTAAAGTGCACAAATACTGTACAATATATAGCTTTTCAAATTTTCATGTATGTATAAACTAGTATAACCAAGATATGGAATGTTTCTAATGCCCCAGAAGTATCTTGTGCCTCTGCCCAGTCAGTTATCCCTCCAGAAGTACTATTCTAACTTTCATTACTGTAGATCAGTTTGGTTGGTTTTTAAAGTTAATATAAATATAGTCATACAGTATGCATTATTTTGTTTTGCTTGTTTTGCTCAACATTATGTTTAAGAGATGCATCCATGTTGTTAATTATGTTAGTAGCTCTTTCTTATATTTTGGAATAATCCATTGTATGAAAATACCATGGTTGTTTATGCTGTGTTCTGTTGAAAGGCATTTGGGTTGTTTCTAGTTCTGAGATATTATGAATAAATCTGCAGTGAAGATCCTTGTAGAAGTCTTTGGTGGATATAAGCATTTCTATGGATGTAAGGACAGGAGTGGAATTGCTGAGTCATAGGATAGTCATATGTTTAGCTTAGTATAAACTACCAGTTTTCATAAGTGGTTGATAAATTTATACCATATACCAATCTAAAAAGTTCTAATTGCTTTATATTCTTGCCAGCAATTAGTATTGACCATGTCTGTTTAATTTAAGACATTCTGTTGGGTGGGTAGAGTAAGTAGCATATGTCATTGTGATATTTAATTTGCATTAATAGCAAAGTTTTCAAAGGGCCTATGAAGGCTTTTGGAAAGTAATCGGATTACTTCTTCATATTTTATATGTAGCAGAGAAAGGCCAGCAGAAATAGTTTGCCTCATTTAATGAGGAACATAGATTGAGTCATATAATACATATGACTTCTAAGTGTCTAGGTACAAAACTGAATCATAAAGCAATGCTTTACCTCCTGAGCCTACTGAGGAGGGTACCAGGGCCCCAGTTATCTTGTAACTTTTTTTGCATTCTAAAATATAAAGGAAATGGCATAGTTTCTGTTATTTTCAAATAGAAGAGTAAATGGAATTTATGGATTGCTGGGAATGGCTAAATTGAACAGAAGTCATATGGCTCCTGCTTCTCCCCCTAGATCTGTCCTCTCCAGACTCCACCCTTCTCCAAGGGGGACATAATCTACTCTCATCAGCCAGTTTTCAGGTAAGATGTGGTTTCTTGAAATGCCATTTTATTCTTTAGAGGGTGATTGTGGTTTTTTGTTTTGTTTTGTTTTTTCTATTTATCCAAAAATCAATGTTGGCAGTTCATTCTGGGCTCTCATCTGTCTAGTAACCGCATTCCTAGCTGTGCCTCTCCAGCTTTAACTAATACATTCACCACTTACCACTTGCTTAGTATCTTGCTATGCTCCAGGGATGGGAGAGCAAAAGAAGTACAAAACTGGATCCTTTTTTTTTGAGATTGAGTCTCCCTCTGTCGCCCAGGCTGGAGTGCAATGGTGGTGATCTCCGCTCACTGCAACCTCCGCCTGCCGGGTTCAAGCAATTCTCCTGCCTGAGCGTCCCGAGTAGCTGGGACTACAGGCCCACACTACCACGCCTGGCTAATTTTTTGTATTTTTAGTAGAGACGGGGTTTCATCATGCTGGTGATGCTGGTCTCAAACTCCTGACCTCATGATCCATCCACTTTGGCCTCCCAAAGTGCTGGGATTGCAGGTGTGAGCCACCACGCCAGGCCCCAAAACTTGATCCTTTAATAGGCCAAAATGACTGCTAGAAAATAAAACAGGTAAATGTAAGAAAGGTGAAATGAGTAATGTGGATATTAGAGAATGGAAAAATGTATGTGGTCTGGAGGGATTAGGAGAGTTTCATGGAGGATGGGGGACTTGGGATGCCTCTAAAACAATAGGTGACATTTCGATATTTGAACAAGTAAGGTGGTGGGGCTGGAGGTATGGATTCTAGGTATAGAGAAGATTATAAGCAGAAGTTCATAAGTAAGGATTAACAGATGTTACACAGGATTCAGAAAAATTTGGAAGAGATGGATTATGGCAAGTGGTACACAAATGATTGAATGAAGTCAGAATATGAAAGCCTTGAATACCTGGATGAGAAGTTGAAGGCTTTATTGTGTAGGCCATTTATGAACCATTAATGATTTTTAATGGAAGAAAAGTGACCTGGACTGATTGAGAACTTAGACAAAAAAGGTAACAATTGCTCACCAGCCATAATCAACCTCAAGCCCTCCTCCTTCTTAAAATTTCCCCCCTGCTTAATTCGTGTTCCATAACTGAATTTTCTTAACAAAGAAATGGTACCAGTTCTTCCCACTTTCAGCCGAAGTACTTTTGGTATTTTTTTTTTTAATTGGGGGGTATACTGTGACAGTAAACTGCACATATTTAAAAATATATAATTTGATAAGTTTTGTCATGTATACATTCATGAAACCATTACCACAAGCAAGAGAGTGAAAATATCCATAATCAGAGAACATACCTTGTGTGACTTGAATCCTTTCAAATTTATGGAGACTTGTTTTTTTGTCCAGAATGTGGTACATCTTGGTAAACTATCAGTGAGCACTTGAAAAGAATGTATGTTTTGCTATTGTTTTATAGAATGTTCTATAGATGTATTAGTTTTCTATTGCTGCTATAATTAATTGCCATAAGCTTAGATGGCGTAAAATAACACAATTTACTCACAGTGTTAGAAGTCAAAAGTCCAAAATAGGTTGTCAGGACAGCATTCTTCTGAAGGTTCTAGGGGAAGAATCTATTCCTTGCCTTTTCCAGCTTCTAGAGGCTGCTGTGTTCTTTGTCTACTTATTCTATCTTCAAAGCTAGTACTGTGGCATCTTCAAATTTATCTCTCTCTCTCTCTCTCTCTCTCTCTCTCCCTCTGACTCTGACTTGTCTTCTGTCTTTCTGTCTCCTACTCTGATATGCTTACCTCCCTCTTATAAAGACCCTTGTGATTACTCTAGGCTCACCTATGTAATACAGAATAATTTCCCCACTCAAGGCCCTTAATCTGATCACATTTGTAAAGTCTCTTTTGCCATGTTAGGTAACAAATTCACAGGTTTCAGGGTTGGGACATGGACATCTTTGGGAGGGCTTTGTTCTGTATACCACAGATATCAGTTTGGTCAACTTAGTTGATAGTGTTCAAGTCTTTTATATCCTTACTGATTTCCTGTCTGCTTGTTTTATCAGTTATTCTGAAAGGGGTATTGAAATCTCAGACTGTTGTGGGTTGGTCTGTTTCTCCTTGCTGTTTTACCAATTTTCGCAAATATATTTTGAAGCGCTGTTATTAGGTGCATAAACATTTAGGATTGTTATGTTCTCTTAATCAGTTGACTCCTTTATCGTTGAGAAACAGTGTTTTTAATGCCTGGTAGTATCTTTTGCCTTGAAATTTACTTTGACATATGGTATATATTTTTATATATTTTTGCTTTTAACTTATTTGTATCTTTATATTTAAAGTGAGTTACTTACAAGCAACATGTAGTTGGGTTTTGCTTTTTTTTTTTTTTTTTTTTTTTTTGAGATGGAGTCTCTTTCTGTTGCCCAGCCTGGAGTGCAGTGGCGCGATCTCAGCTCACTGCAAGCTCCGCCTCCCAGGTTCATGCCATTCTCCTGCCTCAGCCTCCCGAGTAGCTAGGACTACAGGCACCTGCCACCATGCCTGGCTAATTTTTTTGTATTTTTAGTCGAGACAGGGTTTCCCTGTGTTAGCCAGGATGGTCTCGATCTCCTGACTTCGTGATCCGCCCGCCTCGCCCTCCCGAAGTGCTGGGATTACAGGCATGAGCCACCGCGCCCTGCCGGGTTTTTCTTTTCTTTTCTTTTCTTTTCTTTTTTTTTTAAATAACAGAACTTTATTTCTCACAGTTTTGTAAGCTGAGAAGTTCAAGATCAAAGTGCCTGTAGATTCTGTGTCTGGTTCGTAGATGGTGCCACCTCCTCATGTCCTCACATGATAGAAGCTCTATTTTTTTTTTTTTTTTTTTTTGAGACAGAGTCTTGCTCTGTCGCCCAGCCTGGAGTGCAGTGGGGCGATCTCGGCTCACTGCAAGCTCCGCCTCCTGGGTTCACGCCATTATCCTGCCTCAGCCTCTCCAGTAGCTAGGACTACTGGCGCTCGCCACCAAGCCCAGCTAATTTTTTTGTATTTTTAGTAGAGACGGGGTTTCACCATGTTAGCCAGGATGGTCTCGATCTCCTGACCTCGTGATCCGCCCACCTTGGCCTCCCAAAGTGCTGGGATTACAGGCATGAACCACTGTGCCCGGCCGGGTTTTGCTTTTTTTATCCAATCTGGAAATCTCTGCTTCTTGGGGTGTTTAGACCATTTGTATTCAGTATGATCTTACATGTAATGTGTTACATTTAAATATAATGTGACTTTTGATATGGATAAGTCTTTTACCTTGCTGTTTGTTTTCTATTTGTATTGTCTTTTTTCTTTTTTTCCTTCTATTCTTACCTTCTTTTGGATTGAATATGCTTATGATTCTATTTTATCTCCTTCATTAGCTTATTAGCCATAACTCTTTGCTATTTTACTTGTTGCTTTAGGGATTCATATTTGTTTTAATCACCATTTACTTTCAAGTGATATTCCATTTTACTTAGAATAGTGTATTTCCATTCCCCCCACCACAGTTTTTATGCTATTGTTGCCATACATTTTACTTGTTACATATGTTATAAATCCCATAATACTTTGTTGTTATTTTCTTTAAGCAGCCAATTATCTTTGAAAGAGATTTAAGTAATAAGAAAATAATTGTGTATAATTATTACAATGCTCATTGTGTAATGATCATTTTCGGTATTCTTTATTCATTTTTATAAATCAGTAGTTCACAATCGTGAGTGATTTTGCTCCCCAAGGAGCAACATTTGAGAGTGTTAGGGAACTTTTTTGATTGTCATGACTTGGTAGGGAGTGCTATTAGCATCCAGTGGGTTGAGACGAGTGATGTCTCCATACACAGGACAGGCCCCCACACTTTTCTAAGAGAATCATCTGGTCCAAAATATCAATAGCGCCAAGGTTGAGAAACCCTGGTGTCGAACCATATTTTCATCTGGTTTTTTTTTTTTTTAATCTGGTCGAAGGACTTCCTTTAACATTTCTTGTAGTGTAGGTCTGCTGTGAATAATACTTTCAGGTTTCTATGTCTAAAGAAGTCTTTATTTTGCCTTTGTTTATTAATTCTAGTGTGACAGATTTCTTCTTTTCAGTATTTGATATTGCTCCAGTGTCCATTGTTTCTAACAAAAAAGTTACTGTTGTTTTTATCTTTGTTTTTTTATATTTGTGTGTCTTTTTTCCTCAGATTACTTGTAAGATTTTTTTCTATCACTGAGTTTAAACTATTTGATTATGATGTATTTTGGTGCAATTTTTTTGTGGTTAAAATCAAGTTTGGAAAATAATCAGCTGTTATTTCCTCAAAAATGATTTCTGGTCCCCTCTCATCTTTCGCCTCCTGCCCCAGTACTCCAATCACACATAAAGCAGGCAACTTAAAGTTCTCCTAGAGCTCCCCAAGGCTCTTTTTTTAAAATTATTTTTTTCTTTTATTTTGAATAGCTTTGATTTCTGTGTCTTTGAAGTTACTAATCTCTCTTCTTCAAAGCTTACTCTTCTGTTAATACTAACTGGTGAATTTTTTTAAATCTCAAAACATTCTCATTTTCAGCTCTAAGAAGTTCCATTTAGTTTTTTTTTTTTCTTTATTATTATTATACTTTAAGTTTTAGGGTACATGTGCACAATGTGCAGGTTTGTTACATATGTATACATGTGCCATGTTGGTGTGCTGCACCCATTAACTCGTCATTTAGCATTAGGTATATCCCCTAATGCTGTCCCTCCCCCCTCCCCCCACCCCACAACAGTCCCCGGAGTGTGATGTTCCCCTTCCTGTGTCCATGTGTTCTCTCTTTTTTTTTTTTTTTAAATGTCTTTCATATCTCTGCCTAACGTTTTGAACATTTTGAACATATGGAATACAGTCATAAAAACTTTTGATGTTCTTGTCTGTTAACTCTAACGTCTCTTCTGGGTTGGTTTCAGTTGATTGACTTTTCTCTTTATTATGGGTTATATTTTCCTGCTTCTCTGCATTGCCTGATAATTTTTTTTTTTTTTTGAGACAGAGTCTCACTCTGTCGCCCAGGCTGGAGTGCAGTGGCACAATCTCAGCTCACTGCAACCTCTGCCTCCTGGGTTCAAGCGGTTCTCCTGCCTCAGCCTCCTGAGTAGCTGGGATTACAGGCGCTCACCACCATGACTGGCTAATTTTTTTGCACTTTTAGTAGAGACAGCGTTTTGCCATGTTGGTCAGGCTGGTCTCAAACTCCTGACCTCATGATCTGCCTGCCTAGGCCTCCCAAAGTGCTGGGATTACAGGTGTGAGCCACTGTGCCCAGCTGCCTGATAGTCTTTGATTGGATGCCACACACTGAATTTTACCTTATTGGGTTCTGAATATTTTTATATTCATATAAAATATTCTTGGCCAGGCGCAGTGGCTCACACCCGTAATCCCAGCACTTTGGGAGGCCAAGGCGGGTGGATCACGAGGTCAGCAGATCGAGATCATTCTGGCTAACACAGTGAAACCCCGTCTCTACTAAAAATACAAAAAAATTAGCCGGGTGTGGTGGCGGGCACCTGCGGTCCCAGATACTCGGGAGGCTGAGGCAGCAGAATGGCGTGAACCTGGGAGGTAGAGCTTGCAGTGAGCCGAGATCACGCCACTGCACTCCAGGCTGCGCAACAGAGAGAAACTCCGCCTCAAAAAAAAAAAATTCTTGAACCTTATTCTGGGATGCAGTTAAGTTACTGGAAACAGTGTGTTCCTTTCAGGCCTTTTAAGATTTGTTAAGTGGGCCCAGAACAGCATTTAGTCTCAGCCTATTTATTCCTGACCATAGAGGCAGGACCATTGAGTATTCTACCCAATGCCTCATGAATTATGAAGTTTTCCATTTTGGCTAATGTATTTCTAACCCTTTTTGAGTGCTGGTTCTGGTCCCTTGACTCCTTTAGGTGATTCTTTCACTGGCCTCAGATAGTCTCATCACACCCATGCACAGATTGGTACTTTTCTGAATACTCAAGAGGGAACCTCTGCAGTTTTCCTTGCTTCTCTCTTTGTGTAGCTCTCTCCGCTCCAGTACTGTGTCTTGTGAACTCTAGTCACCTTGATTTTCCCAAACTCTCAGCTCTATCTCTTGAGTTCCAGAAATCTGCTGGGCTCCTCCTAGGTTCCACCTCCCTACACCAGTGTTTGGAAACTCTCAAGGCAGTAAGCTAGAGCAATTGTAGGGCTCACCTCATTTGTTTCCTGATTCTCAGGGATCACTTTTCTTTGCTACCTGAGGTTCAGTGTGATGGAGACTTTTGTTTCATTTTGTCTGGAATGTATTGTTTATTTCATGTAGGAGAGTAAATCCAATTATTGTTAATTCCATCTTGGCCACAGCTTGATTCTATTGACATTTGTATTTTAAACTGTAAGCATTGTTAGGGCTGATCTAGTGTAGCCTTACTCTAGGGCTGTGTTTCAGGGACCCATGACCACGCTTTAGTTCAGTGATTTGTTGGAATGATTCATATGACTCAGTAGCATAAATCATGGCTAACAAATATTACAGCAAAGCATACAAAAGAGGATCAGAAGGAAAAGGGTATTCATAATCAGAGTCCAGAGAAATCAGGTACAGGCTTCTGAGTCCTCCCTCTGTGATGATTATACAGATACACTTTCTCTGTTACTGTGAGCCACAGAAACATGAAGAATGTCTACCCAGGGAATCCTGCTTGAGTCTTGGAGTCCGAATTCATAAAGGTTGCTGATCACATTGGCCTTTACCTGCCATATGACCAGCTATAGTTTAGACCCCACACTCGGCACCTGGTACACTCATAAATTTCCGTGTTTCTTTAAACGATGTTGACAGTTTGGTACATCTTGTCCCAGTGCACTGGGCACACAGAATAACGTCATTAATCAGTGACTAGGCACACAGAATTATGTCGATAATTAGTGACCATGGAAATGTTCAAAGGTTTAGTTTTCAGAACTTGTTCAAGGATCAGAACCAAGGATCTAGGCATCCCTGGAATTTAGCAAGGAATGAGCCAACCAGACCTGCTGCTTATATTCTTTCTTCACAGTCTAGACTTGCCCTGCTCCTAAAGTGTCCTGGAACTGTTTGTGGGGGCCGACTGTGCACATAACTTCTCAACTCTATTCAGTTATGTCATGTTGGTAACTTTGCATTGCCCATGGAGATTGTATTTACACCAGATTTGTGGTATTCCTTTTCTCTGCAGCTCCCTCCTCTCCAGTATCTATCCTGCAAATTCCCTGCCTCAGTAGTTCTGAACTTTCAACTTTGTCTCCTCAGCTCAGTAAGACCACTGCTTTGGTAGAGCTCTGCCTCCCTGCTCTGCAGTCTGGACAGTGCCTCAGGCAAAAAGTTAAGGGGATTCTGGGGCTCATGTTAGTGTTTCCCTTCTCTCCGTATCACTTCTGTCCTGCCTGCTGTTCAAAATATGAAAACACTTGTTTCAGATATATTGTTCAGTTTTATTTATATTGGAAGAGCTAGTCCAGTTGCTTTGTCATGGTTAGAGGGAAAAGTCCTAATGATTTAATATATTTATAGTTTTTAAACAAAGTTATTGCTCTCTCACTTAGTTTTAAATACATAGCAATAAAAAAAGCAGGAAGTTGCCTGCATTGCCTATAGGTCCCACTACCCAGTCCCACCAATAGTATTTGGTTGAGTATTCTTTTAGATTTTTTTCTGTTCATTTACATATAAACGTTCTTCCTATTCATAAAAAGAAAAGTAGGATTATACCCTAGAGTTCAGTGGTATGATCATAGGTCACTGCAACCTCGAACTTCTGGGTGGAAGCAATCCTCCCACCTCAGCTTCCTGAGGAGCTGGGACTACAGGTGCGTGCCACCACGCCCAGCTTATTTCTATTTTTATCTTTAGTGCCGATGAGGTCTCACTGTGTTGCGCAGGCTGGTCTTGAACTCTTGGGCTCAAGCAGTCCTCCCACCTTGGCCTCCCACAGTGTTGAGATTGCAGGTGTGAGCCACCATGCCTGTCCTCTTGTGTACATATTTTCTAATGAGTACGTATAGATATACATCATTTGATAACTATCTATATAAAGTGTTTTAGTATGGGTGTACTATATATTTTTTAACCACTATCCTATTAATGGGCATGTAAGTTTGATTTTTTTTCCTTCCACACAAATGATGTTGAAATGGCAATTGTACATATGTCTTTGTACCTAGAAGTGTTTCTGAATAATAAATTCCTAGAAGTAGGAAGACCAGATCAAATGGTGTATCCATTAAAGTTTTGATAGATCTTGTCAGATTGCCCCCCAGATAGATTGCATTTGGGTTCTGTTTCCACCATAGGACACATGAGCACTTTAGCAGTGTTACCCAGTCTGATATTTTACTGTTTAACTATATTTTTAGGGGAGGGGAGCATCTTTTCATGGTTTCACATTTTCCTCGGTGACTTGCCTATTTGGGTTGTTGGCCTTTATTGTTGCTATTGTTGTGGGTAGTTGATCTTTTTTTTTTCCCTTAATTTTTAGTTGACATGTAATAATTGTACATATCCATGGGATACAGAGTGATATTTTGGTACGTGAATACAATGTGTAATGATAAAATCAGGATAATTAGCATATCCATCACCTTGAACATTTATCACTTCTTTGTGTTGTGAATATTCCGAATCCTCTCTTCTACTTTCTTGTAATTATACACTAAATTATTGTTAACCATATTCACGCTATAGTGCTATAGACACTGGAACTTATTCCTTCCATCTACCTGTAACTTTGTAACTGTTAGCCAGTCTTTCCCTAGCCTTCCCTCCTCTACCCTTCCCAGCCTCTAGTAAGCACAATTCTACTCTCTATGAGCTCGTTTTGTTTTTGTTTGCTCCTACATGTGAATGAGAACATGCGATATTTATCTTTCTGTGCCTGGCATATTTCACTTAACATAATGTCCTGCAGGTACATCCATGTTACCACTAATGACAAGATTTTATTCTTTTTTAAAATGGCTGAATGGTATTCCCTTGTGTATATATACCACATTTTCTTTATCCATTCGTCTGTTGATGGACATTTAGGTTGATTCTATATCTTAGCTGTTGTCAGTAAAGCCATAGCAAACATGGGGATGCATGTGTCTCTTTGGTATACTGATTTCCTTCACTTTGGATAAATACCCATTAGCGGGATTGCTGGATCATATGGTAGTTCCATATTTAGTTTTTTTGAGACAGTGCCAAACTGTTTTCCATAATGGTTGTACTAATTTACATTCCCACCAGTGTTGTATCCTTGCCAGCATTTGTTATTTTTTTTTTTGTCTTTTTGACTAACTGGGGTGAGATGATATCTTATTATGGTTTTGATTTGCATTTAGTGATATTGAGCATTTTTTCATATATTTGGGTGTTTATATGTCTTCTTTTGAGAAATGCCTATTCAGATACTTCACCCACTTTTTAATGGTATTATTTATTTTTTTGCTGTTGATTTGAGTATATTCTGGATATTAGTCCCTTGTGAGATGAATAGTTTGCAAATATTTTTGCCCCTTCTGCAGGTTGTCTTGAACTCTGTAGATTGTTTTTTTTTTTTTTTTTTTTTTTTTACTGTGCAGAAGCTTTTTAAATTGCCTTTTGTTTATGATGTCTTATAGATGTTTTACATTGTTATGTGGTTATATCTATCGATCTCTCTCTCCATCATGTAAATTTTGCCTTCCAGATTTCAAGCTTATACAAATATTTTCCTGTTTTTTATTCTATTTTATTTTGACTTTTTCTTTACGATTTCATCTTTAGGTTGGCAGGAATTTTTGTGTGTGTTGTGAAGTAAGGATCTCACCTTAATTTTTTTTTCATAGACAGTCGTTTGTTATGGCATGATTTAGTGACTAATCCATCTTAACTAATTTCACTTTTAACTTACTTTTAATTTAACTAACTTTTAACCAATTTGAAAGCTGCTTAATGCCTTTTAACTCTTATAAATATGAATCTGTTTCTGGATTTTCTATTTTATTTCATTTTGTTTTATTCCAGACTAGGCCATTTTTAAATTACTTTATCTTTTGAAATGTATTAGGGCAAGTCTTTCCACCTCTCTTTTTCAAAAAACCTTTGGGTGCTCTTGCACATTGTAGGTAGTAAAAAATATTGATGATAATAGTTAAACCATTAATACTTAGCGGACCTTGGAACACAGAGATGATGATGGTAATGATGACGATGAAGGACAACAACAATGGCCATATTGACTGAGCACTTATTATATGCCAGACGTTAAATTAAGCATTTCACATGGAATGTTTTATTTAATTCTCACAATAACCCAATGGATGAGGCACTGTTTTTACATTTATTTCATAAAGGAGAAAATGTCAAGATTATTTTGCAGACATCCTATAGACTGCCTTACTTCTGTCAGTATTGCTAACTTTACCCCTTTCCTAAGTAAATGCTTATGGCTAAGCAGAAATATGTTTGGTATTTCAGGAAGCGGTGACTTTCAAGGATGTGATAGTGGACTTTACCCAGGAAGAATGGAAACAGCTGGACCCTGGCCAGAGAGATTTGTTCAGGGATGTGACATTGGAAAATTATACACACCTGGTCTCTATAGGTAAGGATAATTTCTCTGAGTTAATATCAAGGGGTGTGCAGGAGGAGGGTTCTCTCTTGTGCTCAGGGGAGTTTGCCTTTAAGTTTAGTAACCAACCATTTCTAAATTTCTAGTTTTTGAAAAGGTTTCTACCATCCTAGCAAGCAGAGGGACAAAATAATAATTTTCCTGAACCCCGATCAGTTCCCAAATTATACTCCCACCATGTCTGGGAACTGGTAACACTAAAGCTTGATATGCTATCCACTCCCATCAGGTTTTTACTACATATCATTTCTTCTAAAGACAAAGTGGTGATTGAATTCTGATATGGTACTTTCCCCTTACTGCAGGTTTCTTTCTTTTTTTCCCTAATGAACAGGACTCCAAGTTTCTAAACCTGATGTGATTTCCCAGTTAGAGCAAGGGACAGAGCCATGGATCATGGAGCCAAGCATTCCAGTAGGTACCTGTGCAGGTAAGTCATGGATGCCAGCAGATGAATATCATTAACTCCGACTGTCAGCCTGATAAGAGAGGATTTTATGTCTGAAGTGTAGATGTACTTTCTTCCCTTTAAAGTATTTCCTGTGGAGAAATGGGAAAACATCTGTTTTCTGGACTTTCTTATGCTTTGTTATGTCACTAATTGTTGCAATATATATTCTATGTTATGCCCCTTTTTGAGGAGATGTCCTTCCTACCTTTCTATGAAATCCACCTCTCGAACTGGACTCTGAATTACATCTCTTTCTACTTCCTTTAGGACCATGATCTCATAATTATCACCGTACTTTTCAGTCCTTACAATTTTTTATTTTGGATCTACGGGCTCCATTCCCAGTACTTTTAAATAGAAATACATAACCTATATTTCCAAATAGATTTACTCCACAATATGAATCTTTATGGCCACCATTCAGTTTATCTTTTCTTTCCCAAGCAAACTCAACAAAAATGAATTCCATAACTGCAGGCTTCGTTTCTTTATCACCTAATTCTTACCTAGTAACATGTATAGCTTCTGATTTTTTTTTTCTTTTTTTGAAACAAAGTCTCATTCTGTTGCCCAGGCTGTAGTGCAGTGGCGTAATCTTGGCTCACTGCAGCTTCTGCTTCCCAGGCTTGAGTAATCCTCCCACCTCAGTCTCCCGAGTAGCTGGAACTACAGGTGCACGCCACCATGCCTGGCTAATTTTTGTATTTTTAGTGGAGACACGGTTTCGCCATGTTGCCCAGGCTGGTCTTGAACTCCTGGGCTCAAGTGATCTACCCGCCTCAGCGTCTCAAAGTGCTGCAATTACAGGTGTGAGCCACTGCACCTAGCTAGCTTCTGATTTTATCACTTCATCATACAGTTTTTGAAATTATGAATAACTTTCTTCTAAATCATCAGTTTCCAAACTGCATGAAGTAACCTAAGGATCTGACCCTGGAAAAACAAACAAACCTAGTCATTCTAGGTAAGCGATACGTCTCTAGAGTTAATGGGATGTAGGTGAGGTTCTTCTTTACGGGGGAAAAATGTATGCCATGTTCAAACTTTAGCAAGTTTCTAACTGGAGTACCACTCAGAGATTTTTTTTTTAAATAGGCAGTTAGGTGTTATGAATGCTCAACAGGGTTGCATAGAATGTAACATCTCCCAACCCCCGCCCTGCCTCCAACAATGAATACTTTTTTTTCATATCACATCTGTAAAATCTTTCTCTTAGAATGGTTTCATGGAACATACTTTAGAAAGCTTAATTAAAAAAAAGAAGAAGAACTTTAATAACTGGGGCTTATGGTTAGTTAACTTTTGGAAAAAGCAAGTTGTCAAGTTTTATTACAAATTAAAAATGAAATTTTACTTGACCAGATAGAAAACCATTTTAAACCATTAAAATGTACATTGAAAAACTTAGGCTTTTCAAAAACTACTTTTTACCAGAAAGATTTATTTAGGCAAAAATAATAACCCCCACCCCCATGTTGCATAGATAATTTTTATAGTTCCACTTACCTGGTCAGTGAACAGAAGGCAAGCACTTGAGATATTTAGCTCCATTCTTTTGGTTACTTTTTATTGCTGGAATTTGACCTGATGATGATAGTCTTGGTAAATCAGCCCTCAAGTCTATCTTTATCAGCATCTAGAATAGATTTATTCTTAGCTGGTGAGTTGGCTGCTTTTGTCTTTATAAAAATGTCGTATAGTTTTGTAGATATCTTTACAGCTAGTGATATTGTGACAGTACCTATGTTGAGTTTGGCCACTAGCCCTGGGCCTAGTCTACCTAATTTCCCTCATCCTCTTTATTGCCATCTTCTCGGAGCTGTCTTGATGATCTTGACCCTCAGGATCATGATCTATAACCCTGATATGTATCTGTCTCACTGGTCTATCTTGTTTTCTTGTCCCCTGGTTGTCAACACCCTCGATTACTTCTCCACACATGGGACATCAGAATAGTATAGTCAATGTCTGTAGACTTTGTTTGTAGTAAAGGGAGAATTGCTTCTGCAATAGGGATGGTATTTTTCAATCTGGTCTTTGGGAACTTTCTCCATCCCTTCATTTTTTGCCCTGCCCCTTATATTCTAGTAATTCTGTTGGTTATTGAGTAGAGGACATGACAATATAGATAACATTGGCCATGGCCTGTTTCATGTTGCCTTTGAGTGGAACTCCAACCAGGGTTGGAGATCTGCCACTTCCATGCACTGTTCTTTAACAGCATCAGACTCCATGGTCTCCATATCTTTCATTGTGAAGTACTTCCAGAGGTATTCTTTATGGCTACCTGCTTTGCAAACATACCTTCCTTGGTGTCATTTCTGTTGATGAAAACATATTTATTTCTTGAACAATCGGCTGTTTCCAAACCCTGTATTGTATTGATGTCGTCCCTCCTGTAGAAATTCTACTGCTGTGAGGCTGCCTACACTAATACGTGCTGTGCTGTTACCTGTAGTGCCAGGTGTGGAGGGGATGCTAGGCAGCTCTGAGGTCTGCCGCACTGCTCATGCTTGCGGTGATAGTGGTAGTGGTAGTGATAGTGACTGGGCTTGCAATATGGGAAAGATTCAGGATCCTCTGGGGTCTGCTGTAAACTCCTGATACCATTGAATCTGTTCTTTAAGAATATTGCCAGCATTGACTACCCTGCTTCTTTTAGTTGTCATCTCTTTTGTTTTGGGCAACAGTTTACTTCCTGATTATGTACTTTCCTGGTTATGTTTCTTCTGTTGTTTTATGTGTTTGCTGATAAACTGCTTTCTTTCATTGGTATATTTTATTAATTCTGTTACCCTGACTATTCTCAAGGATCTTCCCTCTGCCTCTGCTCTTTTTCACATATATTTCTAAGGCTTTAGCTATTCTTGTCCTTCTTTTTTTGAGCTGATACTTTCCATCCTACATTTGAACATCCTTGTTATTCTGATGTTGGCATCTTTCACTTCCACAAACGCTACTATAGTCCAGCTCTCCATTTCTTTTCTTAATTCTCAAAATGCCTAGACTTGAACTTGTTAGTTTCTCCCTGCTAAATTATTTCTCTACTATTTACAACTCTTCCCATATCTAGCAATGATGTGATTATTTCTTCAGTGTTCCAGGCTGAAACACATGGGGTCTTAGCTAATAAATCTTTCCTGTTTGTTCTGTCTTTAAATCATGGTTCTTGGATTTTTTGTTTTGTTGTTTATTAGCAAGGAATCCCAATTCAAACTGCCCCCTTCAGATTCAGTTCATCTCTGTCTACTCTTAGCCATCTCTGTTGTCACCTTTTTAGTCAACTATTACCTTAAATGTATTTCCTTACTGGTTCTTGAAGATTATCTATGAAATTGAATTAGACATTCTTTTGCCACTTTCGTATTTTATTTATAATTCTCCTTAGCTCCTTCCAACTTTCTCCCCAAATAATATGGCTATATATTTGAAAACCATTAGAATTTTCTGAGAGATTTATTTTTCAGTATCATTATATTATTCCCACAATAGCAGTTTATTTTTTCTCTATTCAGAGAACACTGGAATTTTCTTTTTCTTTTAGACTGGGAGACAAGACTTGAAAATAGTGTGTCAGCCCCAGAGCCTGACATTTCTGAAGAAGAGCTATCTCCAGAGGTAATAGTGGAAAAACACAAAAGAGATGATTCTTGGAGTTCCAACTTGCTAGAAAGTTGGGAATATGAAGGCAGTTTAGAGAGACAGCAGGCAAACCAACAGACACTGCCAAAGGAAATAAAGGTAACCGAAAAGACAATACCCAGTTGGGAAAAAGGCCCTGTAAATAATGAATTTGGGAAAAGTGTCAATGTGAGTTCAAACCTTGTAACACAAGAACCATCTCCAGAAGAGACCTCTACTAAAAGAAGCATCAAACAGAATTCAAACCCAGTTAAAAAAGAGAAATCTTGTAAGTGCAATGAATGTGGGAAAGCCTTTAGTTATTGTTCAGCTCTTATTCGCCATCAGAGAACACATACTGGAGAAAAACCCTACAAATGTAATGAATGTGAAAAAGCCTTCAGCCGGAGTGAAAACCTTATAAACCATCAAAGAATTCATACTGGAGATAAACCATATAAATGTGATCAGTGTGGAAAAGGCTTCATTGAGGGTCCATCTCTTACTCAACATCAAAGAATTCATACTGGAGAAAAACCATATAAATGTGATGAATGTGGGAAAGCCTTTAGTCAGAGGACCCATCTTGTTCAGCATCAGAGAATTCATACTGGCGAGAAGCCATACACTTGTAATGAGTGTGGAAAAGCCTTTAGCCAGAGAGGCCACTTTATGGAACATCAGAAAATTCATACGGGAGAAAAACCTTTTAAATGTGATGAATGTGATAAAACCTTCACCAGGAGCACACACCTTACTCAACATCAAAAAATTCATACTGGAGAAAAAACCTATAAATGTAATGAATGTGGAAAGGCCTTCAACGGGCCCTCAACTTTTATCCGTCATCATATGATTCATACTGGTGAAAAACCGTACGAATGCAATGAATGTGGGAAAGCCTTCAGCCAGCACTCAAACCTCACTCAGCATCAAAAAACTCATACTGGGGAGAAACCCTATGATTGTGCAGAATGTGGAAAATCTTTTAGTTACTGGTCATCCCTTGCTCAACACCTGAAAATTCATACTGGAGAAAAACCTTACAAATGCAATGAATGTGGAAAGGCCTTCAGTTACTGCTCATCCCTTACTCAACATCGGAGAATTCACACGAGAGAAAAGCCCTTTGAATGCAGTGAATGTGGAAAGGCTTTCAGTTATCTCTCAAACCTTAATCAGCATCAGAAAACTCATACTCAAGAGAAAGCTTATGAATGTAAAGAATGTGGGAAAGCTTTTATTCGGAGTTCATCTCTTGCTAAGCATGAAAGAATTCATACTGGAGAGAAACCCTATCAGTGTCATGAATGTGGGAAAACCTTCAGTTATGGTTCATCCCTTATTCAGCATAGGAAGATCCATACTGGAGAACGACCTTACAAGTGTAATGAGTGTGGGAGAGCATTCAACCAGAACATACACCTTACACAGCATAAGAGAATTCATACAGGAGCCAAGCCTTATGAGTGTGCTGAGTGTGGTAAAGCCTTTCGACATTGTTCATCTCTTGCTCAACATCAAAAAACTCACACAGAAGAAAAACCCTACCAGTGTAATAAATGTGAAAAGACCTTTAGCCAGAGCTCCCATCTAACTCAGCATCAACGAATTCACACTGGGGAGAAGCCCTATAAGTGCAATGAATGTGACAAAGCCTTTAGCCGGAGCACTCATCTGACTGAACATCAGAATACTCATACTGGAGAGAAACCTTATAACTGTAATGAATGCAGAAAGACTTTTAGCCAGAGCACATATCTCATTCAGCACCAGAGAATTCATTCAGGAGAGAAGCCTTTTGGATGTAATGATTGTGGAAAATCCTTCAGATATCGCTCTGCTCTCAACAAACATCAGAGACTGCATCCTGGCATATGACAATTCTAGGAACATCATAAATTTAGGGGAGATATTTACTTTAGTTTGTCCTTTTGTTAAGTACTGAAGAATCAGAGTGGATTTAGAAACTGCCTTGAAATCTTTTAAATTTTCACTATCATGTTATGGAATGGAAAGTACATTGGGCTGAACTAATCCAATTGTTATTAAGCCACTCTGTGACATTAGAAAACTCTACTGTTTTAAGCTTTAGTTTCCTTTATGGAATGAAGGATTTGGAGTAGATTATTTCAAAGGTAGTTTGGAGTTTTATAATCAGTTTTGTATATTTACAATATTTTCTTGAATGGGTTTACTATACATCAGCATTTTGCTGTGTTGCATCTAGAATGTGTATGTTTATGCATGTTTTGCCAATAGAATTTGTGCTTCAGTAACTAGATCGGGGATCTAGTATGCTCCTGGTCTAATGCATTTACATTGTTTAGGTAACTGGTTCCTAATAAAAAGAATTATAAAATACCCTCAAATTAACAATTCAATTGCATATAATAGCCTAACTCAGTAAGAATATTAAAACTTACTATTATTCTTCTTCTAGTCTGTTTTTAATATTCTAGGAGTTTACCACAACTATAGAATTCCACTTCTACAACTTAAACTGGTGTTATTTTACCCTGGTTGCATATTGGAGTCACCTGGTGTCTTAATTTGTGCTGTTATGTTAAATTACAATAGACTAGGTATCTTAAACAATAGAAATTTGTTTAAAGCTGGAAGAGGCTGGGAAGTCCAAGATCAAGGTACTAGCAGATCCAGTGTCAGATGAAGGCCCATTTCCGTTTGCAGACACCTCTCTTCTTCTTGTGTTCCTACATGGTGCTAAGCAGAGACAGAGCAACCTCTCATATCTCTTTATAAGACTACTAATCCCATTGGTGAGGGCTCTACCCTTATGACCTAATCACCTCCCAAAGGCCCCCCTCCTAATACCATCACATTGCAGATTAGGCTTTCAACATAGAAATTTGGAGAGAACATATTAAGTCCATAACACCTGGAGAACCCTATAAAATTATCTTGCCAAGGCCCTACAACTCCAGAGACTAATTGCCTTAGGAGATAGGACCCAGGCATAAGTGTTTTTTCTTAAATTCCTAATGTGTACACTGGAAAGAAAAATTGGCTTGTATTTGTTTTGACAGTCAGTGAGATTACAGAAGTTCACATGATCCTGGTTTTTGTATCTCCTTTTTGTGTTTCTCAAAAACATCTCTACTAGCTATTCCAGACCACATTCCTGTTTCCCAAAGCAGGTGGATTTACAATTGCTCCTTTTGCTCAGACATATCTATCTAACTACACTTTGGTGAACTAAGTCACATATTTACCATTTTTTCTCCTTACCTCTATTTTAAGAGCAGAGGGAGGAAGTTATTTTAAACCATTTCTTGGTCTTTTTTTTCTTGATTGTAATATACAAGTCATATATGCCATAAACATCTAGTATAATACCAACATTAGTTTCTTAATATTTACCATACTGAGAGAGTAGAGCAAAGTTAAAATCTTTTTTTTTTCTTTAATTTAAGAGACAGGGTCTTGCTCTGTCACCCAGGCTGGAGTGCAGTAGCATGATTATAACTTACTGCAGCCTCAAACTGGGCTTAAAGGATGCTCCTGCCTCAGCCTCCCAAGTAGCTGGAACTATAGGTGCATGCCACCATGCCTGGCTAATTGTTTTAAATTTCTGTAGAGATGGGGTCTGGCTATGTTGCCCAGGCTGGTCTCCAACTCCTGGCCTCAGGCAGTCCTCCTGCCTTGACCTCCCAAAGTGTTGGGATTACAGGTGTAGTCACCACCCTTGGCCCCAAATTAAAATCGAAGGGAGAATTGGCAGAAGTTATAAGTTTTTCCTTGAAGTTGTAATGAATCCAGAAAAATAACAGAGGGATTCCCTTACAGGTTTAACATTTGCTAACAAACTGACCAGAAATAAAAAGACCTCGGAAGTTATCAGTAAAGCCAGCCAGTTGTTTATGAGGCAAGGAATTGTCTACTATTAACAAAAAGTTCTAATACCTTCATGTGTAATTTATTTGGATGTTTCAATGTCCAAGATTGGGCATATAGAGACTAAGCATTTTCCTCTAGGTCCTAGATTGGCACTTTCCATGTCTGCCAGATTATAGATATTAAACCACTTGAGTAGTTTTTGCTAAATGACTGTGAGGGAAGCAGAAAAGAGAGAAAATGTCACGTAACTTAGTCATTCATCCTTAAACATTTAAGTCTTCATTAAAAATCATTCAACCACAGCCAATGCTTATGAGGTGGCTGAATTAATTATATTTGCAGGGGTTCAGAAATAGACAAAGCCAAATATTCTGTTGCAGAGCTCACATCCTATTATAAAGAAAGTTGTAAAATGCCAAGGGTGGTAAACATAGATAATAAAGCAGGGTGAAGGGCTTGGGCAAGACTTCCATCATGGGTTGTGGTGGTGCTATTGTAGACAGAATGGTTAGGAAATGCCTTTCTTGGGTTCACATGCTTGATATGGGGGAAAAAAAAAAAGGAAATGCATTTCTAATGACTTGTCATTGGAGCACACACTTGGAGGTGGTGAAGGAATGAACTAGGTAGATATCTGAGAGGATAACATTCCAGGCAGAGGTACTAGGAGCCACAAGTATCCTGAGATAGGAGCATTTGGCAGTTTCAGAAACACTGGCTGGATTGTAATAAGTGAGGGTAGGAGATGAGGTCAGAGAGAGAGCTGGGGGTGTAGTTCCTCAGGACTTTCTTGGCTATGGTAAGGATTTAGCATTCTATTCAGAATGAGATGGCAAGTCATTGGAGAGTGTCGGGCACAGATTTGAATTGTTTAAAAAGGGTCACTTGCTGTAATGTAGGGAATAAATTATAAAGCGTTAAGAGTACAGGCAGGAATTTAGTTGGAATGCTAGTAGTCCAGGTAAGATCGAATGGTGGCTTAAACAAAGATATTGTTGACAAAACGATGGGAAGTAGTTGGACTGAGGCTGTATTTTGAATGTACAGCAGGTAAGGTTTGCCTATGGGTTAGCTATAAAAGTGAGAGAGAAGTTAGGGTGGCTTTAAGGACTTCAGCCTTAGCAACTTGAAAGGATTTACCATGTACTGAGATAGAGAATACCAAGTATGCAGTAGGTTCACAGAGGGGATGAGGAATCAGAATTCAGTTTGGGAACTTTTTAACTTAATAAAAAACAAAAGAACACAAAATATAAATGTGCAAAGTGAATATATCTGTAAACTTATCATCTAGGTCAAGAAATGGAGCACTACTGGCATTCCAGTAATGCTATTTCACCCCTCAAATCACAGCCTTTTTCTTCTTCCCCAAAGGTGACTATTATCCTGAGTATTAATTCCAACAATTAGATATGGTGAGGGCCTTTGTGCTACATCATCTGATGGCAGAAGGCATCACATGGTGAGAAAGGGTGAAAGTGTGTGAGACAGAAAAAAGGGCCAGACACCCATGATAACTAAGTCACTCCTGTGATAATGGTATTAATCCCTTTATGAGGGCAAAGCCCTTATGACTTAATCAGCTTTTATTTGTTTTTTTGTTTGTTTTTTTGAGACAGAGTTTCACTCTTGTCACCCAGGCTGGAGTGCAATGGCATGATCTTGGCTCACTGCAGCCTCTGCTTCCTGGGTTCAAACGATTCTCCTGCCTCAGCCTCCCGAGTAGCTGGGATTACGGGCGCCTGCCACCATGCCCAGCTAATTTTTGTATTTATAGTAGAGACGGGGTTTCACCATGTTGGCCAGGCTGGTCTTGAACTCCTGACCTCAGGTGATCTGCCTGCCTCGGCCTCCCAAAGTGCCAGGATTACAGGCATGAGTCACTGTGCCCGGCCGACCTAATCACCTTTTAAAGGTCCCGCCTCTTAAAACCATCACAATGGCAATTAAATTTCAACATGAATTTTGGAGGAGACATTCAAACCATAGAATTTTGCCCCTGACCCTCAAAACTCATGTTCTTCTCACATAGAAAATACATTCATTCCATCCGAGTAGCCCCAAAATTCTTAATTCATTCCAGCACCAACTCCAAAGTCCAGAGTCTCATCTGAATCAGATGTGGGTTGTAGTCAAGGTATGATTTATCCTGAGGCAAATTCTCTCCATTCATGAGCCTGTGAAATCAAACAAGTTACCTATTTTCCAAAACCCAACAGGGAAAACATTAAGACTTTTTTTTTTTTTTTTTTTGATTGCAGTGGCACAATCTCCTGCCTCAGCCTTCTGAGTAGCTGGGATTACAGGCACTTGCCACCGCGCCCAGCTAATTTTTGTATTTTTAGTAGAGACAGGGTTTCACCAGGTTGGCCAGGCTGGTCTTGAACTCCTGACCTCAAATGATCCACCCGCTTCAGCCTCCCAAAATGCTGGGATTACAGGCATGAGCCACTGTGCCTGGCCAACATTAAGTCCTAAAGTGGGAGAATAATCTCCTTTGACTCTTTGTCCTACATCTAGGGGTTGGGGTTGGGCAGCCAAGGCCTCAGGCAGCCCTGCTCCAATGGTTCAGTCCATGCAGTAGCTGTCATGGGTTGGAGTCTCGTATCTGTAGTTCTCCCAGGCTGGTGTTGCATGCTGTTACCCCCACAATTCTGGAGTCCTAAGAGTGGCCCTACTTCCATGCTCTACTAGGCAGCCCTAGTGGAGACTCTGTGTCAGCTCTGACCCCGCATTTCCACTTGTCATTGTCGTAGGGGCTCTCTGCAGTGGCTGTGTCCCTGCACAATTCTCTGCCTGGGCCCCCAGACTGTCAGCAACATCCTTTGAAATCTAGGTGGAGGAAGCCAGGTCTTCACAGCTATTGCATTGTGCATGCCTGCTGCATCAGCACCACATGGACACTGCCAAGCTCTACAGCTTGCATTTTCTGGATCAAGCCATACCTGGGCCTAATGAGCCATGGCTAGGGTGGCCACAGAGTGCTGCTCTGGAACCCCAGGAGCAGACCTGAGGCAGCTCTGAGCTGAGTCCATGGAGGGTGCCTTGGGCCTTTCCCCTAAATCATTTTACCCTTTTAGAGTTCTGGGCCTGTGATTGTAGGGGCAGACTTGAAGATCTTTGAAATGCTTTATGGTCTGTCTCCCATTGTCTTAATGAATAGCACCTTCCTTTTGTCCATGTTTATCTCCTTAGTAAAAAGTCACTTAGCCACACACTTAGTTTTCTCTCCTGAACATACTTTTCTATTATTTATATGGCCAGGCTATACATTTTCCAAATATTTCTACCCTGATTCTCTTTTAATTATAAATTCCATCTTTATTTCTTTCCTCTCACATCTCATTGTATGCAGTTAAAAACAGCCACACAGCAGTCTGAATGCTTTGCTGCATAGATATTTCTTCCACCAGATATCCCAGTTCGTCACTGTTAAGTTCTGCACTTTATAAGGCCCTAGAACGCAGACACAATCCCCCAAGTTCTTTGCAACTGTATACAAGGATGGCCTTTACTCTAGTTTCCAATACCTTGCTCCTCATTTCCATCTAGGACCTCATTAAAATAGCCTTTACCAATTTTCTGTTTTAGTCTTTTTTTTTTTGCTATAACAGAATACCACAGACTACATAATTTATAAAGAATAGAAGTTTATTTGGCTCATGGTCCTGGAGGCTGAGAAGTCAAAATGCATGGCACCAACAAATGGTGAGGGCCTTCATATTGCATCATCCCATGGCAGAAGGCATCATGTGGCAAGGGAGGGCAAGAGCACTTGAGACAGAAAAAGTGGGTAGAACTCCAATGCTAACTAACCCACTTTCTCAATAATGGCATTAATCCATTCATGAGGGCAGATCCCTAATAACCTAATCACCCTGGTAAAGGTCCCATCTCTTATTACCGTCACAATGGCAATTAAATTTTAACATGAGTTTTGGAGGAGACATTCAAACCACAGCAATCATACCCTATACATTTGTGTCTAGCATTTTTTACCTACTGTTTGTGAGATTTATTCATGTTATTGCAAATAGCTGTGGTTCATTTATTTTTGTGGGTGTTGTAATATTCCATTATATGAATGTTTCACTATTTACCCACTTTGCTGCAGACAGGCATTTGGATTGTTTCCAGGTGGAGGCAATTATGAATAATGCCATTGAGAACATTCTTATACATGTCTTTTGATGTAATGTGTACTCATTTCTGTTGGGTATAAACCTAGGAGTAAAATTATTTTGTCACAGGGGTATACATATGTTCAGCTTTAGTTGACATTGACAAATGTTTTGCCAAAGAATTGCACCAATTTACACTCCCACCACCCATGTTTGAGAGTTTCCATTGCTCCAGATCTTTGCCAACGTTTTCATTGTGATTTAGCTATCTAAGCAAAGTGTTTTAGATGCCTATTAGACCTTCAAGCTGAGATATCAAGACTGTTGGATATGCAAGTCTGGGGTATGAGGAAGAGGTCTTAAAAAAAAGAAATCAGAAAGATGAAGATCCATGTGTGAGGTAGGCAGCATGTGAGGTAGTAAGATAATCAGCAGAGTGTGGTACCCCAGAAGCTGAATGAAAAAAGTGATTCAGGTAAAACACTTCTGAGAGGTTTAATAAGATGAAGAGAGAATTGACATTGGATTTGGCAGTGAGAAGGTCAGTGGTGATCTTAGGAGCAGTTTTGGTAGAGTGGTGGAACTAAAACCTGATGGGAGGGCTTAATATGAGAATAGGAAATAAGACACTGGAGAACACAAATTTGAATACTTGAGTTTTCCATAATGGGAAAAGAAAATTGGGGTAGTTGCTAGAAGAGGACATGGAGTTGAGGATTTTTTAAATATTCAATGTTATAGTATGTTTGAATCCTATTGGGATTGAATGAATAGAGAGAAAAAAACTGACAATTCAGAAAGGAGAAGGGATAAATAGGTTGGAGTTTCTGAGGAAGCAAGATAAGATGAGCTTCAGGCCACAAGCAGAAGGGTTGGCCTGAAAATAGGAGCATAAATAATATGGTGGTTAAAATAGGAGGGAACAAAGAGTATTTGGCTATGGTTGCAATGGGTTGGTGGAGGATGGATGTGGAAGTTCTGTCCTGATTGCTTCTATTTTTTTCATAGAAATTAGATCATAACCTGAGAATGAGAAGTAGGTATAAAGGGATGTTAGAAGTTTAAGAAGAGGAGATCAGGTCACCTCCTGTAGAATGAGAAAGTGAATTGACTAAAGAAATGTAGGATTGGAGGGTAGTACCAAATTATCTCAAAGGGTATCTCCTTTCAGATAATTGGGTCGTGAGTTCAAAATGAGACAAATCATCATCACTGAGTTTTCTTTAGCTATGTTCAGGTACATGAGAGCAGGAGTGGAGTAAGCTGAAAATTGGATTTAGCTAGAATTTTTCCAGAAGAGTGTGACCCAAGAGAGAGGGGTAAGACAGCAAGGGTGCTTATGAGAAATAAATTATAGTGATGTCCTGTGGAATTCAAAGTGAGAAGAAGTGAAAGTAAGAGCTAAAGTGGGGGTGGAGGGAGGTGGGAAGGGAGTTAGAAAAGCAAAAATAAATCCATAATTTTATTATTTTAGGTTTTGTTGGGGCTGAAAAAATTATAGTTGAAGTATTAAAGGGAGGAGAGTAAGTTGAAAAGATAGGGCCTGGTAGTTTGGAAGTGGAATGCTTGAAACTGAGGTTTTGAGGAGTGTGCTTATTGGTAATGCCACAAGGTCTAGGTTGTTGACTATTGGTGTGGATGTCTGAGGTGGAAGGGAAAACAAGATCATTGGAAGAGAGGAAGGCAAAGGCCTGAGAGCCTGAGATATTGAATGGATTGATTACATACATATCGAAATCACCAAGTATAATGGTCTGAGCAGTCATGGGAAGTGTGAGGAAGGTGCTATCATCTCCCACAAATGAAGAAGTGACCGGGAATTAGTAGATTACTTCAGCAAGGGGTAGTAAGTGGTTTAGTTTGATAGCAGGTGTCTTAGAGGAGCTAGGGGGCTCTAGGGAGAGAAACAATGGCCTGAATGTGGCAATGAGGAGCAAAAAGGGCACCTACCTCACCCTCCAGGCCCAGTTAAGTCAGGTGTGGAATACAAAGCAGCCACTGCTTACATAAGAGAGATGCAAGAGAAGAAGAACCCGAAGGTGAAGGAAATGTTCCAGAAGAGGTGCCAAAATTATTTGGAGAATTGTTTTCAGAGTCTGTAATGTATTTTCTTGTGAATTCCATCATTGTGACAAATGCAAATGAGAAAGTGGCTTTGATAATTTGGGAACATTTTGAATCAAAAATAGTGAGCACAGAGTCTGGGCTCTGAAATGTTACAGTAAAGAGGCAGAAGAAAGGCAGTGGAAGAGGGCCAAGCCCCTGGACCCACTACCTCATAATGATGGGCTCTTTTCTTTTTTTTTTTCTTTCTTTTTTTCTTTTTCTTTCTTTCTTTCTTTCTTTCTTTCTTTCTTTCTTTCTTTCTTTCTTTCTTTCTTTCTTTCTTTCTCTTTCTTTCTCTTTCTTTCTTTCTTCCTTTCCTTCCTTCCTTCTTCCTTCCTTCCTTCCCTCCCTCCCTCCCTCCTTCCTTCCTTCCTTCCGTCCTTCTTTCTCTCTCTCTGTTTCTCTCTCTCTTTCTTTCTTTCTCTCTCTTTCTTGCTTGCTTTCTTTCTTGCTTGCTTCCTAGTGTACTTGCTTTCTTGCTAGCTTACTTGCTTTCTTGCTTTCAACAGGGTCTGGCTCTGTTGCCCAGGCTGGAGTGCAGCCTCGAACTCCTGGGCTCAAGCAATCCTTCCACCTCAGCCTCCTGACTAGCAGAGACTACAGGTGTGTGCCACCATGCCTGGCTAATTTTTTTTATTTTTTGTAGAGACAGGGTCTCACTTTGTTTCCCAGGCTGGTCTGGAACTCCTGGCTTCAGGTAATCCTCCCGCCTTGGCCTCCCAAAATACTGGGATTACAGGCATGAGTCACCATGTTTGGCTGACCCCCATTATTATTTAAAATTGCATAACTGGTTGAAAGGTAAGTACGGCAAATACATTATTGGGGGAAACGACTTCAGTTTTCATCATAATTATCCTATTGTTTTAGGAGAAAGTAATCACGGCCCAAGTCCCTAGGTAATATACAGAATCCAGGCTGTAGAGAATAGGAAATGAAACCAAGAAGAGGCTGAGAAAATAGAAGGGCACGGGGCCCATGAAGGAACAGTGCCTAGATTAATTAGGAGGCTTAAAGAATTAGAGGCACATATGACAATGTTGGTGTGATCTCTATCAGGTTATTTTAGCATGATCAAAATAATTTGAATCACACATCTAACTTCCCTTGCACTAATTTCACATTTTTTAGGCTGATTTTCTCCTATACACCCTTCTTTTCTGATAACAAGTTGGTTTACCCTATAGGTATGACTACGAAAAGAGAATGCAATGTTTGTGTTCACTAAGTATTTCAGTCTTCATAATAGTTGCAGTTCTCATTGTTAATTAATAAATTAGCATTGTTTTATACATCAGTTTCAAGTGAGTTTGGTTAATGTGAATCAGCCTATCAATTATTTTCTGACAACATCTAGTTTCAAGGCCCTGGATTATGACTATAGCAATAACAATTACCATTTATTAAATAACAACATGTCAGTAAGCTTAACATGCTTTATCTCATTTTTAAAATAAGAATCCTAGGAGATTTGTGTCACCATACCTATTCTTATAAGTGACAAAGTTGAAATTAAAATGGTAAGTAACTTTCCTAAGGTCAATCATATAGAAAGTGGTAGAGTCAGCATTCAGATTCTGTTCTGGCCAGATACAGTGGCTCTTGTCTGTAATCCCAGCACTTTGGGAGGCCAAGGCAGATGGATTGCTTGGGCCCAGGAGTTTGAGACCAGCCTGGGCAACATAATGAAACCCTGTTTCTAGAAAAATTACAAATAATTAGCCAGGCGTGGTGATAGGGCTGTAGTCCCAGATACTCGGGAGGCTGAGGCGGGCAGATTGCTTGAACCTGGGAGGTGGAGGTTGCAGTCAGCTGAGATTGTGTCATTCACTCCAGCTCCAGAGCAAGATCCTGTCTGAAAAGAAAAACAAACAGAAAAACCACATTCTGTTCTGACTTGCTTCAGAGTTCATGCTTTTCCACCTCATCACAATGCCTATCAGTAAATCACCAAAGGTAATGCTATATCCTGAGTGGTCAGCCAACTGGGTTTCTTTTAGTAACAAGGACACATAGCCAAGTGCCTCTTTTAAATTTCATGATAGTTTGCACCTTCTCTTTTTCATTTTATTTATTTTATTTATTTATTTTTTTGAGACAGAGTCTTGCTCTGTCGCCCAGGCTGGAGTGCAGTGGCGCGATCTCGGCTCACTGCAAGCTCCGCCTCCCGGGTTCATGCCGTTCTTCTGCCTCAGCCACCCGAGTAGCTGGGACTACAGGCACCCACCACCACGCCCGGCTAATTTTTCTGTATTTTTTATTAGAGACGGGGTTTCACCGTGTTAGCCAGGATGGTCTGGATCTCCTGACCTCGTGATCCGCCCGCCTCGGCCTCGCAAAGTGCTGGGATTACAGGAGTGAGCCACCGTGCCCGGCCTGCACCTTCTCTTTTATACACCCAGTGTTCTATCCTCACTGAACTTCCCTTGTTACAAAGCTCCCCCCAAACCCAATGTGTCGTTTTCTTAAGAAAATCATAACTTTGGTGAAGTTCCTTGTCAACACCTTTACAAATCTAAACAGATCACATTATCATGATCAAGGTAAAATTTCTTCATTGTGTCAGTATACCAGAGGATTGCCAGTGTACCCTCAATTAATTTAAAAAAGCAAATGATCACTGCTTATTTAATGAGTGTCTGTAATGTAGTGATCATGATGAAATGAACAGAGTACCATTGCTGTTTACATCCAGGCTCAAATCTCAGGACTACCGCTTACCATAAGTGAAACTTTAGGTTTTTAACTTCTCTGTACATCAGAGAGCTACAGAATTATAAAATGAATATTGTTAGACTCTCCAAAACTGACTCTCTTGGGTGCTTGAGCAACTTTACACTACCTCTCAATAGAGCTTCACTTTTGTGGAATCAGTAAAATCCATAAATCAATTAGACAAAAATCAATGAATGAACAATTAGCTAAAAATCAGTTCATCCACTTTATCGATTTACCAAAAACGTGTTTCTTTAACTGGAAAGTATGGGCAAAAGGAGAAAATAGGCAATGATAAGAGTGAAAATATTGGATACATGAGTTTTGATAGTTTTAAACATTTCTTTAAAATTTCAGCTGCCCAGTTTTTTTTTAGCATATAAAGAAATGTTCAACTTGGAGAAAGTTAAGGATAAGAAGTCAGTTTCATCTCCTAATAAATAATGCAAAAAGTAAAATTGCACTCAGTAACAAAAAAATTTTCATACAAGATTAGTATTACAGTTGTCCCTTCTTATTCACAGAGGATACATTCCAAGACCCTCAGTGGATGTCTAAAACTGTGGATTATACTGAACCCTATACATACTGTACTGCTTTTCCCTACACATACATACCTATGATAAAGTCTAATTGTTATAAACTAGGCACAGAAAGAGATTAACAACAATAATAAAACAACTATAATAGTATACTGTAGTAAAAGTTATGTGTGGTCTCTCAAAATATCTTACTGTATTGTGCTCATACTTCTTGTGATGATGCGAGATGATAAGATACCTATGTGATGAGATGAACTGAGGTGAATGATGTAGGTATTGTGACACAGTGCTAGGCTACTCTTGACCTTTTGACAATACCTCAGAAGGAGTTTCATCTGCTTCAGGTGATCCTGGATCATGAAGCCATGGCAATGTCCATGGTTGGATGTCAGGAGCAGACAATGTCGTGGATGTGCTGGACAAATACATTCATGTCCCGGGGGGATGAAACCGGATGGCATGAGATTTTGTCATGCTACTCATAATGAAGCACAATTTTAAATTTACAAATTGTTTATTTCTGGAATTTTCCTTTTAATATTTTCGAACAGTAGTTGACATCAGGTAACTGAAACCTTGGAAAGGGAAACTACAGATAGTGCAGGGGCTACTGTACAAATCTGGTAGACATGGACCATAAATTTGCCAAGAAACATTCTAGGGCGTTGCTTCTCAAAATTTAAAGTACTTATGAATCATTCAGGGTCTTGTTTAGGAGGTCTGGAAAGAGGTCTAGGATTCAGCATTTCTAATAGGCTCTTGGTGATGCTGCTGATCTGCATACTACACTCTAAAATACTAGTTACTACAGTGACTTCTTCAATATGAAATAACGAAGTTTTGGCTATGAATTTTGAGAAATAAAAAATTAAAGCGAATGTGCCATTTAAGACATTGATAAAATAATAGTGAAGCTTTTAGAGATTGGCAAAATGAAAAATAACTTTGTAAAAAAACTCAAAATTGGCCAAAGAAATCCCATCACACATAGAATGCTAAAATTTATAATTTTGGCTGCTAGAAATACAAAATTTGAGGAATTGAATAAGTACTAAAAATAACTAACATTATATTTAAAAGGTGATATTTAGAAGCATCTAAAACAGAAAAGAAATGGCCCCCAAATTCTTAATTATAAAGCTCTATAATTTTCATTTTAATTTGCTAATATTGGGATATTTCAAGTTACTTGGTTTGCAGAAAGATCTGACATGGAAGAATAAAATTACTGAAAGCAGTATAAACAAAGTCATGATGCCTAGAAGAGATTACTTTAAAGGACAGTATGATCTGTACTGCCTCATTTGTGAGCTGCCATCCTGTACTCCTAGCTGCCTACTGGACATTTCTACTCAGATGGCATGTCCAATTAAAAAAAGCATGTCCAATGCTCCACTGGCATGTCCAATTAAGTACTCCTACAGTGGAATTTATCACTTCCTCCTCAGAGAACAAATCCAGTATTTCCTTTTCCTGTAGTTTTTCTTATTTATTTAACAAATGTTTATTGAGCACTCATATTTCTTATAAATTACAGATACAAATATAATATAATTAGTTCTCAAGACTTCACAATCTATTCATGCATATAGATGGAACAATTAAAATTATATAATGAAATGTCACCTGTACTAAAGATGTAAACAAAGTGATGTACTTGGCTAAGAAACAGCAAGCCATTTTACTCCATGGTAAACTTCCCAGTAAAGGTAACATTTTAATATGGGCCCTGATGAAACTATTCAAGCAAAGAAAGGAAGGAAGTGCATTCTGGGAATATAAATCAACATGATAAAAGGTTTGAAGGTTTATGGTGAATTCCCAAAGAGTTTGTAGTCTTATAATTGCTGTTGTGTGGGATACATGGCATAGAGTGATAGAAGATGATGTTGTGTAAGTGGATTTGACCTAACTACCTAGGAATAAAATGGACATTGATACCAGCAGATAATTATTCCTACAGAGAATAAAAATTACTCTTTTGATCTCCTTGTTCAAAATGTCCAGGATAAGTAGAAGCCCAAGGCCACTGCAAGACACAGCCTCTGATTCTGATTTCTCTCAGCCTTGAAGATTGCTTCATATTTTTTAAGAGGTTAAAGAAGCTGATTTAGTTGCAAAGACACCAAAGCTAGAAATAATGTAAGTCAAGACAGTTCAGATGACAGCTGTAATAGCTTTCTATTGCTGCATAACAAATTCCTACAAACTTTGTGGCTTAAAACAACACAAATTTACAGTTCACAGTTCTGTAGGTCAGAAGTCTGGGTAGGTTCAATTGGTTTCTCTTTGTAGGGTCTTACAAGGCTTAAATCAAGGTGTTGATCAAGCTGCATTCTCATCTAAAGGATCTGTAGAAGAATCTGCTTCCAAGCTTATTCAGATCATTGACAGGATACACTTCCTTGTAATTGAAGGACTGAGATCCCCATTTTCTTGCTGGCTATTGACTAGAGGTTGGTCTCAGCTCTAAAGGCCCCTTTCAGGTCCTTTCCACGGAGTCCTCCTCATCTTCAAAACTATGAACCACAGTCAGATCCTTCTCATGCTACCAGCTGGAGAAAGCTCTCTGCTTTTAAAAGGCTCATTTGACCAGGTTAGGCCCAGCAGGATAATCTATTTTAAAGTCAACTGATGAGTAATCTTAATTACATCTACAAAATTTATTTTGCCATGTAACCTAGCATAATTATGTAAGTAATACTAGAAACGGAAGGGTCCATGGGAATCATCTGACAATTCTTCCTACCACAATAGTTGACTATGAGTATTGACATACACTTGTATAATATATTTTATCAGGCCACAAAAACCTGAAGGTTAACACAGAATGTTTATATAGTCCTGTCTCTACCTACTTTGTGAAAACTATGATCTTCTCAAATTCCTCCTACCTCTGAGATTCCTTAGGGAGAATTTTATTTGTGCCTCCAAAGGTACCCACAAATGCCTTTTTCATGTCCTCCTTTTTCAGATGTTTCATTGCCAAATTGCCATTTCTTGGCAGTCAAGAAAAATGTACTGAGCTGGTCACGATCCTAGTTGTAATAAACAAAGCAGTGTTCCTTTTCTCCAAGGAGCTTACATTCTCAAGTGACACATACATATATAAGTGAGATAATGCAAATACTGAGAAAAATTATGAAGATCAACAAAATACTAACTTAGCAAACCAAATTCAGCAACATATTAAAAGAATTATACACCAGGAATGAGTGAAATTTATTCCTGGAATGTATGAATGGTTTAACAACTGAAAGTTAATGCGATACACCACATTAATAGAATGCAGGAAAAAAATTACATGATCGCCTTCCTTAATACAGGAAAAAGCAGTTGAAAAATTCAATATACTTTCACAATAAAATAAACTCATAAGGCCGGGCACAGTGGCTCATGCCTGTAATCCCAGCAGTTTGGGAGGCCAAGGCAGGCAGATCACCTGAGGTCAGGAGTTCGAGACTAGCCTGGCCAATATGATGAAACCCCTTCTCTACTAAAAATACAAAAATTAGGTGGGGGTGGTGGCGTGTGCCTGTAGTCCCAGCTACTCAGGAGGCTGACGCACAAGAATTGCTTGAACCTGGGAGGCGGAGGTTGCAGTGAGCTGAGATCGTGCCACCTGGGTGACAGAGTGAGACTCAGTCTCAGAAAAAAAACAACAACAAAAAAAACACACACATACTCATAGACTAGGAATCGATGAAAACTCCCTTAACATGATAAAAACCATACATAAAAAACACACAGCTAACGTCATACTCAATGGTGAAAGACCAAAAACCTTTCCCTTAAGAACAGGAATAAGATAAGGATGCTTACTTGGGCCCACTATCTATTTAGCATATTCTTTAATTTAGGATCGTTAAGCTGGAGAGCACCCCCTTCAATGATTAAGAGAGACACAAGATGGAAATAAAGATTTTATCTCTTGCAGGTCCTGACAGGTACATGGCATGACTGAAGGCCATACCATATGACTGAAGGCATATGAAGGTCAGGGAATGCAGGTAGCGGGAGAGAAAGAGGGACCCTTGGGCCAATACCTTTACTGGGTCTACAGCATTATTGAAACAGATTTCTCTCAGGGAGTTTTAACTGATGGGTTTAAAACAAGCAGGTAAGAGTTCCGAGGTCATGCAACATAAAATCATCAGAATTTACAACACATTATTGGAAGTTCTAGCCAGAGTAATTAATTAAGAAAAAGAAAGATAAGTTACACAAATTGAAAAGGAAGAAGTAAAATTATCTCTGTTTGAAGATGGCTTGATTTTATGTGCAGAAAACTCTAAAGATTCCACAAAAAAACCTAGAGCTAATAAAGGAATTCAGCAAAGTTGCAGAATACAAAATCAATACACAAAAATTAGTTGCATTGCTATACACTAACAAGGAACAATCCAGAAGGGAAATTAAGAAAACAATTGTACTTAACAATTGCATAAAAATAAAATACTTAAAAATAAATTTAACCAAGGAGGTGAATGATTTGTACACTAAAAACTACAAAACACTACCAAAAGAAATTAAGACATAAATGAATGGTAAGACATTGCATTGGATTGGAAGACTTAATATTGCTAACAGAAAAACGTCATCCGAAGCAACCAACAGATTCAATGTAATCCCTGTAAGAATCCTAATAGTGTTTTTTTTCTAGATAATAAGAAAAACTCATCCTAAAATTCACATGGTATCTCAAAGGACCCCAAATAGCAAATAAATAAATAAATAGACAAAGTTGTAATACTTTCTGATTTTAAAACTTACTACAAATTTACAGTAATCAGAAGAATGTGATACTGACATAAAAACAGATATATAGACCAATGGAAGAGACTAGACAGCAAAGAAATAAACCCTCACAGGTATGGCCAATTGATATTCAACAAGAGCAAGCACCAAGACCATTCACTGGGCAGAGGACAGTCTATTCAACAAATGGCTCTGGGAAAACTGCATGTTCATATGCAAAAGAATGAAGATGAACCCTTACCTACACCACACTAAAAAATTCACTCAAAATGGATCAAAGACCTAAATGTAAAAATATACAACCATTAGAAGAAAACATAACCCCTACAAGAAAATCTTCATGACATTGGATTTGGCAGTGATTTCTTGAATATGATACTGAAAGCATAGGAAACAAAAAATAGGTAAATTGGACTTCATCAAAGTTTCTAACTTTTGTGCATCAAAGGACACTATTAAGAAGGTGAAAAGGCAACCCACAGAAAGGGAGAACATATTTGCAAATCATATATCTGATAAGGGATTAATATTCAGAATATATAAAGAACACCTACAACTCAACAACAAAAACCCAATTCGAAAATGGGCAAAATATTTGAATAGAAAATTTTCCAAAGAAGATATACTGTATAAACACATAATAAAATGCTCAATATAAGTAGCCATTAGGAAAATGCAAATAAAAACCACAACAAGGTACCACTTTACACCCATTAGGATGGTTACTATTAAAGCAAAGGAAAATAGCAAGTGTTAGCTAGTATGCAGACAAATTGCAACCCATGCTTTGTTGGTAGGAATGTAAAATGGTGCAGATTATGTGGAAAACCATTCAGTAGTTCCTCAAAAAAGTTAAACAGGATTACCACATGATCCAGCAACTCTATGTCTTGGTATATACCCAAAAGAATTGAAAGCAAATGTAGTCTTAGCTACTCAGGAGGCTGAGGCGGGAGGATCACTTGAGCCCAGGAGACTGAGGCTGCAGTGAGCTATGGTTGCACCACTGCACTGCAGCCTGGGTGACAAAGCAAGACCCTGTCTCAAACAAAGAGGAAAGAAAGAAAAGAGAGGAAGAAAGAAAAGAGAGGAAGGAAGGAAGGAAGGAAGGGAGGGAGAGGAAGGAAGGAAAGAAGGAAGGAAGGAGAAAAAGAAAGAAAGAAGAAAGAAAGAAAAAGAGAAAGAAAGGAAGGAAGGAAGGGGAAGGAAGGAAGAAAGAGGAAAGAAGGAAGGAAGGAAGGAAAAAAATTGAAAGCAAGATCTTGAAGAGATATTTGTGCATCCGTATTCATAACAGCATTATTTATGATAGCCAAAAGGTAGAAGCAACCCAATTGTCCATTAATAATTGAATGGGTAACAAAATGTGGTATACACATACAATAGAATATTATTCAAGCTGAAAAAGGAAGGAAATTCTGATACATGTTACAACATGAATGAACCTTGAAAACATTATGCTAAGTGAAATAAGCCAGACACAAAAGGGCAAATATGGTATGATTCCACTTAGGTGAGGTATCTAGAATAAGCAAACTTACAGAGACATAAAGTAGATTACAGTTTCCAGCAGTTAGGAGGAGAGGGGAATGGGGAGTTATTATTTAATAGACAGAAAATTTCTGTTTGGAATGATGAACAGTGGTGATTGCTCAGCATTGTGAATGTACTTAATGCCACTGAATTGTACACTTGAGAATGGTTAAAATAGGAAAGTTTATGTTATGTATATTTTACCACAGTAAAAAATATAAAGAAAATGAAATAGGGTAATGTGATGGAGAATGACTGGTGCATGTGATTTTGGTGAGCAATGTCAAGAAAGCCTCTGAGGTGACATCTTAACTGAGTTTCACTTACTACAGCTGTATAACAAATTATCCCAAAACATAGTGGCTTAAAACAATCAGTTATTATGGTCATGCATTTGTGGGTCAGGAATTTGGACAGGGCACAGAGGGCATAGTTTGTCTCTGTCCCATGATGTCTGTCTGGTGCTCAGTTGGAAGACTTGAAGGCTGGGGTTGAAGTCATCTATAGGCTCACTCAATTACATATCTGGCAGTTGACACTGGCTATCTGCTGAGTCCCTAGTTTTGCCATAGGCCAAAAGATTCACAGGTTGTCTCTCCAGATGGCCTGGGCTTTCTCACGTTATGGTGGCTGGGTTCCAAAGGTGAGCATCCTGAGAGAGAGTCAGGTATCAGATGACATCTCACTTGTTATAACCTAGCCATGGAAGTCACTCACTGGCACTTCTGTCAAATACTATTCATGGATGCAGTAAAAATATCCCACCCAGGTTGGGAGGTGGAATGGGAGAATAGCCTTCACTTCTTACCAGAGACTAGCAAGGTTCTGGAAGAACATTTGGGACTGCAAATATTGCTGTGGCCATTTTTGGAAAGTAGAATCTCCCACAGTCCTGAAGGATGAGAAGAGGAAACCACAGAAAGATCTGGGAGAAAGAGCGTTCCAAGAAGAAGGCACAAAAAAGACCCCTCTCCCTGCAGCCTCTCCTATCTCAGAAAAGGCCTGTCATCATCTCTTGAGATCTTTTGTTACTTGTGCTACAAAGCAGGGATGTTCCCTTTGCCTTAAACGGCTAATAGAGATTTTTTTTAAGAAGCAGCTCTTTAATTAAGAAATTTTCCTTAGTCTTTATTACTGTTCCTTCTTTCTGCAGTTCAGGCAGCTGAGAAAGAGGATTGTATAAATATCAAACAGGATGTGGATATTCAAAATCATGCTTTACTTCAGCTACTGGCCCTCTGTCCTTCACACTTGCTACAAATCCACTTTCACGTCTTTTCTACAAGTTATTGGCCCATCATGCAGAAACTACCTGTAATTGTCTGTTTCCTTTTATGATAGTTGACTGCCGACAGCTTTCAAGCCAACCCTTCTTCCTTTCTGTACCACATCTGGACAGCTGATAAGAAAGTTTGGATGCTCTCTCCCTTGGTGTCCTAGCAAGGTGGGGGTGGGAGTTGTTCAAACTATGTAAGCCCTGCCTTGCATGGGAAACCCTTATCCCAGTCCCATCCCCTAACCACCATAAAACTCCAAGCTAGAAACCTCTCCCTGCTTTCTCTCAATACATTTTCGGACTAGTTTGGGAGCCTGCCATACTTTACCTGTGAGTCTCATTGTGTGAATAATAAACCTTCTTACTCCTTTAGTGTGTGTGGAGTCATCAGTCTTGACATCTAAACCAAATTTGGGGTGGTTGTGGGGCATCCATCGTGCCTTTGTGGGGTGCCATCCCAGCACCCCAATGTGAGTCCTTGATTAAGCACAACTCATTATTTCAACTGGAAATCTTCACACACAGATGTTAGGAATCAAATTGTTTCCCTATAGAAATTCTGGCTCTACTATGAAAGCACAGTGTAAAATTAAAACCATGCCTACTTGCTGGATTGGAACAAGACATACTGTTACTTATGCTTCCTGTTCTTTTATTCTGTGGTCTATCAGTACTAGAGAGTGTTGGCAGTTGCTAAAGGTTTAAGAAATATTGCAGAATAAGTTAATGCTGAGAAAAAAATCAATCCATTAACATTTCCTCCTGTCAACTATAATTATTAAATTTTTATTTCTGTCCAACTGATGGTAGAGAGTTGTTCCCAGGAAAAATAGTTTGATACAAAAGAAAGGTCAGAGACATGTATCTATCTCTGGATTTGTTGCTGTGAAGATAATGTGGTGAGGGGAGGGAATGGGGGACCAACATGAATGACCTCACAGTGGGATGGGACTTGTATCTAGATCCTGTCTTGAACACATCCTTTGCCTCAGATAGGCCCCTCCAGGTCATGGATGAACCCATCCCTGAATAGAGGTGAGGGGATTCATCTTGATTGTGGCCTCTGAGAAATGTAGTTCTGAGGAGAATATACAGGGCCAAGGGAAATCTGGAACAACAGTTCTGAGGAGCTGATGGCCCCAGCACTGCCCAAGAATGAAAATTAAAGGATGGGTCTATTGGTGAAATAAGGTATTTTCAGGGACCTCTTGTTGTTTGTGCCTTTATTTTCTTCACTGCATCTCTTGGCAGAGTCCCAGCAAGAATGAAAATTAAAGGATGGGTCTATTGGTGAAATAAGGTATTTTCAGGGACCTCTTGTTGTTTGTGCCTTTATTTTCTTCACTGCATCTCTTGGCAGAGTCCCAGCAAGAAAGTGGTACTACATTAATTGAAGAAAGTATAAACAAAGGTCAGTGGGACGCGAACTTTTAGCAATTGTAGTAAAACATGAACACTCCTGACCCTGAAAGAGCAAGGGCAAAAGAAGAGTATATTTGTTTCCTATGAACACTGCAATAAATTGCCACAAATATGCTTGGTTAAAACAACAGAGATTTATTCTCATTAGTTCTGGAATCCAGAAGTCTGAATTAAGTTTCACTGGGCCAAAATTAAGGTGTTGGCAAGTTCCAGGGAAGACTATTCCTTGCCTCTTCCAGCTTGTGGTAGTTGCCAGGATTCCTTGGCTTGTGGCTGCATCACTCCAATCTCTGCCTCCATTGTACCCTCCTCTTCTGTGTCTGTCAGCAAATCTCTCTCTGCCTTCCCTCTTACAAGAATACATGTGCTTGCTTTTAGAGTCCACGCTGCTAACCAGGATAACCTCCTTATCTCAAGATCCTTGACTTAATCATGCCTGCAAAGTCCTTTTTTTGACAAATAATATTCACGGGTTCCAGGGGTTAGTGTAAGCAGACCCGGGGGTGGGTGGGTGGGGAATAATACCATGACTTGTCTCTTGTCCCACCTATGCAGTTAAAACAGTTCAGAACATACCATCCTAAAATATGCTACTCTGGGATATTGACTATTTTGAGTTAAAGGCATTTGAAATACAGCAGGTGCATAAGATCACTCTGACCTTAAATGCAGAAGATAAAATCCCCGTGTGAAAGATGCCCTCCCTATACAGGAAGGAAAATTTAATTCTTGTCATCAAGAATGAGAAGTTGAGGCTGAGGGAAATCTGTACAAACAAACCCTGTTAAATTAACTCTTATCTTCCTAGTCACTTCTCCACCCAATTAACTTCTCTAGCCCAACCCCCTTTGCCTTGTCACATTTTCACAAGTTACTACTCTTTGTCCAATTCACTATATAAGTTTTCAACTTTAACTGTTTCTTTGGGTCTTTATTTCCTTATGAAGGCTCTGTGCCACAAAAAACTTGTATTAAATAAGCTTGTATGTTTTTCTCCATTGATCTGACTTATGTCAATTTAATTCTTAGGCCGAGCCAAACAAACAAACAAATACACTAAGAGAATAGAAGTAAAAGTTTGCCCCCCTGCCCACAGAGTCCATAGAGATCAGCCTTTTGCTGGGGCTCAGAGGAGAGTAAAGAATGCACATGGAGGGGCAAAAAGAAGAGAATAGTGCAAAGCTGTAACTGGGTGTGTAAGGAAATGAGGCACAGTGGGAGTGTCAGGAGGCAATCATCCATCAACCATTCACTCATTTACTTAACAATATTTATTAAACCTTCAGGTTGGGGGCACCAGGCACCAGAGCACCACTGACTGATGAGAGCTCAGCCCGCAAGAAGCTAACAACATAATCTGAAAAAGATAAGCACAAACACAGGGCACCAAAAGATAGAGGATAATAAGCATCCAGAGAGGGACATAGGTTAACATTGCTGAGTGCAGAAAAGAGGGGAAGAACTTGCAGTGAAGCTGAGAAAGAATGCTTTAGACCAGGCTGCTTCTCTAATGACTGCCAGGCTCTTGCCAATATGATGAATACAACAAAGTAGAAGCAAGTTTGTCGCAAAAGGAAGAGAGGCAAAGAATGTGACCTCTAATGTGTAATTGTGGAGACAGAGATCCTAACCCTATTACTTCTGTAGGTTCATGTACATAAGTGTGTGCATTCATAACCACAATAACCAATGGATGGAGGTATTCTGTGTAAGTGACCAAGAAAGAAAGCAAGGAGGAAACCACAACACCTTTTATGACTTAGCTTCTGAGGTCACAGACTTAGCTAATATTATTCTTCCAGTATCCAGTCCAGGCTTTCCCGGCAAGTTCTCCCTTATGTGAGGAAGTTCCTGAAATTTGAGAAGAAGAGACCCTTTGTGTCTGCTGCTGAGGCGGGAAGGAGTACACAGCCTGCTCACTCACCAACACTTAGCCAGATTTTATGACTTAAATGAAAGTTGGGGGAGTGTTTGCCTTATCAGTATATCATAACTTTATTCATTTTCTCATATTCCCACAGGAAGACTTGGAGTATTATCTCCAATTCTGCAGATGAGAAAAACTGAGGCTCAGGTCTCATTATGTAATATCGTATCACTAGTTATAACTGGTTAGTAGTACCACAGAAACTAGAAACGTGGGTTTCCTGAGCCTGCGGCCTTTTTCCAGACCATGCCAGTTGGTGAAACTCATATTTTAGTTTCACATACCTAATTAGTAAGTTACTTAGCATTTGGTTTCCTCAAATGTCTCTTGAGTCAGGGAGGTTTTAGGAAAGAGTGTCTTCCATTTACCAGTGGAGTTTGGGTCGGATGAGAATAGATACAGAGATTCAGCAGACATGTCTTGTGTCCCAGACTTGACCTTTATTCATTGACGCTGGATGCTATGTCCTTGGTCCATCTTTAAGTCCCAGAAGGAGGTGAACCTTGATCTTTGTAGGGAAGAAAGGGAGATTCCAATAAACGTGTGCATGGTGATTTTTTACATGGGAATCCTAGTAAATCCTGAGTAGGACCAGTTATTTCTCATGACTTCATCCCTTTCCAGAAGAGAGTAAAGAGACAGTGGAAATAACTGCTTTGCCCACACAGATTAGAAGTGGAGAGAAAGATGAAAAACTGGGCTTTCATGCTAGAGCTTGGGTTATATTGTTTATTGAAGAGGGTCATGATCAGATGTTTTGGGGGAAGAGAACTCTGACAGCAATGTGAAAGTAGGAAAAGGAAGATTCAAAGCAGAGGCCAGTTTAGAAAGCTTTGACAAAGTTGTAGCTGAGAGCTCATATTTGAATTAAGTCAGTGACAGGAGCAAAGGGGAGGAGATATTTCAGAGATAGAATCTATGGGACTTGATGACCAACTAAATATGTGGGTAAGAAAAAGAGAAGAGTTGTAAATGACATCAGATTTTGAACCAAGAGGTTGGTATAGATGGTGAGGTAATTACCCTATTGGCATTTACCAGACTTTTTAGGATGTTTATCATCATTGACTTCTGCCCACTAAATTTGAGTGGCACTCCCAGCTATTGTGACCACCAAAATGCCCTCTTTTGGTTAGGTGACACCACCAAACGTGGTAGCCAATAGAAAAAGCTGGATTGAAGATGATTAGCTCCTTTTTGGACACATTAGTTTGTGGTGCCAACAGAATGCTGATATGGATCTGGAGACAACTAGGAAGTAGCTGGAAATGTGGGTCTTGAGCTCAGGAGGAAGGCCCTGTGCAGAGATGTAGACCTAGTACACAGAGGTAATGGTTTAAGTTGCAGCAGAAAGAGATTAGAGAGAGACAGATGAAAGATGCTAAAGACAGAACTTTGGAAAATGTCTGCACTCAAGAAACAGAAGAGTCAAAGAATGAGAAGTAAGGTAAGTCAGAGAAGTAGGAGGGTAAAGCCCTCAAAAGCTAGATGAGGAAATTCCAAGGAAGGATTGGTGGTATAGCATGCTACTGAGTTAGAATTTGTACCAGGAAGAATAGCTTTACCAACTAGGCGTTAGTGCAGTTCTCAGAAAAGTTAAGTTTTTGAATAAATATGAACAGTCATGTGGTTCAAAAATCATAAAGTACAAAAACGAAAAATTTGTCACTCCTACCCCGTTCTCCATCTGTCTAAGAACCCCAAGTAACCACTTTAATTATTTTGTTCATCCTTCCAGAGCTTTGGTAAAGACATAAGCAAATATAAATACACTTTCTTGTTTTAATTGTTTTTTTTTTTTTTTTTTTTACATAGAGTGTTATAGACCTGGCTCTTTTTCACTCAATAATACGTTCTAGAAATCTTTTCATATAGAGAGTTGCTTCATTCTTTTTCATTAGCTGTTTGCCATTTAGGTTTCTGTAGAGAAATTTGTAAGTTTGCCAGATATTCATGGGCTTATTACCCCTACCATCAACACATGAAATTCTTTCTCCACAGTCTTGACAAAGACTATGTTGTCATATTCAGGAATCTTTGCCTATCTGACTGGTGAAATGTTATCAGTGTAGTTTTAATTTTCCTTTCCCTAAGATAGGACATAATTGAGTTTCAGAGAAATAGGTCAAATTTAAGAGGCTATGGAATAAGTGGATGGCAAGGAAGAGAATGAAGGAAATAGTAATAGTCCAAAGGAACTGAAATCTGACTGTATTAAAAGGAATTAGCTTGCTGACTAATAGCGTGTGGGTTTAATGAAGATGTTTTTAAATAGTAGGGACTTATCTAGACCTGCTTAAAATGATAATGAAATAAGTCACTAGAAAAGGAGAGATTGAAAATTGTAGAGTTTGAGGGCAAAGTCACACAGGAGGCAGAAAGAAATGGTATCTCTGGCAGTTGGGATGGATAGGAGCTAAGTGGTGGGTGTGAACACTGTGAAGGACAGAAGGTTGTGGGTGGGGAGCAGATGGCAGGCACCTTCTAAAGGCAGAGGAGGAGGAGGACTTTTGGAACAAGAATTAAAAAGAGAAGGATTAGATTCACCAGTGGGAGGAGAAAAGCACAGGCCGCAGATGCTGCATCACTCACAGGCGTGGGGATTCCTGCCTGCCAGATCCCAGGGATGCAAATAAAAAGCGAATGTTTGCTGGATGATTCATACACGTGGATATTGATTGATTCAATATTTACTGGGCATCTACTCTGTCAGGCACATTGATGTCACTCAGGATTAACTGAGACATGAGATAGAGTGGAAGGCTATAAGCCAGATGACAGAGGTATGCTAGATGTATGTATGAGGGATTAGGAGTTGTATAGGTGATGGTGACAAGGGGAGATAAGGGGTACAAGAGCCAGATGGTTTGTTCCTTATTGTGCCTTGTACCTCAAAGGAGATGTGGTTTTAGAAACCTGTAGTAGAAATACACCAGTGTGCTTGAAATTGGTAGAGGCAATCTATGGGATACCACCACAGTCTTTGGACTCAGGAAAATAAGAACTCTGATCTTGATAAGGAAGCAGTATCTGAAGAGAGTGAGATCTGGGAGACAGCCCGAAGATAGAAACGGTGTTCTGGGAAGAGTTAAGATTTATATAGTTTCAGAGGTACTGTGGAAACACTAGGAAGAGGATGGGTCCCAGGGAAAAGAATCACTGAGTAGTAAGAAGATGACAGCGGAGGTGAAAATTCATTTGAGCAGTGACCAAGAACGACCTGAACGTGAGGCAGGAAAGAATTAGCTGGTTTCACTTGTTCTAAGAGGAATGCTGGTATACATTTTTTTTAAGTTTATTGCAGAAAATTTCAAATAGACACAAAATAGAACAGTATGGTGAACTCCTGTGTATCCTTCACTAACATCAACAATGATAAATACTTTGCCAATCTTGTTCAGCAGTCCCTGCCCCTACTTCCCACTTTCATTTATTCCTGAAGTATTTTAAAGTTCCAGACATTTTACTATTTGACTTGTTAGCATGTAAGGATTTTTTCTTCCTTTAAACATAACTATGAGGTCATTGTCACAGTGAGAGGTGACAGCGTGCTGGCAGTCCTCACAGCCCTCGCTCGCTCTCGGCGCCTCCTCTGCCTGGGCTCCCACTTTGGCGGCACTTGGGGAGCCCTTCAGCCCACCACTGCACTGTGGGAGCCCCTTTCTGGGCTGGCAAAGGCCAGAGCCGGCTCCCTCAGCTTGCAGGGAGGTGTGGAGGGAGAGGCGCGAGCGGGAACCAGGGTTGCGCGCGGCGCTTGCGGGCCAGCTGGAGTTCCGGGAGGGCGTGGGCTTGGCGGGCCCCGCGCTCGGAGCAGCCGGCCGGCCCTGGCGGCCCCGGGCAATGAGGGGCTTGGCACCTGGGCCAGCGGCTGCGGAGGGTGTACTGGGTCCCCCAGCAGTGCTAGCCCACCGGTGCTGCGCTCGATTTCTCACCCGGCCTTAGCTGCCTTCCCGCGGGGCAGGCCTCGGGACCTGCAGCCCGCCATGCCTGAGCCTCCCACCCCCTCCATGGGCTCCTGTGCCGCCCGAGCCTCCCCGACGAGCGCCACCCCCTGTTCCACGGCGCCCAGTCCCATCGACGACCCAAGGGCTGAGGAGTGTGGGCGCACTGCGCGGGACTGGCAGGCAGCTCCACCTGCAGCCCCAGCGCGGGGTCCACTGGGTGAAGCCAGCTGGGCTCCTGAATCTGGTGGGGACGTGGAGAACCTTTATGTCTAGCTCAGGGATTGTAAATACACCAATCGGCACTCTGTATCTGGCTCAAGGTTTGTAAACACACCAATCAGCACCCTGTGTCTAGCTCAGGGTTTGTGAATGCACCAATCGACACTCTGTATCTAGCTACTCAGGTGGGGCCTTGGAGAACCTTTGTGTCCATACTCTGTATCTAACTAATCTGGTGGGGAGGTGGAGAACCTTTGTGTCTAGCTCAGGGATTATAAACGCACCAATCAGCGCCCTGTCAAAACAGACCACTCGGCTCTACCAATCAGCAGGATGTGGGTGGGGCCAGATAAGAGAATAAAAGCAGGCTGCGGGGCCAGCAGTGGCAACTCTGTCGGCTTTCCTTGTACCCTGTGGAAGCTTTGTTCTTTTACTCTTTGCAATAAATCTTGCTGCTGCTTACTCTTTGTGCTCACACTACTTTTGTGAGCTGTAAAAGTCATCACAAAAGTCTGCAGCGTTATTCCTGAAACCAGAGACCTCACCGTGAAGAACGAACAACTCCAGACGCGGTGCCTTAAGAGCTCTAACACTTACCGCAAAGGTCTGCAGCTTCACTTCTGAGCCAGGGAGACCACGAACCCACCAGAAGGAAGAAACTGAACACATCTAAACATCAAAAGGAACAAACTCCAGGCGTGCCACTTTAGGAGTTGTAACGCTCACCGCGAGGGTTCGTGGCTTCATTCTTGAAGTCAGTGAGACCAAGAACCCACCATTTCCAGACACAACAACTAATAAAATAATTTTACAATGTTTCAACAAGAGCAGACTCAAGCATTTGCTAGAGATTCCAAATAAACAGAAAGCCTGCAAAGAAATGCTGATACGTGGTATAAGAATTCAAAATTACATTGTAAAAGAATATTAACATCGGAAAAAGTTTAAAATGAATATGTGAACATTTTGTTAAGTATAAATTATAACATTTTTGTTAAGCATAAACCTAATACACATAATCTTTCTTTGTATATAGATATATAAATATCTAAATTGTAAAAGGGCTGGAAGTATATACTAACATGCCCAGGGATGATCTGAGCGGTGTTTTGTTTTTTGTTTTTTTGGCTTTTCATCCCTTTATGCTTTTCAGGGTGTGTATTTGTGCGTATTGCTGAGAACAGAGAAAGGGAGGGGTTAGCAAGGAAAATGTTGGGGGAAGGATCAAGCCGCCTTTGATGGGCTGAATTATTATAATGATAGTGAAAACCTTTATCTAGTGGCTCATCTTTCTTCAAACTCACAGCCCACAAATCAGAAATGTAGACGAATGTAATAGGCTTGGAAAATACATGTGAATAAAATCTAACAAAAAAAGGACAAAGGTAGCATTCTGAATTATCACTTTGTTAGAAAAAGAAATGAAAAGAAGCTATTCCTGTTGGACAATCCCCGCAAAACGAGACCCACTACAGAGACAGCACTTTACCCACCCAGCTAGCCTTTAGATTCTTAGGGTGAAAGCCGATGACCTCACACGGGGTTTCTAAGGCGCGTGGAAATCCTAAGACTTCTGGGGAATTGAGTCTAAGGTACTGTGACGATAAGCAGCTCGGAGATTTCTGGGAATTGTAGTTCGCAGACTGAGGCCGCGTACGCGACTAGCATCCAAGAGGCAGCGCAAAGAGGAGGACGCGGTTGCTAGGCCTCCCTCCGAGGCCACTTCCGAAGTTCAGCCTCTTTTCAAGGCCATTTCTACTTTGGGAGAAGGGACCTGAGTCTCTGCGCGCCCTTGCCTGCTATTAAAGGGGATGCGGGACCTAGGATCTCGATTATGAACCCAATAACGACAGACACTGAATCCGGCGGACGAGGGAGAAAGCTGTGTATAACCGGGTGCTGTATACGAAAGTTCCTGTGTGTCAGACTCTGAAACTAGGTTTGGAGCCCTTGTTTGACAATGGGGAAAAGTGCAGCTCAGTGTATCGGGTTTGGGCGATACTGCGGGGAACAGATAGTAACTGTATGGCGTTCATAGTGCTGATTTGCCTCTGGGAAACAGGAATCTTTTCCAGGAAAAACAGACCTGACCTAGAGCTTTTCCAGCTTGAGATTTTGGGAAACAGGAGAATCACATGAGGAACATATCCAAAAACTGCTGGTATTGAAGCCATTTCTGATTGCTTTACCAGGGAAGATTAGGATTAAGGTAAAACGGCAAAATCCTCCATAATTATCAAAGAGGTGGTGAGTGGTAGATTTTTTTTTTGTCGTTTTGTTTCCAAGCCTCACAGAAGGATATGGATTACAGAAAGATAAGGTTAAAGGGAAGAAGAAATCAATCTTCAAAGGGCAAAAAAGCGAAAAACAGACATCTCAGAATCCTTGAAAAGAGCATCGAAAAGGAACATCTCTGTTGCTTCAGGCTGGGGTATTAGTGGAATGTGTGGAATCTATACAGTCACCCCCAACATCAGGTCGTCCAGACCATTTGTCGTTAGACTCTGCTGTATGTGCCAGTGTGGTCTCTGAATTTCTTTTCTTTTCTTTCTTTCTTTCTTTCTTTCTTTCTTTCTTTCTTTCTTTCTTTCTTTCTTTCTTTCTTTCTTTCTTTTTTTTTTTGAGGTACGGCCTCGTCCTGTTGCACAGGCTAGGGTGTAGTGCCACAGCCATGGCTCACTGCAGCCTCGACCTCCTAGGCTCAAGCGATCCTCCCACCTCAACTTTCCCAGTAGCTGGGACCACAGGCATGTGCCACCAAGTTCCTGGGCTCAATCGATCCTCCCACCTCAGCTTCCTGAGTAGCTGGGACCACAGGCATGTGCCACCAAGCCTGGCTAAGTTTGTAAATATTTTGTAGAGACAGGGTCTCCCTGTGTTGCCCATGCTGGTCTCAAATTCCTGGGCTCAAGCGATCACTTCCCGCTCAGCCTTCCAAAGTGCCAGGATTTACAGGCGTGAGCTACCACACCAGGCCTGCTCTCTGAATTTCTAGAGAAAATGCATAGTTGCCTCGGACGGTTCAAGGGGACCACGCAATCACCAAACTCCATCTTTCAGTTTTTTGTTGAATTAGCTGGGTTGTCATATAGTTTCCTATAGCTGTACTGTATTTTGTTAGTTATATTCCTCCAATGTCATTTAACATATATCTTTGTTCATGTTTCCTATAAATTAATAAATTCAAGGGGCTTGATTAGCGTCATATATCTGTACGTGGACAGATACTTCATAGGTGGTGTCATATACTAATATTGGGAGGTATGTAATGGTTATGCTGTCATCCCTTGATGATTATTGCCTTGATTAATTAATTCATCTCTTTTTTCTTTTTGGTCCTAAGATTGGATAAATATAGACTTTATTTTTTATAGCAGTTTTAGGTTCATGAAAAAACTGTGGAAGGTATAGATATGTTCCATATACCAGCTGCTCCCAGAAAGGCATAGCCTCTCCCATTATCAACTTCCTTCAATGGTACATTTGTTACAATTCATGAACTTATATTGACACATATTACTACTCACAGTCCATAGTTGAGATTAGGATTTATTTTTGATGTACATTCTGCAGATTTGAACAAATGTATAGTGGCATGTATCCACCACTGGAGTATGGACAGAGTAGTTTCACTGACTTAAAAATCCTCTGTGCTTCACCAGTTAATCCCTCCCTCCTCATTAACTCCTAGTAACCACTGATCTTTTTACTGTCTGTTTTTGCCTTTTCTAGAATGTCATATAGTTAGAACCATACAGTATGCAGTCTTTTCAGATTAGCTTCTTTCACATATTTATATGCACTTAAGTTGTCTCCATGTTTTTTCATTGTTTGATAGCTCATTTCTTTTTAGCACTGAATAATCTTCCATTGTCTGGATGTACTGCTGTTTATACATTCACCTACTGAAGGAAATACTGGTTACTTCCATGTTTTTGTAATTGTGAATAAAGCTGCTCCTTTGTATTGATGCCAATGAGTGCGATTGCTGAATTGTATAGTATGTTTAGTTTTATAAGAAACCACTGACCTGTCTTCCACAGTGGCTGTACCATGTTGCATCTCTACCGGCAATGAATGACAGCTCCTATTTGTCCACATCCTTCATCAGCATTTGGTGATGTCAGTGTTCAGGATTTGGGCCATTCTCATAGATGTATGATGGTATCTCATTATTATTTTAATTTATATTCCCCTGAGGACATATGGTGTGGCGGGACATTCTTCACAGACACCAGCAACTATTAATGATGTGCCTTTCAACCAGGGTAGCTAACATTGGGCATGGAGAGACAGTAGGGAGAGGAGGGATTAAGGAGCAGGGCTTGGTGCTCACAGACTGCACAGTTGTGGCCAGAGAAGACTGTCATGGTGAGAGTAAGGGGGAGTTGAAAGAAACTGACTCTTAGCCACCTAGCATAGAGGAATAGACAGTTTTGGGGAAAAACTAATGAATTTTGAACAGGCTGAATGTGAAATGCCTGAGAAACAAAAGGAAGTATTTAGTAGTGGTTGCTTCATTCATTAAACAAATGTTTGTTGGGTACCTGGGAATATTATAATCCATAGAAGCATTTATCGGATACTTAGTAATTTAGAGGGCAATAAATGCTATGGAAAATATGTAGAGTATCAAGACTGGTTGTGGAGAGTAACCAGGGTTGCAATTGCAGTGTAGGCTTCTTGAGAAAATGCTATTTGAGCAAAGATTGACAGGCAATAAAGCATTTGTCCATGCACATGTGAAAGGGAAAAGGATTCCAGACAAAGGGAATAGTGGCTTCGGGACCCAAGGAGTGAGCATAGCCAAGTGAGATGTGGAGCCAGTGCAGGCTTTGGGACAAAGAAGTGACACAATCGGACTCAGTTTTAGCAGGAGTTTTCTGGCTGCTAGCTGAGATGAGACTGTGGAGGGGCACGAGGGGAAGTGAGAAAGCTGGGAGAAATGCAGTGCAGGAATCCAGGTGAGAGATAACAGTGGCCCAGACAGAGGTAGTCATAATGGAAGTGGTGAGAAGTGGTCAGATTTTACATATATTTTAGTGGATTTGCTGTAAGATTGTTGTGGAGCATGAGAAGAGATGAGTCACTGATAAATCAAGGATTTTGGGTTTCACTGTTGAAGGTATGGAGATACTAGCCTGGGCTTAAGAAAGCTTTAGACATCATCTATCTATCTATTTATGAATCTATCTATCTATCTATCTATCTATCTATCTATCTATCTATCTATCTGAATATTGAAAATAGATATGTACCCTGCAGGGAAAGTATACAGAATCACAAAACAAGGTCTGAATTAGGATCTTCAAATCTTAGGAAGATAATGAATATCTCTAAAAAAGTGGTAGGCAACTCTGGGTGTGGTGGCTCACACCTGTAATCCCAGCACTTTGGGAGTCCAAGGTGGGTGGATCACTTGAGGTCAGGAGTTTGAAACCAGCCTGGCCAATATGGCGAAACCCTGTCTCTACTGAAAAATAGAAAGAAATTCGCCAAGGTGGTAGTGCAGGCCTGTAATCCCAGCTAATTGGGAGGCTGAGACAGGAGAATAGCTTGAACCTCTGGGAGGCAGAGGTTGCAGTGAGCCGAGATTGTGCCACTGCACTACAGCCTGGGCAACAGAGCAGAGTGAGACTGTCTCAAAATAAATAAATATATACTAAAATTAAAATTTAAAAAGTGGTTGGAAAAATTAGCCGTGAATATAGAAAAAAAAGTTCATCGCCTTACTCAATTAACAAGATAAATATCAGATGGATTAAAGGTTCTAAGTGTGAAGAAACAAACTTAAAATATATTTTAAAATATAGGACACTAGATTTACATTTTTGGGGTAGGGAAGACACCATGAGACCAAAAAAAATAAAAATACTCATGAATTAAAAGTTGAAAACACTCATGACTACATTAAAATTTAGCACCTTTGTATACAAAATGACAGAAGCCAAATTAAAGCATATATTACAGACTGTGAAGAGAATGTGGAGCAAATAAAGGCATAATACCCAGACTATATAAGTAATGTTTATAAATCAATTTTAAAAAGGCACATAACCAAATAGCAAAAAGAATACAAAATATAAATTAAAATTCAGAAAAGAAAAAAATCTGCAGTAAATTTATACCATGATGTGCAACTCCCTAGGGTCAGAAAAATGCAAGTTAAAATTACAATGAAATACCATTTTCCCTATTAGGCAGAAAAAATTAAAATTATTGTCAATATCAAATGTGAACAAGTATGGAGGAAAACAGGCACAAATACATACTGTAAGTCGAATACAAATTTACCTAATCAATGAATTGAAATAAAAATGAAAAGTTGAATGTGCCAATCTCAGGACAAAATATATTAAACAAATGGAGATGGTCATCATGGAGCCAAAAACCCTGGAACTCAAGGACTGGGATCTGCCAGGTCCTATCCAGGGCTGGAGAGATGTGGAGTCCACCCAGGAGCATATTAGTCACTAGCAACGTGCACTGTGTTATGGCACGGGGACACATAAACATGCCCCTGTGGCCTGAATAGGCTCTCCCTCATGACTACCTTTTCCCTGGCCTCTGACTCAAGGATCAACAAGCAGTCTTCTCTCTGACACCTTAAAACATGGAACCCATGAATTATTTCACTGGAAAGATACAGCCTCCATTAGCATTCAGCAAAATATATTTAGGAACTGTCTTTTGTGAGGTTTGCTATTGTGAGTTGTCCCCAAGAGACTCTGTAACATCAGTGCCCTGAAAAATACCCAGTTTCTGGACCTACGGGGCTGAGGTTCACAGCCCACGAAACTTGGTTTAGTTGGTCAGCCCCTGTCCATATGACACTAGTGAGGCATCTCCTATAGTGTCAACATGAAGCAAAATGAAAAGGTTGTAGATTGTGGAGTGCTCAGTACATATAAGTTGAATTAGTAAATTATTTTGTTTTACATAGCTGAAATTATACTACATACATAGTTTAGTGTTCAGGTTTTCTATTTAACAATATTCTTATGAGCATTTTCTCACTTCACCATTAAAGCCCTGCTTGTCTGGAGGAAGTTGTCCTGCTTAGACTCTCAGAATCAGAATCGGCCTCAAGCAATGAAGTCCATCCAATCTCTTTATTTACACATGGGCAAATTGAGAACCAGAAAAGAAAGGATGTGTGCATGATTATATAGTTTGGCAAGCAGAGGCTGTCCTGGACTCTTCTCCAGGATTTCTCAAAGTTCTGAGCCAAGGTCAGAAAAAGAAGTGGAAAGCCAGTCTCCCTCCTCTGTCCAACACCAGTTTGGGAGGCAGTCTCATGAGACATGGGAATTCAGAAAATGGGGGATAAAAGTCCAACATCCCTGGAACCCTGAAAGGATTGAGGAAAAAAAAAAACCAGAATTGTCTAGAGAGAAAGGGAACGAGCAAGCAAATGAAAAATTAGGCTGAAATAGGGTTTTGATAAAGAGTTTAGGAAGGAGATAGGAAAAATGGGGATCAAAATCAGAAAGAGGTGTGAAAAAATATATTTTTTGACATTTTTGCTTTGCAATGTGCAGTAATTTCCTCTTAGAGTCACTTTGAAACTAGAAAATACTTATTTTTCAAAGCATTTTGGAAGTGTTTTTTTCTTTTTGCTATACTGCCTTAACTCTTTCATGACCCCCAGAATTGGGATAGGCATGGACTAAATGCCTGGGGGATTGGTCTTCCCATTCTAACAAGGGGATGTTCCACTAGTTCAGTCTTAGGCAAATGAGAAGACAAAGTAACCCTCAGACACAGCAGGATAATGCAAAAAGCACTCTACTCAAGAGTCAAGGGACTAGATTTTGATAATTTGGGATTTTTCTATCTGTGTCATCTTGTTCAACTAAATCATCTCTCTAAACCTCAATATTATTATAAAATGGAATGATAATAACCCTACTGCAATAGGATGCTGTGAGGCTTAAATAAGACAAATTCATAACAAAATTACTTTAAAAATTCCAAAGTGCTATGTAAATGTGAATAATGAAACTCTTATAGCAGGGGTCAGTGAGATCCAAATAAGAGAAAGAGTTGTCTAGGGTCACCCTGGGAATGACTGGCAAAGGCTGACACTCAGCTCTCCTAAAATACCCAATGATATTTGAAGGACCTGATGCCTTTTGAATATTGTCCCATGATTGGGAAAAATAAGGGGAGGAGAGATTCAAACAGAGACGTATACTTATCCTCATACCCGAAACTAAAGGCAAGTCCTTCTCATGGTTGTTAGGATATTGTCATGATACCAGAGAAGTGGGCAGTAGGCTTGTTCCACAGAAGATAGAAAGGACTAGGAAGCATGATGAGCCAAATCTGCCCTGGTAACAGATATCCATGCTAGATGATCTGCCTTTCAATTTAGGTTTATTCATTTTCCCAAGTCTACATAAGTAAACCTTACCCTCTATCCTTTTGGGTAATTGTTATAGACTAGAAATTATTCTAAACATATGCCATCTCTTAACTCAAAATTCTCTCACGATAGTCCTATCAGGCAGCCATCACCATTCTCATTTTATAGACAAGGAAACTAGGACACTGTTATATGTTTTATTGTGTCCTCCCCAAAAGATGGTGAAAATAGACTTTGCAGATAATCAGGTTAAGATGAGGTCATTAGGATGGGCCCTAATCCAGTATGACTCATCCTTTAAAAGGGAAAATTTGGACACAGAAAGAGACAAGTAAAGAGGCAAGATAATGTGAAGATACGGGGAGAATGCCATCTACAAGCAAAATAATGACTGACACTACCAGAAACTAGGAGAGAGGTCTGGAACAGATTCTCCCTCAGAGCCATCAGCAGGAAGCATCCCTAATGGCACCTTCATTAGGGACTTCTAGTTTCCAGAACTGTGAGACAATACATTTCTGTTGTTTAAGCCACCCAGTTTGTGGTACTTTGTTATGGCAGCCCTAGCAAACTAGTACAGACACAGAAAGATTAAATAACTTGCCTGAGGTCACACTGCCAATATATGACAGAACCAGGATTCCAACTTCAGAGCCCACTTTTTCAACCGCTATAATGTCTTGACTCATTTTACATGATAAGAGAAGCCTGGAACAGCTTTTTAGTCCCTGTATTTCAAAGGAAGTAATGGGATTTCTGAGGTAAGAAACGTTCCAAAACATAAAGTATATGGTAGACCTTGGCAACCTGAGACTAACTCCATGTTACAGTCAGTCTCTTTAATTCCTTATTGCATCCAAGAAAAACCTCCTCTCCTCATATACTAAACTCTTATACCAATAATTCTCAAACTCATGTCCTTAGAACACTGAAGTTCCTAAAGTTAGAGAAAAGCATTTTTTTCTTGAAAGTTCCAACAGTGTCAGTCTTTTCCAGTAACAGAAATATAATTACAGAAGGTTTTCTACATTAAAATTTTTCTTTGATAATTTTTTTTTTACTAAAATGTGGCTAGCTGAAAACCAAGATAGAGAAAAATAGAGTATCATATAACCTTTCTAAGCAACGATTACTCATTAGAAGCATAAAGTTGATGTCTGACTCAGGACTTATGTAAGAGTCCTTTTCTCTTTGGGCTTCCTGAACCAACTGTAGAGTAGCTCAGCCCACCAACAGCCCCCACTGAGTTATAGCCAGCTCATCAATAGCCTGAGATTACAACCAGCCCATTGTATACTCATTACAGATGGTTACTGCTCATTACAGACTTTTCCTGTCATTTCATATTCCTCTCAAAATATCCCTGTGAGGTAGGAAGGGAAGATACTTTTAACAACATTTTACATTTTAGGAAACAGCCTCAAAGAGATTAAATGATTTGCCCAGGGTCACATACTATCATGAGGCGTGAGCCCATGGGTGTTTTAGGTAATTTTCCTGTACCTTACTCACTTCCAAAGGGTAAAGGCCAGGAGAGATCATTTAAAGTTGCATTTAGATAACACTATTGTTTGCTAACCTCCCTTCCTGCTTTTGGGGAACTCTCACTTGTGTCTCACTGAAGGGGGAGATAATAAAATCTTTAAAAAGTATAGAGTATATACTATGAAGAAAAATAAAGCAAGATAGGATACAAAACACCAATGGGATATGTATCATAATTTTAAATAGGGTAACAAGAAACAGCTTATTAAAAAGGTGTCATAGAAGGTGAGAGAAAGAAAGAGCCATCTGGATATCTGAGCAAAAGCCCTGCAAGCAGAAGGAATAGCGTATGTGAAAGTTCTGTGGCAAGAGTGGCCTGGTATGTTTAAGAATAACAAAGAGGCCAGTGTGGCTAGAGTAAAGTGAAAGAGAATAGAGCAATAGGAGATTAGACTCAAGAGGTCATGAAGGACCACACTATGTGGGGCCTTGTAGGTCACCGTAAGGACTTTGGCTTTTACTATGAGTGAGAGGAAAAGCTACCGGAAGATTCTGAGTAGGAGCAGCATGATTTAACGAACAATTAAAAAGGATTCTTCTGGCTACTGTGTTGAAAATAGGCTGTATGAGCGATGGGGGTGGTTAAAAGGGACAAGGATGAAAACAAAGAGATAAGTTAGGCAATAGTCTAGCAGAGATATGGTAGCAGCTTAGTTCAGGGTGAAAATGGTGGCAAATGGTTTGATTCTAGAACAATTTTGAAGTAAAGCCAACAGGATTTGCTGATGGTTTAGATATTTTTAATTTTGGTTTCCACATGTTCATTGTTCAATGAGTAATTTTAGACTATGAAGTTGTGAGGAAATTATCAATGATGGCACCAGGCTTATCAGAGAAGATGCATAGTGAACAAGATTATTAGAAAGTAGTTCTTGAGATCTCAAATCTCCAGCTCCCCAGCAGGAAGCCAATGCTCTGAAGGATCCATTGAGTTCAGCTAATGCAGTTCTACTCCAGGATCTGAATAGAAAAGGTGAGAGTCAAATGGAAGAAAGGTCCAGTTTCAAACCCTAAACTTAGCATGGATCCACATCCAGACCCAGGGCTACCTTTGTTTCTTCCAAATTTCCCAAACAGAAGATGTAAGTCAAGTTATGTTTTATTTACAAAATGAAGGGTATACCAGGAATTACTGTTAATTTTGTTAAGTATGATAGTAGCATTTTGGTTAGGTAAGAAATTGTCCATGGTTTTTAGAAATGCATAATGAAATATGTAGGAATGAAACTACATGATGTCTCAGTTTTATTTAAAATATCAAAAGAATAAAATGAAGAAAAAAGGGACAAATAAAACAAATGTGGCAAAATTTTGATAGCTGTTAAACCTGAACAATGAGCATAGAGGAGTCCATTTTACTAGTCTCTCTAATTTTGTGTATGTTTTAAATTTGTCATAATTAAAAATGAGTGAACATTATGTTTTATCAATTTAAATATTTCTGAGAGAATATTAAAATGAATTTGACTGGTTTTATAATCTGAGATAAAAATTAAAGCTTTTCCCCAAACCATAAAAGGTATGGATTTAACTGTCTTGAGTTCCCTCAAACTCATTTTCTTAAATCTGTTTTTTTTTCTTTCTTTCTTTGAGACAGAGTTTCACTCTTGTTGCCCAGGCTGGAGTGCAATGGCACGATCTCTGGCTCACGACAACCTCCACCTCCCAGGTTCAAGTGATTCTCCTGCCTCAGCCTCCTGAGTAGCTGGGATTACAGGCATGTGCCACCACGCCTGGCTAATTTTGTATTTTTAGTAGAGACAGGGTTTCTCCATAGTAGAGACAGGGTTTCTCCATGTTGGTCAGGATGGTCTCGAACTCCCAACTTCAGGTGATCTGCCTGCCTCGGCCTCCCAAAGTGCTGGGATTACAGGCATGAGCCACCACGCCTAGCCTCTTAAATCTTATTATCCTATGATTATACTTTCTATCTCCTTCATATCCTTTGCCATATAATTTTTATTTATTTATTTTCAGAGACAGGGTCTTGCTCTGTCACTCAGACTGGAGTACAGTGGCATAAACATAGCTCACTGAAGCCTCAAACTTCTGGGCTCAAGTGATTCTCTCACCATGTATGACCTGGAAGCCCCTGCCTTTCCCAACCAAACCAATGTACATCTTTCATGTATTGATTGATGTCTTATGTCTTTCTAAAACGTATAAAGCCAAGCTATGGGCACATGTTCTTAGGATGTCCTGGGGCTGTGTCACAGGCCATGGTCACTCATATTTGGCTTAGGATAAATCTCTTCAAATATTTTAGAGTTTGACTCTTTTCGTCAATATTTACAATATTTACTGACTTATGGAGTGGCTTATGCCTGTGTGCCCATAGCTCTGACTACAGAGTGAAGGGGAAGTACTAAGGAGAATTGCCACCTTGGGAACTGCATGTAGCTCATGACTTTTGTGACTGGAATAGCATTAGTAAAAGCCTGACATTGTGGAAAGACACACATGCATGGACCTGGTTGTCTCTAACCCTACACTGCTCCTGACAGTAGGGAAGGCGTGCTGACCCAACTGGCCCAGCTCTCTGCTCTGAGCATTTGCTTCACCTCGCTGATGGTGGCCTGGGGCAACTCCTACCAACTGTGGAACCGTGTGGCCCTGAGCGTGCAACCTCGCAGACTATGTTTCCTAGGAGATGCTGGCCAGTTCCAGGACACCAAGCTCTTCTTGCTCTTGGCTGATCTTATTTTAAATACCGCCCCACCCAACACCCACGGCTCCACCCAAAAGCTGTCAAATGGAGTTTGTGGCAGTTGCCGGCCCTCATCTTCTAGGAGTGCCCACAGCCACCATGTTGCGGTGGTCCCAGCCAGCCTACTGGGGGCGTGACGGGCCAGGAGCACGTCCAGAGAGTAGTGCCCAGAGGCTCCTCATCCACCCCGCAGTATTAGCTGTCATGCCCCTCCTCACCTACTGGGATTCCCACCAAGGGATGGGCTAGGGGCCCTGGGCAAGTGAGGAGGGAGGGCGGCTGGCCTCCACAGGGGCCTTTCTCTTCCTCCACCTGCTGGCTGACAGAAAAGTAAGGGCCCATGCCAAGCACCTAGATATAGCCTCCTTGTAAAACAGGAGATTATTTTGAAGATGTTCTACTTAAATGTGAGAGCCAAGTCACAGTAATTTGGGCCACATTAAAAGACCCTTAATTTCTTCTCAAAATAGGTCTGACTTCTCTGGATCACTGTTACCCTCGGGCCTTCTATCCGGACTTCCTCACTGCAAACCCCAAAGTTTCTGGTTCTACTTATTGACTTTGTATTAAAGATATAGGCTATTTTCATCAGACATTCAACCTACATTATGCTTTGTGTTCATGACTGCTGAGTATATGTCAGAAATCCCCCTCTGCACACCCTAATAGCTTACATGTAAGTTAAGTAACAATACCACTTTAAGGAATGTAGCCACTGGTCCCTTGCCCGTATCTAGTCACCAGTTTCACTGGATCTTTCTTTTTCTGTTTGCTTTCGGAACATCCCCAAAATTCGTATATTGAAACTTAATCCCCATTGTGGTGGTGTAGGAGGTGGGGTCTTTGGGAAGTGATTAAATCATGAGAACTCATTCCTCATGAATGGTTAGTGCCTCATAAAAGGCCTGGAGTTTTAAGCCTCTTTTGCCCTTCCGTCACTTCCCCTATGTGAGGCCATATAGCATTTGTCCCCTCTGGAGGTTGTGCAACAAGGCACCATCTTGAAAGCACACAGAAGCCCTCTCCAAATACCAACCGGTCTGGTGCCTTGACATTGGACTTCTAGCCCCCAGAACTGTGAGAAAAAAATTTCTTTATAAATTACTCCACACAAGTTTTTGTTGTAGTAGCACAAAGACACCAGTTTCCTCATCTGTCCACTTCTGTTTCCCAATACCGCTGTTTTAAGAACCCCAGCTTCCCACCTAGTTTCTGCCTACCATCTCTCATTTCTGAACCATACAGTCTCTTCTACCAGATTAATCTTCACCCTCAAGCCAGACTTAACCACCATGATCAAAAACCTCCCATAGCTGGGGGCAGTGGCTCATGCCTGTAATCCCGACAATTTGGGAGGCCAAGGCAGGTGGATCACCTGAGGTCAGGAGTTTGAGACCAGCCTGGGCAACATGCTGAAACCCCGTCTCTACTAAAAATACAAAAATTAGCCGGGCGTGGTGGTGCGCACCTGTGGTCTCAGCTACTCGGGAAGCTGAGGAGGGAGAATCACTTGAACCCGGGAAGGGGAGGTTGCAGTGAGCTGAGATCGCACCACTGCACTCCAGCCTGGGTGACAGAGAAAGGCTCTGTCTAAAAAAAGAACCTCCCATAATTCCTTTATTGCTTAAAAGATGAAATCCAAATGCAACCTAATACTAAAGGCTGCCATCATGTAGCTATGAAATTCCAAATCACCAATTTCTTTTCAACGAACCCTCTGCCATAAGCAAGTCAGTTCACCTACTTAAACTGAGAACATTTTCCCACCTCTCTGACTTTCCTTACACAGTTCCCTTTCTTTCTCAGATCTGCTAGGATCCAGCTTAAGAGATCCAGTACTGGAGTCGGCAGAACTGGAGTAAAATCCTGGTCCCTGTGTAAGTCATTCAACATCTGTATATTTTAATTTCCTCTTCCCATAATGTGGTGAATTAAATTACAGTCATGTCACTTAATGAAAGCAGTATGTTCTGAAAAGTGCATCATTAGGTAATTTTGTCCTTGTAACATCATAGAGTATACTTTCACAAACCTACATGGTATAGCCAACTACACACCTAGACTATATGGCATAGTCTCTTTCTTCTAGGCTACAAACCTGTACATCACGTTACTGTACTGAATACTAGAGGCAATTGTAATACAATGGTAAATATTTGTGTATCATAATATATCTAAACATAGAAAAGGTATAGTAAAAATTCAGTATAAAACATTTTAAAATGGCACACATATATGGGGCACTTCCTGTGAATAGAGCTTATAGGACTGGAAGTTGCTCTAGGTATCAGTGAATGAGTAGTGAGTGAATATGAAGGCCTAGGATATTATAGTTCATCTCATGAAGACTACACTACTGTAGACTTTATAAACACTGTACATTAGGCTGCACTAAATTTATTTTTAACGTATTTTTCTTCAATAATTAATCTTAACTTACTATAACTTTTTTTTTGTTTCATCATTTTTATTGGTCATATATCCAGAATTCATTACATAAATCTTTCAGAATAATGAGATATTACAAGAATAGTTTACAAGTTAGCTCTGACTGTACAAATACTTGACACTTGGTCATTTTTACAAATATATATATTTTTTGTTTGTTCGTTTGTTTTGTGTTTTTTTTTTTTTTTTTTTTTTTGAGACGGAGTCTCACTCTGTCGCCCAGGCTGGAGTGCAGTGGTGCGATCTCGGCTCACTGCAAGCTCCACCTCCCAGGTTCATGCCATTCTCCTGCCTCAGCCTCCTGAGTAGCTGGGTCTACAGGCGCCCGCCACCACGCCCGGCTAATTTTTTGTATTTTTAGTAGAGACAGGGTTTCACCATGTTAGCCAGGATGGTCTCGATCTCCTCACCTTGTGATCCGCCCGCCTCGGCCTCCCAAAGCGCTGGGATTACAGGCATGAGCCACCTGCGCTCAGCCATGTTTTCTTATAAGAATACTTTAAGAAAGAAAATAAGTCTCTATCTATCTTATAGCAAATTTTATGCAGTCTCTTTTTCCCATTCGATCATCCTTTCAGCATGTCCATCACATCCAATAAACCAAATTACCATCTGTTACTTCTTCTCATTTTCACATACTATTAAGATTCACACTGTTAAAAGATTTTTAGGGTTCCTTTTCTAATCTTTCCTGATTTGAAAAGAATCCATGTATTCAGGCTAAAAGAGGTAATTTAAACAATATTCCTCCTGAATAGAACTTCTATCAGGTTAATCATTGTTTGGTGAATTATCTTTTCACTTCCTACTTAGGCTAGGCTAGTTGGTAGTTTTACCCCTGCTGATAAAGTCCTGACATTCCTAAAAGTTCCTAAACTGCAAAAAAGGAAACCCTAGAAACAAGAGTGAAATAGAAATATAAAGAAAGCTAAAATACTATTGATTAGAAAACATTTAAATTCAAGATCTCTCCCAGGTTGAAGACGACAGAAAAGTAATAAAGTATAAGGATATGGCAGTAAGTTGTATAAAATACTGAAAATCTGAAAAAGATTAATCACTTAAGCTAGCAGTGTATCATTTCCAAAATGCTAGAGGGCTGGAGGATACAGAATCTTAGACTCTGTGGCTAGGCTGAACTCAATATTTGATATTCTTCTTATGCTGTGTCTTTGAAATAGTCTAATAAATATCCATTTGCCCAGAGCAAGTAGTCTTTTAGGACAGGGGAACTTTAGAGAATACTGACCATGTTTAACTGAAGAGATAGGAACCACCAGGGCAAATATTTGGCATTCACTCCACTCCTTCACTGTTACTGAAAAACGTCCAATTGGCAAAGCCTGTTGTTTTACTTTTAAGGTAACATGAATTAAAATTAAGAAACTAGCAGTATTCTACTACAGTGAAGCTCCTGAGTTCTCAGCTCCAATTATTCAATATTCTTGAAAGGATGCTTTAAAAAGCAAGCCCTTGTCCAATAAGGTATTTAATAGTGCTTAGGGACTATTAGATGTCCCATTTCTCCTCTCTTTCATTTCTCTTGATCCCTTCTCACCCCAGTGTAACAAACTGCTACAGGTTTTTACCAAAATGCTGCAGCAGTAGTTAGAAATGAGTTAATTTGCATTATCAAAGTATTCAATCACATTATCCCAGGTCACATTTGCATATAACCAAGAGATGAACAAATAACATCTACTGCAGTGATTTTGCAAATTCAGCATAGTCAATGTATCCATCATTGTTCTTGTCATCATCTCTCAAAACACCATCTCTTATGTTAATCAGCTCATCTTCACTCATTAGTGGTGCCTGTTCACTCCCTTTCTCCTTATAGATATGAGTGATGGCTGTGGAGATTTCTAAACCATCAAGCAAATAATTGCCATCATAATCGTGCATTTTGAAGTAATGGAGCTGCAAATCTTGTAGTGACATCTCCGCCTCTGGTTTGTTGATGACATCTTCTGTAAGGTACATGGATGTGTTTGGGTCAAGGAATAGGCCAAGGTGGACATCCAGGCTTGCATGACTCAGCAAGTTTGGCGTGCAGGCACACACCTCCACTTGTTATATAACCTGTTTGTGTAAGTTCATACTTGGCTCTGAGCCACTATTGTCTGTAAAAGGTATAATTGTCCTGCTGACACTGTGCATAGGGCTTAGCTTGACATGGCTCTTGTGCAGGCGCTGCTGCCCAGAGAGAGAGTGAAGCTACTGGCCCCTGTAAGGAAGAATGACCAACTGGCAGATGGGCAGGGGGAGCCGGGAACCAGCTCGTGCCCATAGAGAGAAAGAGTTAAGCTGCTAACTCTGAAGGCAAGGAAGAGCCAGCCCTGCAGCTGTGTGTGGGAGCAGCTGGCTCAAGCAGCCGAGACAGGGTGGACAGTGTGAGAGACCTGGTGTAAGTGAGCTATGTGAGTAAGCTGATGATGAGAGCTGCTGCTGAACAAAATCATCTTTCACCTGCCTACGTCCCCCACAAGTGTTCTGTTATCTATTTGCCCAGGGACCCACTCCCTTGTACCTCAGCATGGGCTGGACCCGAACCCTAAACCTAACAACTGGCAATGAGAATGGGATGAGGTGAGTAGGTCTTCAGCCCCTGAGGGTTCCTGGGTTGGCTATGTGGCTGCAGCATGGGCTGTGGTAGCCAGTGGCAGCTGTGCTGCGAGGATGGGCTTCAGTGGAAACATGGGAGGCAGTGGATGGGTCCCCCGCAAGTGTGGAGAAGGCGCTGAAGCACCTGGAAATGCACAGCACTGAGATGCAGCATGCTTTTACCGCCAGTCAGATGGATGTTTGTGACTTTGCTGCAGGAAGTGCCTGCCCAGTCCCTGAGGGATGCACACAGGGAGGAAGAACCTCCGTTACAGGTTCACCCAATGGTCTGCCAGAAAATAGAGCATGAGCAGCTGTTGGGCCCCAAGGGTGGGCCAGAGACCCCCTACTGTGGTGGAGCACACTTCCTATGTTGTCTGTGCCCCTGCTAAGTTGTAGGAGTTAAGCAAGTAATGTTGGCACTCTTGTACAGACTTGGTGCAAGTCATTTGGGAGAAGGATGTTGCTGCGCAACCTGGTCCTGCCAGAGTGTTCCAGTTCAAAGAGTACCTGCTGCAGTTGGTGGAAGTATAAAGCATTTTCTGTTTGATAAGAGAACTGGCCAAGGTGCCCGGCTTGGTAGGGGATACCAGACAACCAAAGGCCATATATGGACTTGGCAATCCACTGGTCCCTGGACCCGGATAAGTTTCCAGGGAAGGCTGCATAGACAGCTATGAAAGCTGGTCAGTGAAAGTGAAACCTGTGTCTTTGCACCTGGGCATCAGCTGCTTGGCTCTCCACTTATGCACTGTGTATGTCTCTTGCATGCCTGAGGACATTCTTGGGGGTGGATGTTTTGCAAGACTTGGCAGCTGTGCCACCTGTCATGGACTTGATGGACCGTTTGACAACAGAACTGGGATGGTGCCACTGTGTGGTGGACTTGACCAATGCATTCTTCTCAATCAGCATTGCTCCAGAGAGCCAGGAACAGTTTGCCTTCATGGGAGGGCGACAATGGACTTTCATAGTGTTGCTGCAGGGCTATATGTATAGCCCCATTATATATCATTTTCTTATTAATGATGTTATGTTAACCTCTAGTTCTTTTGCTGGTTTGGAGGCCACAACACCCCTCTTGCCTGGGATTGGGATGATGAGGCTGAAACAGCCCTTCTGATGACATAAGCCCTCTGGGTGGTTAACCAGGGTGCCCATTTAAACTAGATGTGCATGTAACCACCAATAGAGTTGGCTAGGGCCTATGGCAGTATATGGAGTGCTTGGAAGCGCCAGTCAGCTTTTAGTCCCAGCTATGGAAGGGAGCTGAGCCCCAGTGTTCATTAATAAAGAAGCAGTTAGTAACCATATATGCTGCCCTTCAGGTTCATAAGAGCGTGGCTGGATGGGTTACAGTCGTGTGGATGGCTTACCCCATAGTGGGATGGGTGCGTTCATGAGCAATGACCCCCCCAGACTGGGACAGCACAGACATCCACTTTAGCGAAGTGGGGCACCTACTTAGAGCAGTGGAGTACGCTAAGTATAAGTCCCTTAGCAGCAGAGTTGCAAGAGGTCTTGGAACCTGTAGTCCTAATGCAAGATAAGGCCATGGGGCCTGGGGCACCCCTAGACCCCGAGCCTTCACTGTTAGAAAGGGTGTTCTTCCATTCCTAATAGGACATGGTACACAGCTATGTCTAGTTGGGGTGCCACTGCTGCCTGGACTGCTGGTGCAGTCCAGCCTAGTACTGACACCATATGGTTTGAAACCAGGTGTAGACAGCGGGGCAGTCAGGATTATCAATATCACTGTTTTACAGCTTCACATCTTAGCTGACTGGAAAGCCTTCCAGGAGCAGTAATATGCATGGAGCTGTCATCTCCTATGATAACAATGCCTTCTTCTGGAATACCTTCTGTAGGATCTGCCTGAGGCTGTTTTACAGTTAACTTTTTTTAAATAAGTAGAAGTACACTCTAAAATATTAAATTGGTGCAAAAGTAATTGCCGTTTTTGCCATTGCAGTTACTTTTGCACCAACCTAATAACAATAAAAAGTAAGGTAAATACACAAACCAGTGATATAGTACTTTCCTATCAGGTATTATATAGTGCTATTTTTTTTTTTTGAGACCGAGTCTCACTCTTTACCCAGAATGCAGGCAGTGGCATGATCTTGGCTCACGACAACCTCTGCCTCTCGGATTCAACCGATTCTTGTGCCTCAGCCTCCCAAGTAGCTGGGAATATAGGTGTGAGCCACCACGCCTGGCTAATTTTTGTATTTTTAGTAGAGACAGGGTTTCATCATGTTGGCCAGGCTGGTCTTGAACTCCTGACCTCAGGTGATCCACCCGCCTTGGCCTCCCAAAGTGCTGGGATTACAAGCGTGAGCCACCACACTAGGCCTTTAGTGCTATACTTTTATATGATTGGCAGTGCAGTAAGTTTGTTTACACCAGTATCACCACAAACATATAATTGTGCTATGATGTCACTAGTTAATAGGCATTTTCCAGCTCCATTATAATCTTATGTGATCACTGTCATTTCTGCAGTCCATTATTGACCAAAATGTCCTTGTGTGGTTCATAACTGTACTCAAATATCTACAAAGAGAGTTTCTTCTGGTACCCAGTAAATATTTCATTACTTAATATACTCTCCCCCCTGCTCCTGCGAACCTCACTCCATCCTAAGAACAATCTTCGCATCTGCCTTTCTGGACTTTCTGCTATGAACTAAATATTTATTCACCAGAGAAACTGCTGTATACTAGGTGTTATGAAATATAATTTTTTTTATATCAAAGACATTGTATAATTACATGAAGACCAATGGAGTAATTCATCTTAATTCTAAGTATTAGAAAAGCTTTGTTTTCCTTGAAGAATGGACATATTTTTTTCCTTCTAAAACAATGTAAGCAAATGACCTTCTCATTTTGGTTGCCAGAATGCTCAGTTTGTATCCCTAACTGACTGCCTGTGTAGGTTATCATAACTTGTCCTGATCTCCTAGTGCTCATTTGTATGTGTTGTTTTCTATTTTACTGTATCTTGTTCGCCATCTTGAGTCATTTTTTTACACACAATGGAGTTATAATAAAATAGCTATTGCCTATTATGATAAAAGAAATACCTTCTAGCTTATTTGATTGTGATCCTAGTTTTCCATTTCTAGTAATGAAGTTAAAGGCTCTGCAGGGAATAAAATAAAAAGCTATAGGCAGATGTGAATCACTAGAATCATAACAATTAGAATTTATTGAGCATTTACTTTTGTCAGGCACTGTTTTACTACTTTACATGAATGAACTCACTTATTCTTTACAATAGTCTCATGAATTGGAAAGCCAAGAGGTCAGCATCCCAGGAGATCTAAAGGAGTCAGTCTAAATAGTCAGTTATATATGTAATTCAAGGAAAAACAAAATGGGCCAAAATACCTATGAGGTTACCTCATCATTCAAAAGACTAAAAAGATTATGCTGCTAAATTAAACCCTATGTATTTAGATTAAAACTAGAGTCCAGGCTGGCATTGTACTATGTATTATATGAGGCTTATAAAAGATTTAGGATGATTTACAACTTCAAAACAGCTTATGTAAAAAAGTACTTGTGAAAGAACCAGAAAACAGTAAAGAAGGTGTCTAATACAGGAGAATAATGCAAACCATCACTACAAAGGATTTCTAAGAAGGCAGGGGACTGAAAGTGTCACAGAGCCAGGATATGAGCATGGCCTTTAAAAAAGGGTGGATAGGGTTTCTGGAATACAACGAAGAAAGTAGGACATGTAGAAGTGCCAAGGAACAGTTTGAAAAGAAGAAAAGTGTGAGAAGAGGGTATAGTAGGGACAAAACAGGCCTGCCCGCATGTATTATCTTTGAGAAGAGAAAGGAAGTAAGTAAGTAGATCAAACTATGAAAGACCTTTAGGTTAAAGAAGTTTACATTTGGGGCAGAGGTCACTGGGAAACGACTATTTTTTTTTAACAAAGTAGTAGTTTAGTAAGGAGCTAGATAATGGTAGTGAGTCAACAGTGATCAATTTAGTAATCTAGGCACAAGGTACCAAGAACTTGGAAGCAGCAGTAGAAAGAGAGAAAGAAATCAATTATTAATCCATATCAAATAAAGTCAAGTTGATTGATTACAGATAAAGAGGAATCAGTGAGCAATAATTACAGAGCATTTAGTGTCTACTCAGTACTTTGTGATGTTTTATATCAATCAAAAACAAGATTTCTGGCAGGTGTGGTGGCTCACACCTGTAATGTCAGTGTTTTCGGAAGCCGAGGTGGGAGAATTGTTTGAGTTCAGGAGATGGAGGCCAGCCTTGCCAATATAGTGAGATCCTGTCTCCACAAAAAAACTTTAAAATTGTGGGTGTGGTGGTACACACTTGCAGCCCTAGCTACTCAGGAGGCTGTGGCAGGAGCCCAGAAGTTCAAGGCTACAGTGAGCTATGATTGTGCCATTGCACTCCAGCCTGGGCAACACAGCAAGACCTTCTCTCAAAAATAAAACAACAAACAAACCAAGATTTCTGTCTTCAAGAAGTGTATAATCTAGTTGCACTACCTCAAGTTTTATAACTTGATAAAATGAGATAATTCTGGCCTAACCCTTGCCCCAAATCACAGAGCTGATCATTGACAATCAAAGAAATGCTGAGAGGTAGGAAAAGTGTAGATCAGCACAGAATCATGGATCCTGAAAGAAGCTCAAGATTTAAGGCATAACAGTGGCAAAAAGTGCCAATTCTGCAAATGTCAAGTAGAAAAAGGACTGAGAAATAGGCACTGGGTTTGTCCTTGAGAGATCAATCTTCCAAGATTGGTGAGGGTCAAAGCCACAGAATATAAGTTTCATGAAATCTGTAAATGAAAGAAAATTAAAAACAAACAAAAAAAACAGCACAGCATTTGGCAACTTTTTTTCCCAAGATCATGGAGGAACGTCTCCAAGATTTTTAGAACATTCTTGGTAAAAATATGATAAAATAACACTAGGATTAGTTAGGCGTTAGTAAAAAAATGAGTTGTACTTTGAGGAAAAATGCTACTGCAAAAAAGGTGAGAGAAGGAGGAAGATGAGAAAAATCTGTTTTTGCAAGTCAAGAGAATGAATTTGCCTCAACACTATTATCCCCAGACTGGTGAGAAGTTTTCAGTCCTGCTCTGAAGCCAGATCCCTCTCTTCTGGTACTAGAGCCAGCAAGTATGAAGACACACACACAGGATTTTCTCTTCATGTGCAGGGGCTGATGTGGTTAGAAAACAGAGGAGAACCTGGTGGTTCGGGGACCCACGCTTGAAGGAATAGATTAGCAGAGAAACTACAAGGTGTCAGATAGCTTTATACTCTAAAGTTGGAGCCCTTCAGAATATTAGATTTCATATGTTATGTTTTTTGAGTCATCCCTTTGTTTTATTGTGAACTTATTTGAGAAAAGAGAAAGAAAGAACAGGGAGAGGGAGAAAAAGTAGGAAGGAGGGAAGGAGGGAAGAAGGGAGGGGAGACGAAAGAAGGATAGATGGATGGAAAGAACGAATGAAAGCTTAAAACGGGTATAGGTATCTAATAAAAGAAAATTAGAACAAGTATATATATACTTGAAATATATATATTTCAGTGGTGGGAGGTTAGGTATATGTGTTCTTATGCTAACATTAATAAAAGCTCAGATATTACTCTTTAGTATGAAGGTGCTGATGTCTGATCAGAGTTGAACTCTGACAGAAGGCTTTTCCACAGTCATTACATTTGTACGGCTTCTCCCCGGTATGAGTTCTCTGATGAATAATAAGGGATGAGCTTCGACTGAAGCCCTTTCCACACACTCTACACTCGTGAGGCTTTTCTCCACTGTGGATTCTCTGATGTTCTGTAAGAGACGAGCTTCGACTGAACACTTTCCCACATTCACTGCACTCATAGGGGTTCTCCCCAGTGTGTGTTCTCTGATGTTCAGTAAGCGATGAGATCCAACTGAAAGCTTTTCCACATTTACTGCATTCATAGGGATTCTCTCCAGTGTGTATTCGTTGATGCTGAATTATGGTTGAACGGTCACCGAAGGCTTTCCCACATTCATTACATTTGTAAGGCCTTTCTTGAGTATGAGTTCGCTGATGCTGACTAAGGTTAGTGCTTCGGCTAAAGGCTTTTCCACATTCACTACATTCATATGGTTTTTCTCCAGTATGGATTCTCTGATGTAGACTAAGATGTGTGCTCCGGCTAAAAGCTTTTCCACATTCATTGCATTCATAAGGTTTCTCTCCAGTGTGAGTTCTTTGATGTTCAATAAGGTGTGTACTTCGGCTGAAAGATTTCCCACATTTGTTGCATTCAAAAGGCTTTTCTCCACCATGAATTCTACTGTGTACAAGAAGGTCTGATTGGTAACTAAAGGCTTTTTCACATTCATTGCATTTACAAGGTTTTCTTTGTGAGAAAAGTCTTTGGTGTTTAATTAAGTCTGAATTATCTTTGGAGTTTTTCCTAGATATTGGGGATCCATGTCCCTTTGGAATTTTCTGTTGTGCGTCAAGGTTTGGGCTTAGACTAAATTCACTGGATTCAGGGCCTTCCTCCCCTGTGAAAATTTCTTTGAGTGTCACTGACACTTTTCTGACCACTGTGTTCTCAAAAGAGGATTTCTTCTGTGCAGGACATTTTGTTTGCCTTGATAATTGGCCTTCGTTTTTATAGTCTTCTTCATTTGTAGGACCCTGAGCAGTATTCCCTCTGAGGCTTTCCATTGCTGACCCAGAAAACTCTAGTTCTTCGGAAACAGTCTGATTGGTGTTGATGCTTTGGTTCAGCTCAAATCCCCCTATCTGAAAGACATTTAAAGTGTAAATGTCATCTGTATCTACTATGGAGAGCAAAGAAAATAAACCAGCAGAGAAAAGACAACTAATTTGAATTCATGCATACTAGCAACTTTATATGAGGAGTAAACAAAAAAGGATAGTGGAGGAGAACAAAGCCAGAAGAGATAACAGGCAGAATTTTTGCAGTGGGCATGGTGAACACAGAGACATCAAGAAATAGGGAAAGAGTTATTGGGTAATATGCTAACCCAAACAAATGGAAATGAGCAGGTGTACCAGCTGATGACAGAGAGTTGGGGATTAAAAGGTAAAATGACCTATTATGGTAGTTGATTAATCATGGAAAATGAGAGCAAGGAGAAGGATGAGAAGAATCAAGACTCTCAAGTGTAGAAAAAAGAAATGGAAAAAAGAAAGATGACTTGATCAAGTTTGAATGCAACCATTTTCCTGGGATTGAAAGAGAATAAAAATTTCAGAAATAGTAACGACCACACTGCTATCCCCATTTGCCTCTCAACCCTTCTTCCAATTATTATACTTCAGGTATTCTTCTAAAGAAGTCTACAGTCCTAGACTATCAGAGATTTAGCAGAACTTAGACATCATCTAGGCCAACCCACTCATCTGACAGATAGAAAACAGATTGAGTCACTTGCCTACATGACCCAACAAATTGCAAGGGCTTGGACTAGATCTCATCTTCTCAACATCAAATTGCTGGTCTTCTTATGACACTACTCACCAAGACAGGTATTTCTGGGCACTGCCCTCTTCAGCTTCCTGAAGATCCAACATCTACTATTATTCTTCCTTCAACTGGGTGATCAAGTTCAATTAACATGCTGGGGTTCCTGCAGATTAGAAATGATTTAACACAAGGCTGCTGGTGCTGAAGACACAGAGCTATTCAGAGCTCAATCTCAGTGTTTTTATCTATAGAAAAGGTAGCGTGAGCTTTCACAGGGTCTATGGCAGGAGGGGCTGGAGAAAATGAGTCTCTAAAAGGGACTAAAATTAGATGCCAAAAGACGGGTTACATACACACACACAGGTTACATACATACACACATACACATCAGAATTACTTATGACACTTGTTACTCCAGATATCTGAACCTTGCTTTGGACCCAGCAAGTCTGATGGGACCCAGGCATTTGTATTTTAATACGTTCATGTGACTTGACAAGTTGAATGTCCAGAAAGAGCCTTAGAAATACAGTCTAGGTTGCTTGAACAAAGTGCTAACTTGGACTATCTTCTGACCCCTAACATTCTTCTCACAGCAGGCGGGTATAAAACAGAAACTCAGCTTTCCATAGGACAGGAGGCCCCTTCTCTCTACAGAGGGGCTGAAACTTACCAAAGATCTCAAGCTTCCCAGGTACTAGACAGCTAGCTTTCCCAGATGACTCTTGTTTTGTTTTGTTTTTTTTGAGATGGAGTCTCGCTCTGTTGCCCAGGCTCGAGTGCAATGGCGCGATCTCGGCTCACTGCAAGCTCCGCCTCCCGGGTTCACACCATTCTCCTGCCTCAGCCTCCCGAGTAGCTGGGACTACAGGTGCTCGCCACCACACCCCGGCTAGTTTTTTGTATTTTTAGTAGAGACGGGGTTTCACTGTGTTAGCCAGGATGGTCTCGATCTCCTGACCTCGTGATCCACCCGCCCCAGCTTCCCAAAGTGCTGGGATTACAGGCGTGAGCCACTGCGCCTGGCCAACTCTTGTTTAAAAAGCAAACACCTCACATTCATATTGCCTGGCACCAAGTAGTGTGTTTATGTCCACACTGACAATGTTGTTTTTCACTTGTATTATAAGAAGGGAGAGCAACAGGGCAGCAAGGACCTCTCCTGGAACACCAACCTATCAGAGTGTCCAGCAGAGTACCCTGGCTCCAGCAGCCTTTGTCAGGAAAATAGGAAGATCTGGGAACCTGTGCCTTTTCTTCTTGCCCATCCCTGGACTCTAAATTTCCTCATTAAAGCTTGTTTAACCCCTCCTCTTGTTAATTCACTTGGAGTCCTTGTGTATTAAAGGAGGCAATGAACTGTATAACAGTTCCCCAAATATTTCTGCTCACAGCATAATTTGATATCCATGAGATTAGGGAGTTAATCTGGCTTCATAAAAATCTTTCCTTTCTCATAGACTGGGACCTCTCAGATGTGGAGGTTAGCCTTGGAGGATATGTGCCAAGAAGCCATGCATGGAGAACCTCAAGTAACAGGATGATGCTGTCTGTGTTCAGCTTTGCCAAGAACATGGCTTTCAACTGAAAACAGGGAAGATAAAAAGCCCTGCTACTGGGTTGATGCAGGAGTCAGAATTTCTTATTGTAGAATCTCAAATTAAGATCCAATTGCTGGAGGGCGCAGTGGCTCATGCCTGTAATCCCAACACTCTGGGAGGCTGAGGCGGGTGGATCAGTTGAGGTCAGGAGTTTGAGACCAGCCTGGCCAACATGGTGAAACCCCATCTCTACTAAAAATACAAAAATTAGTTGGGCATGGTGGTGCATGCCTGTAATCCCAGCTACTTGGGGGGGTGAGGCTGGAGAATTGCTTGAACCTGGGATGCAGAGGTTGCAGTGAGCCGAGATCGCACCGCTGCACTCCAGCCTGGGCAACAGAGTGAGATTCCGTCTCACACAAAAAAAGATCCAATTGCATACTTTATGATGCCAACATTCCTTAATAGGAATTGGCCTTACTGCTACCTTGGCTGGCTTCCATTCTTGTAGCTCAGATCCTTAAGCTCCTCCATTGTTATTTGATATGGTTTAGATATTTGTTCCCTCCAAATCTCATGCTGAAATGTGATTCCTCCCCAGCCTCCCCTGAAAAAAAGAAAAAAATGTGATTCCCAATGTTGGAAGTGGGGCCTGGTGGGAGATGGTTGGATCATGGGGGCAGTTTCCTCCTGATTGGTTTAGCAGCATCCTCTTGGTGATAAGTGAGTTCTTCCTCAGTTAGTTCATGTGAGATTTAGTTGCTTAAAAGTTTGGGACCTCCCCTCCCTTGCTGTCTCTTGCCCCTGCTCTTACCATGTGACATGCTTGCTCCCCCTTTACCTTCCACCATAATTGGAAAGTTCCTGAGGCCCTCACCAGAAGCAGATGCTGGAGAAATGCTTGCACAGCCTGCAGAACTGTGAGCCAATTAAATCTATTTTCTCTATAAATTACCTAGTCTCAGGTATTTCATTTCCATAGCAATGCAAGAATGGCCTAACACATTATTTTATTGTCAGTTCACTATAACCTCTCTCTTTTATTACAGTGCTCCTCAAGATGGCATCCTAGGGAGACTCTGGAGAATTTGTGAGGTTATTTTGGGTTGTCACAATGATTGGATAGTACTATTAGAATTTAATGGGGGCCAGGGATGATAGACATTCCTGCAGAACAAAGAACTGTCATTTATCCTACCTGACTTTCAAAAAAGTTGTTAATAATTACCTGAAACTAAAACCTAGTAACACTTTATGCATACATACAAAGTATTTTGCATAGCTTTTATATGTATTGGAAAATCAAGGAAATATACATTTTTTTTCTTTCTTTTTTTGAGACAGGGTCTCACTCTATCACCCAGGCTGGAGTGCAGCGGTACAATTACAGTTCACTGCAGCCTTGACCTCTCCAGGCTCAGGTGATCCTCTGACTTCAGCCTCCTAAGTAGCTGGGACTACAGGCACACACCACCATGTATGGCTAACTTTTAATTTTTTTTGTAGAGATGGGGTTTCACCAGGTTGCCCAGGCTGGCATCAAACTCTTGGGCTCAAGTGACCTGCCCACCTCAGCCTCCTAAAGCGCTGGGATTACAGGCATGAGCCACCACGTCCAGCCAAAATATACATTTTTTTGTTTCAATGTTATTAGGAATTTTTCACCATTTCAGGGAAATAAAACCACTTATGGTATTAGATTCACAAATATAATTCATAAATCAGGCTGCATTTGTAGTTGTATTCAGTGATTCTAATAGGTGTAAGCATCTATTTCATCCAGTCATTTACATGCTGAAATGCATATTATTCGATTATAAATCACTTTCCTTTTCCTTCTCCTTCATATTATAGTTAAGGTAACATATTGATACTTTTGAAATTATTTCATAGGTAGGTAGGTAGTATTATCTATGAATTTTATTTCAGAATAGTAAAGGGAATAGTAGGTCTGAAGGGTAGAGAAATACTTCTCTAGTGCAGTGGAACTAAAATATTGACAATTACATGACAGATGAATACTGCATCTCCCAGTAGGTAAGTTACAAAGCCTCTAAAGCTACTAAAGCAAAAGTTCTTGTCCCCAACAGAAGTCTCTGAAGATTTGAGAATACCCATACTGCCATAAGGTAATATGAGAACTAATGGGAATGTTGTACTTAGTGGAATATTATTACATTATTAAATACTATATCCCATTCTGGAGAAGAGAGATTGTTAGGAAATATTTAGTTTTTGGAGGCATTATGAAACCAAGGAGATCCAAAATTTGAAGATTTTTGCAACTTGTCTCACTAGAAGAACCCTGAAATATAGGATATCTAAAAGTAGGCAGAATATCCTGACAAGAGAAAGAACTATGACAGAGTTCTTGGATATGGCCAATTTGAAGTTCACTCTCATGCTTATTAATATTTTAATGATTGTTAAACTGTGCCAATTTGATATGAGATTATCTATAATCAACTAATGTGTATATACTATGTATTAGGCTGTTCTTGCATTACTATAAAGAAATACCTGAGGATGGGTAATTTATAAAGAAGTTTAATTCGCTCACGGTTCTGCAGGCTGTAAAAGCATGGTGTTGGCATCTTCTCAGCTTCTGGTGAGCCTTCAGGGAGGTTTTACTCACAACGGAAGGTGAAAGGGGAGCAGGCATATCACATAGGGAAAGCAGGAGCAAGGCAGGCAGGGAGATGACACGCTTTTACACAACAGATCTCATGAGAACTCACTCATTATTGCAAGGACAGCACCAAGCCACGAGGGATCTACCTCCACCATCCAATCACCTCCCATCAGGCTTCACCTCCAACATTGGTGATTACAATTCAACATGAGATTTGATGGGGACATATACTCAAACCATATCATTCTGCTCCTGGCCCCCAAGTCTCAAGTCCTCACATTGCAAAATACAATCAGTATTTTTAGGGGACTGCTCAATAGTCCCCTAAAGTCTTACATCATTCTGGCATTAACTCAAAAGTCCCAAGTCCAAGTCCAAAGTCTCATCTGGAGATGAATTTCTTCCACCTATGAACCTGTAAATCACAATTTATTTACTTCCAAGATACAATGGAGGTGCAGGCATTGGGTAAACACTCCCATTGTAAAAGGGAGAAATCAGCCAAAAGAAAGGGGCTATAGGCTCCATTCAAGCTTGAAATGCAGCAAGGCAGTCATTAAATCTTAAAGCTCCAAAATAAGCTCCTATATGTCCCACATCTAGGGCACAATGATGCAAGGGGTGGGTTCCCAAGGCCTTGGGCAGTTCCACTTCTGTGGCTTTGCAGAGTTCAGCCCCATGCTGCTCTCCCAGGTTGTTGAATGCCTGTGGCTTTTCCAAGCACAGAGTCTAAGCTGCTGGTGGATCTGCCATTTTGGGGTCTGGATGGTGGCCCCCTTCCTACAGCTCCACTAGGCAGTGCCCCAGTGGGGACCCTGTGTGGGGCCTCCAACTCCACATTTCCCCTCTGGACTGCCCTAGTAGAGGTTCTCTAAAGGGGCTTCTGCCCCTTACAGCAGGCTTCTGCCTGGACACCCAGGCCTTCTCATACATCCTCTTAACTCTAGGCAGAGGCTTCCAAGCCTCCTTCACTCTTGCACTGTGCATATCCACAGGCTTAACACCACATGGAAGCCACCAAGGCTTACAGCTTCTACCCTCCACAGCAGCAGCCTGAGCTGTACCTGGGCCCATTGGAACCATGGCTGGAGCCTGAGCAACCAGGATTTAGGAGCAGCCTCCTGGAGTGGTGCAGGGCAGTGGGACCCAGGATCTGGCTCTGAAATCCTTAAGTCCTCCTGGGCCTCTCAGCCTATGATGGGAGGCATCGCCTCTTAGATTTCTGAAATGCCTTTGAGGCCTTTTTCCTATTTTCTTGACTATTAGCACTTGGCTCATTTTTAGTTATGCAACTCTCTATAGCAAGTGGTTGCTCCATGGCCTGCTTGAATTTCTCTGCTGAAAAAGCTTTTTTTTTCTTTCCTCTGCAAATTTTCCAAACTTTTATGCTCTGCTTCCCCTTTAAATATAACTTCCAACTTTAAATCATTTCTTTGCTTCTACATCTGAGGACAGATAGACTGTTAGAAAGAGCCAGGCTACATCTTCCTTTGCTGCTTAAAAATTTCTTCTGCCAGATACCCTAAATCAACACTCTGAAGTGCAAACTTCCACAGATCCCTAGGGCAGGGGCACAAGGCAACCAAGTTCTTTGCTAAGGCATAACACACATGACCTTTGCTTTAGTTCCCAATAAGTTCCTCATTGCCATCTGAGACTTTGTCAGCCTGGACTTCACTGTCCATATCACTATCAGCATTTTTGTCACAAACATTTAACCAGTCTCTAAGAAATTCTAAACTTTCCCTCATCTTCCCATCTTCTGAGCCCTCCAAACTCTTCCACCCTCTGCCTGTTACCCAGTTCCAAAGTTCCTTTCACATTTTTAAGTATCTTTATAGCCAAGCCAGCTCCTCAGTACCAATTTGCTGTATTAGGCCATTCTTGCATTGCTATAAAGAAATACTTGAGGCTGGGTAATTTATAAAGAAAATAGGTTTAACTGGCTCACAGTTCTTCAGGCTGTACAACCATGGTGATGGCATCTGCTCAGCTTCTGGGGAGGCCTCAGGGAGCTTTTACTCATGGTGGAAGGCAAAGGGGGATTAGGCACATCACATGGCAAAAGCAGGAGAAGAGGTGGAGAGGTACCACACACTTTTACACAACCAGATCTCATGAGAACTTATGCATTATCACAAGAACAGCACCAAGCTCTGAGGTATCAATCTGTAAGATCCAATCACCTCATTGTCAGGGTTACAATACAACTTGAGATTTGGTGGAGACACATATTCAAGCCATATCATACTGTACAGTGCAAGAGTCTCAAAGTGTAGTTGTTTTTTCATTTCAAATAAGCTCATTATATATACAACTGTATTATGCATTAGATGTGTTTGTGCATGTGACACATATGATAGACACATACAAACTCCACTAGGGAAACTTTCTACCTAGAAAAAATGAAAAAAGAACTTGTGAAAGGAATCTAACTTGGAAGTAGTCTCCAGAAATGGTCTTTCTTTGGGCCTGCCTATTCTAAGAATTGTATGAATATTGACTCATTTATTGTTCACAATAACTCTGAGGGGAATTATTATTATTCCTGCAATACAAAAAAATAGTGTGAAGTACAGAGAAGTTAAGTAATTTGGCACAAGGCCAAGTAATAAATCCTAGATTCAAACTCATTATACTATACAGTATGTGTTGCTTCTCAACAGACAGGGAAAGAATGCCTGAATCACACTTTCTGTTTAGCGGCCTGTAAATGGCCAAGAAACTAAACTCCACTGATGTCAGAAGGTTATCAGCATGATCTTGACTTCAGAGTGCTGTAGGGGTATAGAGAGTGACTGCCTCCCAGACCCAGTCCCTGAAAGGCTGCAGTAAATCTCAGCCTCACTAACAGCCCTATCTATGTAACCGATGGAGTAAAGTCTCTGGCTTTGGCTCATACCTATAATCCCAGCACTTTGGGAGGCCGAGGTAGGCAGATCACCTGAGGTCAGGAGTTCGAGACTAGCCCAACATGGTGAAACCCCATCTCTAATACAAATATAAAAATTAGCCAGTCATGGTGGCACACACCTGTAGTGCCAGATACTCAGGAGGCTGAGGCAGAAGAATTGCTTGAACCTGGGAGGTAGAGGTTGCAGTGAGCCAAGACTGTACCACTGCACTCTGGCCTGGGCGACAGAGCAAGACTCCATCATCTCAAAAAAAATAAAATCAATAAAGTCTCTGGCCTCCACTGAAGTGCAAGTGGCATCCTCAGCACAATTCAGGGAAACATCAGATAGAGGCCCAGAGCTATAGGCACTGACTAGGTAATCTGGATTTTGGTTATAGCTCCATTGGTAGCTATATAGAAACCAGGGAAAAATAAACAATCTGGTTTTATGTCTCCTCACCTGCAAAATGAAGATGCTGGACTTGATTGGTCCAAAGCTATCGGATACCTAGTAGTTTAACTTTAGATCCCAAACTTTGAGGCACATAGCCATCTGCTTAGACTAAGGGGAGAGAACTAGAATGAATCTACTCTTTTTCAAATCCTCGGAGACATGTAAGATCTCAAGGTCCGTGTTTCAGATGAAACCATTCAAGAAATAGGCCAAAAAAAAGCCTGTGTTCATTAATCATCTAATGATGAATTAGAGTGAGGGAGTGTTGAAGATATTAAGGACAGTCAACAGGCAAATGAAGAATAGTCCCCTTGGCAAAATTTGGCAGACTCATCTAAGAACGGAAGTTCCTTTAAAAGAGAAATAAATGTGTCTCTGGTTGGTATGATGAAACACACGTTCAGAAAAGAGGGAAGAATACTTAACTCATGTGGAATATGGATCTTATGGAGAGGTAGACAGTTGCCTTTCCATCTTCTGCCTCCTCTTGGTTTTATTTTTAATGAAAGGCAGAAATGGGCAAAGGTCATAGTCCAAGGCATCCAGAACCTCTGTCTAGTAATGTCCACATCTAGCCTGTTGAATGCAACCCTAAGGATTAAGAAGTAATGATTGGGAGGCCAAGACAGGTGGATCACCTGAGGTCAGGATTTCAAGACCAGCCTGGCCAACATGGGGAAACCCTGTCTCAACTAAAAATACAAAAAAATTAGCTGGGCGTGGTGGTGGGCACCTGTAATCCCAGCTACTTCAGGAGGCTGAGGCAGGAGAATCGCTTGAACCCAGCAGGCGGAGGTTGCAGTGAGCCAAGATAGTACCATTGCACTCCAGCCTGAGCGACAAGAGCGAAACTCTGTCTCAAAAAAAAAAAAAAAAAAAAGTACAATGAATGCCCCAAAGTAATCCCATCTCCTCTCAGATATAAAGAAAATGACAATGGACAGTTATGTCTGGGTTTCAAGTTCATCTTTTATGATAAAAGACAGATCTGAGCCAATTCCAAACTTTCTCTAAACCCTTTAGGTGATCCAGCCTCTTTGACGTTCTCTTCATATGGGGTATGAGTTCAAAGACACTATGGCACTAGTCCCCTTACTTCTTCCTGAGGGTCAAAATAGAAGACAGATGACACTGCTTACAGCTGCACTTCCTTGGTCAAGTCACTTTTCTGAAAAATCTCGTCCCACATTATAAAACACCATTACTAGCATGTGCTTGTCTTTTCTTACAAAACTTTCATCAATACTGCAAGTTAAACTATGGCAAAACATTTACAATAAAGAATATCATATATAGTATAAGGGAGATGATGCTATTGCTGTGCTCATCTCACATCAATGAATTTGAAAACTGTGATGGTGTATGTTTAAGGAAAGATGCTGTCAGAGGATTTATGAGTCTCCCTTCAGCAGCTGCTGCTCTAGAGCATGGAGAGATGCATTCTTTTTCCTGGCTTTGGAGGATGTATGTAAGATGGGAAAAGGAAGTCTAGCGGATGTGACAAAAGTTTCAGGGATAGCCCCCAAACATATTTCAGAGATGCTAGGAGGTTAGGGCTATACCTTTATCCAGAGTCCATCCAAGGGATTCCTCCACCATAATGTGGAAAGTTGCCTCTCCTTTTCTCCTTTCTTCCTCATACTTTCATTATTTGAGTCACCTTACTGCTCTCTGGATACTGTATCCCTACAAAATCATTATTCTCTTAAGTGGTCACAACATGCTGCAGCCCTAGCCAACCTGGTGGTTTGCTATTCCTTTATGTGACTCAAACTTTTTAGCACTAACAGCGCTGGCCACCACAGTTACCCTAATTATCTAAAATTCTTTTGACATTGCTTGTCTCTCCTATAATCAATTCCTGATCCAGGGATAATTCTCCTTTATTTTCTACCCCCTTCAGAAGGAAGAAGGTTTTGAAGGGTCAGGAATAGGGCTTCTCTGGGTGCTTTGTTTTGTGGCACTAGGTTGATTGCTTCCTGGAGCCTTTGCCAATCCACAAAGCAATCAGCAGAACTGCCTGGGCAGCCTCAGTTTAATCACAGAATAGAGAAAATCTTGTCCTACCAAAGGTGATCTTCAGGTAACAATGTTCCCAGATATTGGCTCAAAGCACAAACTCACACATAAAGCACAAACTCAATGATCCACAGTAACTGTCAATACACCCACAACAAATAATTAACAACTACTTTATTCAAGTACCAACCTTCATCATCAGAAACATAAACTAAGGACTGGCACTCAAGCAAGTACTTCTCTTTTTTGGGGGGGAGGGGCGCGGAGTTTCACTCTTGTTGCCTACGCTGGAGTGCAGTGGCGTGGTCTCTGCTCGCTCCAACCTCTGCCTCCCGGGTACAAGTGATTCTCCTGCCTCAGCCTCCCGAGTAGCAGGGATTACAGGCGCGCGCCACCACTCCCACCTAATTTTTGTATTTTTAGTAGAGAACGGGTTTCACCGTATTGGCCAGGCTGGTCTCGACCTCAGGTGATCCGCCCGCCTTGGCCTCCCAAAGTGCTGGGATTACAGGCGTGAGCCACTGCGCCCGGCCAAGCAAGTACTTCATCTCTGTGTGCCTCAATTTCCTTATCTGTAACATGGGCATAATAATAGTACATTACTTCATAGGGTTGATGCAAGGATTAAATGAGTTAATGCAGGTAAAAACTCTTGGAGCAGTGCCTGCACTCAGTAAGCACCTGGGAAACACCCCAGTACCGAAGACCTCCCTCGCCCAGCTAGAGGGGAAGCAGGGAGCAACCCTGCTCTTTTTCATCTCCCAGGGATACACCCGGGGAAAACCACTGGCTGTCACTGCCGCAGAGGGACTAGGCTGGCCCGCCAGTGAGACGAGCGCTGGGGGCTTCATGACCCCACGCCACGCGGCGTCCCAACCGTGGAGGTGCCTCCTGACCCGACCTGCAGCCAAACCACACGCGACCCTTTCGCCCGTTTCCTTCGAAGAACCCGTGTTTCCGCTTTCCAGAACCTCTAAGAGCACCCACCTTGGTCCCGGGGCCCTGTAAGCCTCACTCACCGGCCGCCTCCGGCCGAGTACCCCCGACACACCCCGGGCGGGTCCCGCACTTGGAGCGGAACCTGAGTGCGCTGGGCTTGGGGAAGTCGGAAGGATTAAAGAGAAACCCATGCGTCGAACCGCTGCTCCAACGCCCATCAGGTTCCCTAAGATCACAGGCACTCTTCCACTCAGACTGCTGCTGATCATGCTCTGCTCGGTATGCGGGACCAGTCATTGTCTGGGCAGTCGCCTGGACCTAAGTCTCCTGACGCGGACGACCAGTTGCAAAACAGAGACCACACTGAGACTGAGCAACGTATCAGCAGCGGTCGCAGCTCTGCGCTTGCGCCTGAGAGCCAGCTACAGCAGGGCTGTGCTGGGATTCACTTTCGTGGAAGGTTTTGCAAAGCCCCTCCCCTGGTATGCGAGAGGCTGAGAGGTTGGCGCTAGAGGCAAGAGGAAGGGGGTCTGCGAGAGGTGCCGAAGACCACCTTAATACACTGCAAAGTATAGCCTAGACCGGTGGTTCACAGAGTTTTAAATAGCGTACACAAATAAATCACCAAGTGAGCTTGTTAAAATACAGCTTCACAAGATTTACACTCCGAGATTGACTCGTTGGCCCGGAACATTGCATTTTCAAGGGGCACCCCAGATGATTCTGATGCAAGTGGTCTCTCCAGCCTGTCTGGAGAAACTGGCTCCGTTGCACAATCTAGTTGCTTAAATACTGTTAAATGCAAGACATGTCTCAAATTTCACCAAAAGAAAAAAATGAATAAAATCAGGACACTACCCTAATCTAGTAGATTTTTTAAAATTCCAGATAATTTTAATATAAGGTAATGAAGTTGCACAATGTGCCCTGGGAGTTCAGAGCAGGGGAAACTTATGGAACGAGGGACACTGGAGTGGTTTGACTAATGGAAGATTTAATGGAAAACATAAAGGAGGGCAACCTTACAAATAGTTGAGGAACTAGAAGAGTGGAAAGCATGTGCAAAACTGCAGGTCTGATACATGACAGCTGTGCACAAGTACCATAGAAACATCAAGTAAGTATAAAGCATGAGCCATGAAGTACAAAGGAGCAGGATCCAAATTATAAAGCTGGAAAGAATTAGATAAAGTCTAATTTTATCATTTCCTATTTTTAAAAATTAAAAACACTTTCAAACTGTGGTAAACTATGCACAACATTAAAGTTACCATTTTAAAGTCATACAGTAAAGTTTTTAGCGTATTCACAACAGCACCGTCACTATCTAATTCTAGAACATTTTCGTCATCCCTAAAGATGCCCATTGAGCAGTCTCTATTCCCTGCTCCCCACAGTCCCTGGTAACCTTTATTTTACACTATGTTTCTATGAATTTGCCTGTTCTAGATATGCCATATAAGTAAAATAATACAATATTTGTCTATTTATGTCTGGATTATTTTTAATTAGCATAAAGTTTTCAAGGTTCATTCATACTGCAGCATGTATCCTTCATGCCTTTTAATGGCTAAATAATATTCCTTCGTGTATATGTGTGTGTTTATACACAAACAGTGTATAAATATACATACATAATATTTTGTTTATCCATTAATCTCTTGTTGAACACTTGGGTGGTTCCTGCCTTTTGGCCATTGTGAATAATGCTGCTGTGAACATTGGTGTACAAGTATCTGAGTCACTGTTTTCAATTCTTTGGGTATACACCTAGGCATTGAATTGCTATATCATATGGTAACTCTGCAATCAGCTTTCTAGAGGAACCATCAAACTGTTTTCCATAATGGCTGCATCGTTTTACATTCCCATCAGCAGTGCAGGAGGGTTCTAGTTCTCCACATCTTTGCTAACACTTGTTAACTTCTGTTTTGTTGTAGTTGTAGTATTATAACCATCATAATGGGTATAAGCTTTATCTCATTGTGGCTTTAATTTGCATTTCCCTAATGGCTAGTGATGTTGAGCATCTTGTCATGTACTTATTTGTGTGTCTTCTTTGGAGAAATGTCTGTTCAAATCCTTTGCCTATTTTTGAATTAGGTTTTGTTGTGTTGCATGAGTTTTTGTATATTCCAGATATTCTTCTTCAGATATGATTTGCAAATATTTTCTCCCAGTCTGTGAAGTTTTTCTCTCTTTTGATAGTGTCCTTTGATGCATAAAACTTTTTAATTTTGATGAAGCTCCATTTATTTATTTTTATCACCTGTGCAATACTTGAAAATTACATTGTCTAATAAAGATTTTTATGTTTTCTGCTAAGAGTTTTATAGTTTTGCTTCTTAAATTTAGGTCCTTGATCCATTTTGGGTTAATTTTTGTAGATGGTGTAAATACTACAACTTTATTATTTTGCATTTGGATATCCAGTTTTCCCAGCACCATTTGTTGAAAATACTGTCCATTTCCCATTGAATGGTCTTGGCACTTGTTGAAAATCAATCAATCAACCGTATATGTGAGGTTTATTTCTGGGCTCTCTTTTCTATTTTATTGGTCTATATTCCTATTCTTATTCCAGCACCACACTCTTTAGGTTACTGTAGGCTTGTGTAAAGTTTTGAAATTATGAAGTATGTGTCTTTAAACTTTATTCTTTTCTCCAAGGTTTTCATTGGTTATTCAGGGTAATTTGATTTTCCATGTGAATTTTAGGATGGGATTTTCTATTTCTGCAAACAAATGTTGAAATTTTTATAAGGAATACATTGAATCTGTATATCAAATTGTATTATCATCTTATCAGTAGTTAGTCTTCCAACCCATGAACATGGGATGTCTTTCCAATTATTTAGGTCTTCTTTAATTTCTTTAAGCAATTGCAGTATTCAGCATACAGGTCTTTCACTTCCTTGGTTAAATTTATTCCTAGGTATTTTTATGCTATTTCTAATATGTATATATTCATTGCCATAAATTCCCCCTAAGCACTGCTTTCACAGCATTCTATAAATTTTGATAAGTTGTGTTTTCATTTTCATGTAGTTTGAAGTATCTTTTAATTGCTCTTGGCATTTCTTCTTTGACCCATGTATTATTTAGAAGTGTATTGCTTAATCTCCAAGTATGTGGGAGATTTTCCAATGATCTTTCTGTTATTGATTTCTAGTTAACTCTAATGTCATCTGAGATAAATCATTGTATGATTTCTATTCTTTTAAATTTGTTAAGTTATGTTTTACAGCCCAGAACATGGTCTATATTGATTAATGTTCCATGTGAGTTTGAGAAGAAAGAGTATTCTGCTGTTCTTGGATGAAGTCTATAGATGGCCATTATATCTAGTTGATTGATGATGTTGTTGATTTCAACTATATCCTTACTGATTTTCTGCTTCCTGGATCTGCCCATTTCTGATAAAGAATTTTTGAGATTTCTGTGATAGTAGATGCATCTCTTCCTTCTTGAAGTTCTATCAGTTTTTGCCTCATGTATTTTGAAAGTCTGTTTTTAGGTGCATACATATTAAGGATTATGTCTTCTTAGAGAACCCTTTTCTCATTACATAATTCCCTTTTTTATCCCTGATAGCTCTCCTTGCTTTGAAGTCTGCTCTGTCTGAAATTAATGTAGCTACTTCTGCTTTCTTTTGATTAGTGTTAGTATGGTATAACTTTATTGATTTACTTTTAATCTATATGTATCTTTATCTTTAAAGTGAGTTTCTTGTAGACAACATATATTATTTCTTCACAATCTCTGCCTTAAAATGGTGCATTTAGACCACTGATGTTGAAAGTATTATTGATATAGTTGGATTAATATCTACTACGCTTAACTGTTTTCTATTTGTTGCCTTTGTTCTTGTTCTTATTTTTGTCTACCACTTTTTCTGACTTTTTTTGTTTTAATTGAACCCTTTATATGATTTTATTTTTCTTTTTTATTAGCATATTAGTTACACTTCTTTTTTCTAAGTGGTTAATCTAGAGTTTGCAATATATATTTACAACTAATCTGAGTCCACTCTCAAATAACACTATAAAGCTTCATGGGTAGTATGGCAAGTACCTTATAATAAAAAAAATCTTTTTTTTTTTTTTTGAGATGGAGTCTCACTCTTGTTGCCCAGGTTGGAGTGCAGTGGCGCGATCTTGGCTCACTGCAACCTCCACCTCCCGTGTTCAGGCTTCTCCTACCTCAGCCTCCTAAGTAGCTGAGATTACAGGCACCCGCCAACATGCCCGGCTAATTTTTGTACTTTTAGTAGAGATGGGGTTTTGCCATGTTGGCCAGGCTGGTCTCGAACTCCTGACCTCAGGTGGTCTGCCTGCCTCGGCCTCCCAAAGTGCTGGGATTACAGGCATGAGCCACAGCACCTGGCCAATAACAAAATAATTCTAATTTTTTCTTTCTGTTCCTTGGTTCATTGCTGTCACTCATTTTGCACATACAGAAGAATACATAACAGTGTGTGTATATGTAATTGAATATATATATCATTGAGTAAATACATTATTGTTATTATTTTGAGCAAACTTTTAGGTCAATTAAAAATTGGCTGTAGTACATCAACTAACAATAAGAAAAATGCTTTTATTTTACCTTTACTTATTCATTCTCTCTCTCTCTCTCTCTTTTTTTTTTTTTTTTTTTTGAGATAGAGTCTCACTCTGTTGCCCAGGCTGGAGTGCAGTGGTGTGATCTTGGCTCACTGCAACCTTCACTTCCCAGGTTCAAGCAATTCTTGTGCCTCTGCCTCCTGAGTAGCTGGGATTACAGGCATGTACCACCAAACCAGGCTAATTTTTGTATTTTTAGTAGAGACAGGGTTTCACCATGTTGGCCAGGCTGGTCTCGAACTCCTGGCCTCAAGTGATCTGCCCACCTCAGCCTCCCAAAGTGCTGGGATTACAGGCTTGAGCCACCACACCCAGCCCATGTTCTTTATGTATATATATTTCCAAGTTTTAACTTCTGTTATTGTCCTTCTCCCTAAAGAAGTTATATTAACATTTCATGCAAGACAAGTCTACTGGCAACAAATTCCTTAAACTTTTGTTTCTCTGAGAGAGTCTTTATTTTTCCTCAACTTTTGAAGGATGATTTTTCCAGAGTATAGAATTCTAATAGGTGGTTTTTAATCTCTAAACATTTAAATATTTCACTCCACTCTCTTCTTGTTTGCATGGTTTCTGAGAAGTCAGATGTAAATCTTATCTTTACTCCTCTATATATAAGCTGTTTTTTCCCCTGTATGACTTCTTCCAGGATTTTTCTTTAATTTCGATTTTCTGTAGCTTAAAAATGTTATCCCTAGGTGTTCTGGACTAAATGTTTGTGTCTCCCCAAAATTTATAAGTTGAAACCCTACCCCTCAATGTGATATTATTAGGAGATGAGGCCTTTAGGAAGTAACTAGGATTAGATGAGGCCATGTGGGTGGGGCCCTCATTAATAGGATTAGTGCCCTTATAAGAGTCATGAGAGAGCTTATTTCCTTTCTCTGCTCTCCACTATGTGAAGATACAAGAGTTTGGCAGTCTGCAACCCAGAAGAGGGCCCTCACCCAAATCCAAATATGTTGTCACCCTGATCTCAGACTTTCAGAACCCAGAGGTATAAGAAATAAATTTCTTTTGTTAATAAGGCACCTTGTCTATGAGAATTTGTTATAGTGACTCAAATTGACCAAGCCACTAGGTGTAGTTTTTTGGGCATTTATTTTGCTCAGTGTTCTCTAAGCCACTTTGATCTGTGGTTTGATATCTGACATTAATTTGGGAGAATTCTCAGTCATTACTGTTTCAAATATTTTTACTCTTTCTTTATTCCTTCCTTCCCCACCCCCTGTCTTTGTCTCTCTCGGTGTCTTTCTTCTTTTTTTGGTATTCCTATTATACATATGTTATACTTTTTGTAGTTGTCCCAGTCCTTAAATATTCTCTTTTTTCAGAATTTGTTCTCTTTGCTTTTCAATTTTGTGTTTTGGTTTTTTTTTGAGACAGGGTCTGGCTCTGTTGCCCAGGCTGGAATACAGTGGCACAATCTCGGCTCGGTGCAACCTCTGCTTCCTGTGTTCAAGCGCTTCTCCTGCCTCAGCCTCCTGAGTAGCTGGGACTACAGGCATGCACCACCATGCCCAGCTAATTTTTGTATTTTTGGTAGAGATGGGGTTTTACCATGTTGGCCAGGCTGGTCTTGACCTCCTGACCCCAAGTGATCTGCCCACCTTGGCCTCCCAAAGTGCTGGGATTACAAGTATGAGCCACCGTGCTCAGCCTGCTTTTCAATTTTGATGCTTTCTATTGGGATAAACAGCAAGATCAGAGATTCTTTTTTTCCGCCATGTCTAGTCTACCAATAAGGCCATCAAAATCATTTTCATTTCTGTTGCAGTGCTTTTGATCTCTAGCATTTCTTTCTGGTTCTTATAATTTATATCTCTGTGCTAACATTACCTATCTATTCTTGTATGGTGTCTACTTTACCCATCAGAGACTTCAGCATCTTAATCATCTTAATCATCATTGTTTCAAATTTCTGGTATGAGAATTCTAACATCCCCACCATATGTGAGTCTGGTTCCGATGCTTGTTCTTCCTCTTCAAACTGTCTGTGTGTATTTGTATTTGTTTTGTTTCATTTTGTGCCTTTTTCGTATTTTCTTGTATTTTCTTGATATATGGAAATGCTGTGCTGAGTAAAAGAACTGCTGTAAATAGACCACTTTTTAAAAACTTCTGTATTTATTTATTTATTTTTTGAGACGGAGTTTCCCTCTTGTTGCCCAGGCTGGAGTGCAATGGCGCTGTCTCAGCTCACTGCAACCTCCGCCTCCCGGGTTCAAGCGATTCTCCTGTCTCAGCCTCCTATAGTGATAAATCAGCCTCCTAGGCAGCTGGGATTACTGGCGCCCATCACTACACCCGGCTGATTTTTGGTATTTTTAGCAGAGACGGGGTTTCACCATGTTGGCCAGGTTCCTCTCGAACTCCTGATCTCAGGTGATCTGCTTGCCTTGGCCTCCCAAAGTCTGGGATTACAGGCGTGAGCCAACGCAGCCGGCCTTTTTTTTTTTTTTTTGAGATGGAGTCTTGCTCTGTTGCCCAGGCTGGAGTGCAGCGGCCCCGATCTCGGCTCGCTGCAACCTCCGCCTTCCAGGTTCAAGCAATTCTCCTGCCTCAGCCTCCCGAGTAGCTGGGATTACAGGCACATGCCACCACAGCCTGGCTAATTTTTGTATTTTTAGTAGAGACAAGGTTTCACCATGTTGGCCAGGCTGGTCTCAAACTTCTGACCTCAGGTGATCTGCCTGTCTTGGCCTCCTAAAGTGATGGGACTACAGGTGTGAGCCACCACGCCCTGCCTAAAACTTTTTTTGAGACAGAGTTTTGCTCTGTCACTCAGGCTGCAGGGCAGTGGCACGGTCATGGCTCACTGCAGCCTCCTCCTCCTGGGTCAAGCAATCCTCCCACCTCAGCCTCCTAAGTAGCTAGTGAGAGGTGACAGCATGCTGGCAGTCCTCACAGCCCTCGCTCGCTCTCGGCGCCTCCTCTGCCTGGGCTCCCACTTTGGCGGCACTTGAGGAGCCCTTCAGCCCGCCGCTGCACTGTGGGAGCCCCTTTCTGGGCTGGCCAAGGCCGGAGCCGGCTCCCTCAGCTTGCGGGTAGGTGTGGAGGGAGAAGCGCGAGCGGGAACTGGGGCTGCGCGCGGTGCTTGGGGGCCAGCTGGAGTTCCGGTTGGGCGTGGGCTTGGTGGGCCCCGCACTCGGAGCACCTGCCGGCCCCGGGCAATGAGGGGCTTAGCACCCGGGCCAGCGGCTGCGGAAGGTGTACTGGGTCCCCCAGCAGTGCTAGCCCACCGGCGCTGCGCTCGATTTCTCGCCGGGCCTTAGCTGCCTTCCCGCGGCGCAGGCCTCGGGACCTGCAGCCCACCATGCCTGAGCCTCCCACCCCCTCCGTGGGCTCCTGTGCGGCCCAAGCCTCCCCGATGAGCGCCGCCCCCTGCTCCACGGTGCCCAGTCCCATCAACCACCCAAGGGCTGAAGAGTGTGGGCGCACGGCGCGGGACTGGCAGGCAGCTCCACTTGCAGCCCTGGTGCGGGATCCACTGGATGAAGCCAGCTGGGCCCCTGAGTCTGGTGGGGACGTGGAGAACCTTTATGTCTAGCTCAGGGATTGTAAATACACCAATGGGCACTCTGTATCTAACTCAAGGTTTGTAAACATACCAATCAGCACCCTGTGTCTAGCTCAGGGTTTGTGAATGCACCAATCGACACTCTGTATCTAGCTACTCAGGTGGGGCCTTGGAGAACCTTTGTGTCAACCCTCTGTATCTAGCTAATCTGGTGGGGACGTGGAGAACCTTTGTGTCAACCCTCTGTATCTAGCTAATCTGGTGGGGACGTGGAGAACCTTTGTGTCTAGCTCAGGGATTGCAAACGCACCAAAAAGCGCCCTGTCAAAACAGACCACTTGGCTCTACCAATCAGCAGGATGTGGGTGGGGCCAGATAACAGAATAAAAGCAGGCTGCCCGAGCCAGCAGTGGCAACCCCTTCCACACTGTAGAAGTTTGTTGTTTCACTGTTTGCATTAAATCTTGTTGCTCACTCTTTGGGTCCATACTGTCTTTGTGAGCTACAAAACTCACCGCGAAGGTCTGCAGCTTCACTCTTGAAGCCAGCGAGACCACGAACCCACCGGGAGAAACGAACAACTCTAGACGTGCTGCCTTAAGAGCTGTAATACTCACCGCGAAGGTCTGCAGCTTCACTCCTGAGCCGCCAGGCTATGCACCCACTAGAAGGAGGAAACTCCCAATTCATTGGAACATCAGAAGGAACAAACTCCAGGCACGCGGCCTGTAATACTCACCGCGAGTGTCCGCGGCTTCGTTCTTGAAGTCAGTGAGACCAAGAACCCACCAATTCCAGACACACTAGGACTATAGGCACATATCACTCTACCTGACTAATTTTTCTGCATGGACGAGATCTTACTATGTTGCCCAGACTGGTCTTTAACTCCTGGGCTCAAGCAACCATCCCTATGCCTTTAGAAATGTGGTATCAAGGTATAGGGGAAGGGGAAGCATTCTATAGTTCTCTGAGTAGGTCTCAGTCTTTTGGTCAAGACTATATCTCTGGATTGGGAACTTCACACCTTTCTCAGTTTCCCCTACCCCCTTTGGTGGGACAGGATGACTAGAGTGGGTTAGAGTTGGGTATTTCCTTTCTTCCATGTGGGAGGCTAGAGATGACTGAAGTTGGGTATTTCCATTTCCTAAGGTCTGTTAGGCCCTGATAAAAGCCCAGCAGGTTAGGCTCTGGTTAAATAGATTGTTTTTGAGGGCTGACCTTGTTGAGAAGTACAGAATGCTGTGGCATATTTCAAAATGGTTCCTTTTCTCATTCCCTCTGCTAGAAGCATGAGAGGAATTTTCTCTGATACTCATTTTGCTGAATTCCTGGAGGTAAAACTCACAAAAGTATGGGGGGGGGTCCCCTGGTGACTGGGTTCTCCTGGAGTTTTTTAATCGTAGTTATTCACATTAAGTGAGATCATGTCATTTTAAAAGACTGACTGGGCTTTAGATTAAAAGGTAAGATAAGGATAAATCAGTTTCCTTGAGATACCTACAACATAGGAGGAAGAGAAATGACCTAAATATGGTAGAACTGGAAAACTTGATTTATTCTGCTTTCCCATCACAAAAAATACTGTGCTCTTCCCTTTATATTTATTTTTGTTTAGTTTTAGGTGACTGTTAATCAGTGTAAGTTCAAGTCTAACAAAGTATACTCCAAATTATATGGCACTGCAACAAGTGTAACACCACCAAACAGACATAGCAATAATATACTGAAATTATTTCTCTCTACTTTAGGTGACAATAAATGGAAAATACAAATAAAATTTACAGTGACAATAAATGGAAAATACAAATAAAATTTCATTTCATCTATTGTTGGGTTAATGACCTTGTAGTTTTAGCACAGCTGTAACAACTGGCATGTGAAGCAGTTTGAGTATGTAAAGGTCAGTAATGCTGGTTTTCATTTGCAAAATCAGTTGTTACAAATACCAAGAGCAAGGGTTCAAATAAACTACAACATAAATTTTCATTGTAGAATCTATGATTCATATGAATATAGAGAGAGGAATATACACTTTTTTTTTTTTTAGAGACAGAGTTGTGCTCTTGTCACCCAGGCTAGAGTGCAGTGGCACAGTTATAGCTCACTGCACCTTCAAACCCATAGGCTAAAGAGATCCTTCCAAATAGCTGGGACCATAGGCACATGCCACCATGCACAGCTTCAAATACATTTTTAATAAAAATGTTCTTATTTGATATACTTAATAGGAAATCACTAAAATGTTATATACAGGAATATTGACTGTCAGGCCTCTGAGCCCAAGCTAAGCCATCGCATCCCCTGTGACCTGCACGTATACATGCAGATGGCCTGAAGTAACTGAAGAATCACAAAAGAAGTGATATTTAAATGGCCTGTTCCTGCCTTAACTGACGGCATTCCACCACAAAAGAAGTGAAAATAGCCGGTCCTTGCCTTAACTGATGACATTACCTTGTGAAATTCCTTCTCCTGGCTCATCCTGGCTCAAAAATCTCCCCCACTGAGCACCTTGTGACCCCCACCCCTGCTCACCAGAGAACAATCCCCCTTTGACTGTAATTTTCCTTTACCTACCCAAATCTTATAAAACGGCCCCACCCCTATCTCCCTTCGCTGACTCTCTTTTTGGACTCAGCCCACCTGCACCCAGGTGATTTAAAAAGCTTTATTGCTCACACAAAGCCTGTTTAGTGGTCTCTTCACACTGACGTGAGTGAAATTGACTAAAAAGGGGTGCCAGGGAACTTTATGGGAAGAAACAAATGTTCTATATGATGACTGGGGGTGGTTTTTACTCAGGAACATATATTCGTTAAAACCCACCTGTATACTTCAAAGTTATACATCAATTAAAATATTTGGAAACAAGTTATATAAATAGACCATTCAATATTATTTCTTCTTCAGATTATGCAATATTTTTCTTTAAAACATGTACACAGTCTTGTGAAGTTTGTAAATCTATAGGATCCAGATCCAAATTCAGTAGCATTTATTTTTCTCTATATATGTAAACACACACACAAATATACATATACACGTTACACACACATATATGTGTATATATATTTTTCCATCTCTTGCTGCATCATTGAAGGTTGTGAACTTAAAGCAGGAACCACTGAATTTCTTCTTGGACTAAGATAGCTATTAAACACTGCGAACCCAGAAAATCTGAGACAGGTCTCAGTTAATTTAGAAAATTTTTTTCCAAGGTTGAGGATGTGCCAGTGGCACAGTCTCAGGAAGTCCTGATGACATGTACCCAAGGTGGTCAGGGCACAGCTAGGTTTTATATATTTTAGGGAGACATGAGACATCAATGAATATATTTGAGAAGTACATTGGTTCGGTCTGGAAAGGTAGGACAACTTGAAGCAAAGTCAGGAAGACATGAAGCTGGGAGGGAGCTTCCAGGTTACAGGTAAGTGTTACATAAACAGTTACATTTTTTGAGTTTCTGATTAGCCTTTCCAAAGGAGGCAAATTAGATATGCATCTATCTCAGTGAGCAGAGGGGTGACTTTGAATAGAATGGGAAGCAGGTTTGCCCTAAGCAGTTTCCAGCTTGAGTTTTCCTTAGTGATATTGGGGGCACAAGATATTTTCCTTTCACAGCACTAAATGGTTAATGAGACTGACAACACCAAGTTGCATCAAATTGGCCTTGTGGTCGGAGTTCTGGTTAATTGTCTCCTCTGTTGTTTCCAATGAGAAGCTACAGGAGGTTTCTGCTTTCTACTAGTCTTTCATTAATCTTGCCTAGTTTATTTGACAATGATTTTCTAATTTTTAATTTTCCAGATTGAATTGTTTATATTTTTCCAATCCTGCTTTATTTGAATCCTCATGGCAATTTTTCGTTTTGGAGCACTGAGGTTCTAGGTACTTAATTCTCAGTTCCATCTGACTCAGTTGTTGACAATTCCCTTTAGATGCTCCTTGTGTCACTTGCCAGGTTGTGTTCTCACAACCATTACATTATTAACTCATTTAATATTCATAACAATGGGTGGAAGGAGCCACTTAGGAATAATCTCAAGGCAGGAGGCACCCAAATACCTAGTTTTACAAACTTCACAAGAATGTGTACGTATTTTATTATTTATTTATTTATTTTGAGAGGGAGTCTTGCTTTGTCGCCCAGGCTGGAGTGCAGTGGCGCAATCTCGGCTCACTGCAACCTCCACCTCCTGGGTTCAAGCAATTCTCCTGCCTCAGCCGCCGGAGTAGCTTCAAGCGGCTCGCCATTACATCTAGCTAATTTTTTTGTATTTTTAGTAGAGATGGGGTTTCACCATGTTGGCCAGGCTGGTCTTGATAAGGTTATACCTTATCAATGGGTGGAAACTGATTTCGTTTCTATTTTAAGTATGAAGAGACTGGATCCCAGAGATGTTGTCATTTGCAATACAGAGATGTATACAAGATCAGGCAGAGGAGTTAGAGAGCACATACACACATACGTCCCAATCCAAAAAATACCACAGTGAGGTAGTATAAGGAAAAAGACTGAACTGGGAATAGAAAGGGATTCTAATCCTAGTTTTGCCATTTGCTACTTGTGAAACTTTAATAACATCTTGGGCCTGTTTCTACAGCAATTAAGAATATGTGCTCCTGTAGCCAAATCAAGTGAATGACCTTGGGTGAGTTACTTAACCTCTCTGTGACTATTTACTCATCTGTAATGTGTTAATAATAATTCATTAATAATTCATTCATTTCAAATAGCAAAATTCTTGACAATCTTATGATTTCAGCAAACAATATTATCTTTTTTTAGTGAGAGTAGCAAGACAAAGGTGGGCATGTCATTGATAAGGAAACAATAAACATTTAAAGAGAGTGATTATTGAGGCAGGAAAATAGGGCCTGGAGGCAGGAAACATACAACTGTTTCACACTTCAGGTATAGCAGGAAATATCTTCTCCATAGGGCTTACACCATAAATGACTTTGTAACTTTACTTCATCCTCTCCATTTACATAGGGCGAACCCGAAGTAACCAATTGAATCCTCTAGGGGGTATTTAAACTCCCAAAAATTCTGTAACGGTGTCTTTGAGTTCCTATGCTCGGCCCCCTCCCACACTGTGGAGTGTACTTTCACTTTCAATAAATCCCTTTGTCCCTTCCTTGCTTTGTGTGATTTGTTCAATTCTTTGTTCAAGACGCCGAGAACCTGGACTCCCTCCACCTTTAACAATTATGACACTTTATAGCTGCTACAGTATGATTTTGGTAGAAATATTGCTTGATGTTAACTTTGCAGCAGCCTGTCAGTGTCATTGAGTCTGGTTAATAGCAGGGCTGATTTTTGCCTTCTCAAATGCGATAAAACATGTAAAGTACTTAGAAGAGAGCCTGACATACAGTGTGTGCTTAATTGGCTATTTTTATTGTAGAATAAAGGTGTCTGATTTTTCTGGGACCCTGTGATTTTTAATTAGTGGTTTAATGTTTGTGTGTTATAAAAGAGATAATAAGAACCTGTTTCTGTCCTTTGCTTACTAGAGATCTGTCAATGATGTAATGCAGAGGAACTTTACTGCATACAAATTATTCACGTTATACCCTAGTCACAGTGGAGGTGTCACATAGATCAGACTCTCCAGCCGCCATGCCTACACCTCCCAATTAGGACCTCAGGCCTGTGCTAGCCACGCCCCAAACCCTAAATCTCTCCAGCCGCAGACAACCCTGGGAAATGTAGTCTGCGGACAAGAGCCAGCCGGCCCACAGCCAGAGCCATGCAAGCGCAGTTCTCTTCGGACAGGTAAACCCTTTCTCAGCGGGCTCCTCCGCGCGCTGAGTGTCAGTTGCACGTCTTACCTGATAGGTGGGTAGGCACTCGCCTGTGGAGGAGCCTGAAGCTTCTAGGGGTGCCTTGCTCTTTCAGGAGAAAGCGGCCAGAAGGAGCGGGTGGGGAGCCCTGGAGAGGTGGGAGTGGAGGCTCTCTTTTATACCTGCGTCTGTCGCTGATTCCAAAAGGCGTAGGGGAGCCCGGGACGCGCCCTCCAGGCCACTGGGCGGGCAGTGTATCCTGCGGGAACCCGAGCCTGCTCGGGGCTCTGTGGGGTTGAGGGTCGTGGAAGGCTTCTAGGCGCAGGAGCGGCGGCGACTGTGGCTACTGACATTAAGAAGGGTCCCCGGGAGTTTTGCGAGAAATTAGAGGGTGACGACGGCCAGCGGGCGCTGGTCATAAAATTCCGGGCTCAGCCCGGCCTCCAGAGGTCAGAAATAGGTGGTTATCTGAGAGGGAGGGACGAGGCGAACTCTCCGAGAGCCACAAACTGGAGAAGCCGCTCCCGCTGGCTGGGACCAGGGACTCTCCTGCAAGAGGCCTAGGGTCACTAAGGAAACATAACCAGCGGTAGTGCAGGGAACGGAACCTGCGTGATGTCACAGCGGCTGGAGCAGGTAAGGTGGAGGATACGACTTTGCCTGAAGAGAGATAAGAAATAGACCAGCTCAAGAGCGAGTGTGTTCTGGGAACTGATTTGAGAAAGGAGAGCTTTCCCTTTCCTCACCTGAAGGCTGAGGAAAACACACACACACACACACACACACACACACACACACACGAGTTTTCGTGTGAGAAAGTGGGAAGAAAGCGAAATTTCACGCTTGTGTAGTAGGGGCTGTATGAAGACGACCAAAACCCCTCTCTGGGTCACTTCAAATGTACGTACCCCTTTCTCCACTCCAGCCTTTTATCTATCATAGTACAATGGAAACAGCCTGGTTTAGTTAATTTTAAAATTATCATACATAAAATTGGCATGGTGGGGCATACTGTTCTAGAACATGTTTAGATTCCGGTAACTACTACCACAGGATGCAGAGCTGTTTCATTCACTCCAGAAAACTTCCTTGTGCTACCCCTTTATATTTACACTCTTTTCCCACCCTTAACCCTGGCAGCCACTGATTGTTCTCCATCTCTATAGTTTTGTGTTTTCCAGAGTGTCATATAAGTGGAATAATACAATATGTACATTTTCACACTGGCTGCTCTCCCTCAGTATGAAGCCTTTAAGGTGGCCACATTATTGTGTCACTTTCTTCTTTTTTGCTGAATAATATTGTTATTGCTAAATAATATTGTATATAGATGTATCAGGTTTTAAAAAAAATCTCACCTTTTGAAGGACATTTGTATCATTTCCAGATTTTAGTAATTATGAATGATGCTGCTGTAAATGTTCACCTACAGGTTTTTGTGTGAACATACATTTTTCTTGAGCCAGGATTTTGAATCCAAACAGGTCTGAATTTGAATCCTGGCTTTGAAACTTATTGGCTCTGTGGTAACCTTGGGCAAGTTATTTAACCTTTTCGGGGGATTTAACTTTCATAGTGGGTTGTTGTGAGGTTAAACGACCCAATATATCTCAATAGTTTTCAACTCTTTCAGACCAAGCGGGCTCTTTGTATAACAAATATTTTGTAATGCCCCCATTTCTATCCATAAATAAAATTCATTAAATTGGCAATAAGCTTAACCTACCTATTTTAAAGCCATATGATGCCCTAATTCTACAATAAAGGAGAAATAAAAGAGAATACACTGCAACTCAGGCTGATAAAATGATCGAATCTCAGTAAAATTCAGAACAAAGTACCTTGATTTAGACCATAGTTGTCCTTATAGAAAATCATCATATATTAGCACTGAAAAAAAAAAAAGAAAGAAAGAAAAGAAAAAGACTCTGTGGTTGTGTGTAAAAAAAGAGTTAGGTTCTAGTCTCTGATAATTATCAATAGAATTTTTACCCATCTGAATGTCCTGCAAAACATTAAAAAATTGTTTGGGATTGTCCTGTGCTGAAGGACATCTGGGATCCCTGACTCCTACAAATTAAATGCCAGTAGTTATTTCTTCCACTCAATACAAGGACCAGGTCCTGTCTGCTGAGTTCCTCTGGTTTATGTGAAACATTCAATATAATAACTAGCTCATGGCCGGGCGCGGTGGCTCACCCCTGTAATCCCAGCACTTTGGGAGGCCGAGGCAGGCAGATCACGAGTTCAGGAGATCGAGACCATTCTGGCTAACATGGTGAAACCCCGTCTCTACTAAAAATACCAAAAAAAAAAAAAAAAAATTAGCCGGACATGGTGGCGGGCGCCTGTAGTCCCAGCTACTCGGGAGGCTGAGGCAGGAGAATGGTGTGAACCCGGGAGACGGAGCTTTCAGTGAGCCGAGATTGTGCCACTGCACTCCATCCTGGGCGACAGAGCGAGACTCTGTCTCAAAAAATAAATAACTAAATAAAAATAAAATAACTAGCTCATGGCAGCTGCAAGCAATAACATTCTAAACCTCCAAGAGGACATCCTCCATTGCTTAGGTCTTTCAGGAGCTGGCTTTAACAATTTCATTTTCTTATAAACTCATGCTTCTTAAACTTGAGTATGCATCAGAGTCACCTGGAGGATTTGTTAAACACATTGCTAAACTCACCACCAGAGTTTTTGATTCAGTAGGTCTGGGGTTGGGCCTAACAATTTGCATTTCTGGCAAGTTCCCGGGTGATGCTGGTGCTGCTGATCTACGGACCATAGTTTGAGAAGCAGTGTCCTAAACCTCTTCCTTCAAATGTTTAAATTCAGAGGATCTTTTTAAAATCTTACATCTTTCTTATTCCCTACAAAGTTCTGTAAAACAAAAGGAACAGATACTCTTATCCCTATTGTTTTGTTACCGAACAAACAAAGATTCAAGGAAGTTAGTGACTTGCTTAATGCTGTACAGCATTTTACTAACTCAGATATTAGAATTCAGGGTTCTTCAATCCCAGTGAAGTGTTTATTCCATTAACCAACACTGCCTCTGATAATAAGGGCAGTATGCCCTATGTTGAAAGGATTTGCCAAGTAATTTCTCCTATATCCTCGAAAAAACCAAGGGCGACAGCATTATTTTATAGCACTTAATGATAAATTCCTCATTTTTACACTCTATTAGCTTATGTTGGCCTCCTTGTTCTTAGAGCATGACAAGGATATTCCAACCTCAAGATTTTGTTTGCAGACTTTGCACTTGCTGTTTTCTCAGTCTGCCCAGAGATATCTTTATGGCTTACTCTCTCTTTTTACACAAATCCGATAAAAATGTTTCCTTCTCAGAAAAGCTTTCCCTGGCCATGCCATCTAAAATAAAGGTCTTGTTTATCCTTTTATTCTACTTTTTTGGGGATATGTTTGTAACTACTTGAGTTTATATATGCTTGTATGGTTTGGTTTAGTTTTGCTTTTTTTTTTTTTTTTTGCTGGCCCTCTCATAGGGGCTTTATTCTGTCTTGTACTTGTTGCATCCCCAGTGCCTATAAAAGTCCTTATCACAGAGCTGAATGAATGTGAGAATTCAATATGTTAAAATCTAAATTATGAGTTTGACACAAATTTTAGCCTCGTCTATTCATTTCATCAAACATATCAAGACTTACATATATATGCCAGGCACAGTTTTGTTGTTAGGAATATAAAGATGGGAAAATCTTGATTCGTGTGTAGGGGTGGGGATGGCAAAAGATACTCCAAAAGATAATTTCAAAACAGGTAGTAAATGCTATGATAGAGTCTAGGTAACTGCTCTTGTTATCTGGAACCTACTTAAACCATGGATGGTGTCTTAGACTGCTTCTATTGCTGTAAAGGAATACCTAAGCTGGTTAATTTAAAAAGAAAAGAGGCTTATTTGGCTCATAGTTCTGTAGATTATATAAAAAGAATGGCTCCAGCATCTACTTCTGGTGACGGCTTCAAGTTGCTTCCATTCATGGTGGAAGGTGAAAGAGAGCTGGCACGTGCAGAGATTACATGGCAAGAGAAGAAGAAAGCGAGAATGGAGAGGGGGACCAGGCTCTTTTTAACAACCGGCTTTAGCCTGGAGCGGTAGCTCACACCTGTAATCCCAGCACTTTGGGAGGCCGAGGCGGATGGATCACGAGGTCAAGAGATTGAGACCATCCTGGCCAACATGGTGGAACCCATCTCTACTAAAAATACAAAAATTAGCCGAGAGTGGTGGCGGGTGCCTGTAGTCCCAGCTACTCAGGAGGCTGAGGCAGGAGAATCGCTTTATCCCGGGAGGCGGAGGGTGCAGTGAGCCAAGATTGTGCTAATGCACTCCAACCTGGCGACAGAGTGAGACTCCACCTCAACCAAAGTAAATAAATAAATGAATAAATCAGCTCTTGCAGGAACTAATAGAGTGAGAACCTTACTATGGGGGACAATACCAAGCCATTCATGAGGGATTCACCGCCGTGATCCAAAGCTTCCCATTAGGCCCACCTCCAACATTGGGAATTGAATTTCAACAAGAGGTTTGGGAAGGCAAACATTCAAACTATTGAGAATGCAATGCCTGTGGCGTTTCTGTGGTCATGAGGTGGCAAGGAATGTTTGGTTGCCTTTACTTCCTGGAGCTGAAGATTCAGTTGGTATGACTTCAAAAACATACCACATATGTGGATTTCTAGACCAGTGCTATGCAATATAACTTTTGTGGATATTTTTGATGTATACATTGCTCGGTACAGTAGCCACTAACCACATTAGCTATTGAGCACTGAAATGTGACTATTGCAATTGAAGAATTAAGTCTTTTATTTAATTTTAATTTAAATAGCTACATGTGGGGAATGGCTACCATATTGGAGAGTGTAGTTCTAGAATATCAAGTGGTTGCTATAGACACAAGCTGACTTCTTCGTAGCTCCTCTCTCTTCCCTCAGAGCCACTGTCTCAAGACTCTGCCCTTCTTCAAGAGAAGAGCCCAGAAGAAGAGAGAATGACTGCTAGGCCCTTTATGGCTGGATTCAGGGTGAGCTGGATTTTCTTTTCATTTCCTGAAATATCTTATATTTTCTACTTTCATTCTGGTGGTTTGGGGCCCAAAAAAACTTCAATTCAGTCACTTGAATTCCAGATATTTTATTTTCTAGGAACCAAGGCCTATTCTCTTTGATCATGAATTTTATAAGATTGGTTGTCTATTGCCACCTGCCTTCCCATAGTGTTTTTGTTTTTGTTGTTTGTTTGTTTGTTTGTTTCTGGTAACTAGCATAGCATTTAGTAACTAGCATTTGATAACTAGCATAGCAGGTAGGCTCTCAATTAGGCATTGTCTGTGGTATTCAGTTCTTCAGCAGCCTTGTCTAACCAAGGAGTTAAGGAAGAATTCAAGGAAACACACACATCCATTTTAAGTAGTAAAGAGAAAACATCCCATAGGAGTTCAGAGAAGGAGAGTGTGATTTGGAGGATTTTATGAAGGGGTGGAATTTTGGTGTGCACTGAGATATGGTTGCAATTTTGTCAAAGGAGAACTGAGGGATTTTAAGGGAAGAAAATATAAGACAAAACTTAGAGGTAGAAGAGACCGTGTCTTCTATGGGCAATGGGTAGTAGCCATATATTGAAAATTTTAAGGGTGAAATTTGCTGTGCTAAGTAGGACTAAGGGTTTGACTTTGTTGTAGAGCTGATTGTGAATTATTAGAAACTTTGGGAAAAAAAATGCCATGACACAGCTTGTTTTGGTAAGGAACAGTAATGGTTTGGTTTAGATTTAGGGGATGAAAGAGAAAGGAATTAAAAGTAACTCCAGTTAAGAGAACCTAGAATATCTAAGAGGAATAAGGTGCTTTGGAAGAGACACCAGTGTGCTGTGGAGGGGACATAGGTGGGATACTAATTGGGGTGAGTTAGCATTGTAAATAGATTATGTTAAGGTAATAAGACAAGTTGAAAATGTCATAGGATCCTTGGGTTATTGCTTCGCCAGCCAGAAGCCTCTATGGCCGGCAGCTCCTTCTGCCTGAGTAATTGAGTATTGGTTTTACCACTGGGCTCGTTCCACCCACTCAGCCTGGCAGGCTGTGCTCAACTCACACTACTGTCTCAGATCCCACATCTGCCAAGGGTGAGCCACACAGCAAGGGGTGTGTGGGCAAGTGAGCATGGGGTCTGGCCAGTGAGCACAACCAAGCATGCTGGCTGCTGTGGTGGTGCAAGCAGCTCTGCACAAGGCTGCAGCTGGAACAGATATACCGCATGCAATGGAAGTACTTCCACTGTGGGCACCCATGTCTGGACAAGGGGAAAGCAATGGCTTCTGGAAGCTTGGAGATGCCAGGAGCCACAGAGCCCCAAAGAGGGTGTCATAGTGCTGGCTCAGGGAGTCTCTAGATCTAGGCTCACTTAAGGGCTACAGCTCTTCTTTTCATTGCCTGCAATGTGGCAGATGGAGAGGCGTGTTTCAACCCTGTTTGTGTTAAAGCTTTTTCAGTCCTTCCATTTGGCAGGTCCCAAGTTTTTGGCCCATGCTTGGTCCATGTCCAGGAAGAATGAGGTATGTGGACAACTGGAGGGTGAGCAAGGTGGAGAGGAGCTTCATTGAGTGACAGAACAGCTCTCAGGAGACCCAAAGTGGGTGGCTTCTTTCCACAGACAGGTTGTATCCATGAGTGTCCAGCTGTCAGCAGAGAGGAGACCTGCAGTGGGTAGCTCGTTTCCGCAGTTAGGTCCTCCCCATGTCTGTTTGAATCTGACTGAGTCTGAGGTTTTTATGAGCTCAGAAGGGAGGAAGTGCGTGCTGATTGGTCCACGGTGGCCACGGGTGGCTGGAAGAAGCACCAGAAGTTCTCACTTAAGGCCAGGCTGTGGATTGCAGCCAGAACTGACAGCCCAGCCCCCATGTGTTAGGCCATCCCTGGCTGGAGGGTGGGGCTTCAAAGGGGACCCACCCCTTTCCACCCAGGAGCCTGTATGCCTCCTGTCACCATCAATTATGTCCTCCATGGTGCCCAGGCTGTTTGTGCTGGGCCTGAAGGCCCACACTGAGCCACCCTCAACCCGGCTCCAGCCTCCTTCCCATGCTCTTCAGTGCCCAAAGTCTGGAGGGGGGAAAGGTGGCAGGGGCTGGCATGTCAGCGCTGCCCTGAGCACACCTGGTCAGGTCGTGACTGCACCCAGGCTCAGCCTCAACTTTGCTGTAAAATCAGAGTGGATGCCAGGACCAGGGAGATGCCAAGCAGTGGGAGCAGGCACTTTGGAGCCTGTGGAGGACAGGGCTTCCAGGGCCCGCAAGAGCACAGGGATGCCCAGGTTCACAGCCACAGCTGGGCAGCTGCAGCTGTTCCTGGAAGAGTGGGGTTCCCGCCCCACCAACTTTCATGTTGAATTATAATCCCCAGTGTTGGAGGAGGGGCCTGGTAGGAGGTGATAGATCATAGGGGCAGATATCCACCTTGCTGTTCTTTTGATAGTGAGTGAGTTCTCACAAGATCTGGTTGTTTAAAAGTGGGTGGCACCTGCCCTCTCTCTCTCTCTTCCTCCTTCTCCAGCCATGTAAGGCATGCCTGCTTCCCCTTCACCTTCCACCATGATTGTAAGTTTCCTGAGGCCTCCCCAGGTGTGCTTCCTGTACAGCCTGTGGAATGGTGAGTCAATTAAATTTATTTTCTTTATAAATTAACCTGGTCTTAGGTAGTTCTTTGTAGCAATGCAAGAACAGACCAATAAATAATATACAATGTATTTATGTAGCGAGTGTATTGTTTGTCTTTCTTACTATGGAGTATGCTCTATGTAGGCAGAGTTTTTTTCTTTTTGTTTTGTTTTGTTTTTTAGTCTCTTTCACTGTTATATCACCGTGCCTAGAGTATTTAGCATATAGTACTCATTAAACTTGTGTTGAATAAATGTTGAATGATTTAAAACAATTAAAAGTTTATGCTCTCCAACCTCAAAATGCCTCCTCGATAATCTTGGCAGTCCCTAACACTTCTGTGGAAAACTTAATTTGCTATATTAATTTTAATCTTCATATGGCTGAATTTTAAGGTTTTCTCTTAAAAATCTTAAATTTTCTTACAGACTTTTAAACTACGTTTTTAGTAGCTGCTCTAGGGATTACAATATATATCGTTACTTCTTCACAATCTTCTTAGATTTAATGTGTCACTTCACAAAAAGTGGAAGCCTTGCAACTATATGTGTTCAATTATGACACCTCGTTCTTTTTGTTCTGCTTGTTGTTCTGTGTGTTACATCTACATATGTTATAAGTTGTTCAAGAAAATGTTATGTATATATTTTAAATAGTTATATATATTATAAAGAAATAAAGACAAAAGCAGCCAGGCGTGGTGGCTCATGTCTGCAATCCCAGGACTTTGGGAGACCAAGACAGGTGCATCGCTTGAGCTCAGGAGTTCAAGACCAGCCTAGCCAACATGGTTAAACCCTGTCTCTACTAAAACTTAAAAAAAAATACCTAGGCCTGTTGGTGCATGCCCGTGGTCCCAGCTACTTGGGTGGCTGAGGTGGGAGGATCACTTGAACCCAGGGTCAGAGGTTGCAGTGAGCCGAGATTGTGCCACTGCACTCCAGCCAAGATGACAGAGAAAAACCTGTCTCAAAAAAGAAAAAGAGGAAAAAAAAATAAAGATAAAAGCAAACTTTTAAAAACAAATTTTAATTTGCCCAATGATTTCTAAATGCTCTTTATTTCTTTATTTCTTTTTGGGAATCAGAATTTCTATCTGGTGTGATTTCCCTTCATCCAGAACTTTCTTAATTATTTCTGCATTAATCAAACAAAATTCACAGTGGCACTCCATCCATTTAGCCACTCTAGCCAGAGTCCAGAAATCCATCTTTATAGTCCCTTTCCCTTCATCTGTGTATCCAGGTTGCCATCAAACCTTGTCAAATTTATTTCCAAAATATATTTCAAATCTATCACTTCTTTCTATATTTACTCACTTTATCTTTAATTCATGTCCTTATCATTTCTTGCCTAGATTCCTGGAGCATCCACACAAATATTTTCCCATGTCTATTCTGGCCCTTCTACTTCTACTTACTCCACCTACTGCCAGAAGGGTCTTTTGCAGCTCTCAAATTTGATTTTGTCACCTTTTTGCTTACGACTCTTAAATGGCTCCCTAATGCTGTCAGGATAAAGATGCCATACTTTTTGCATGGCCTGTGAGCCTCATGTGGCTGGCCTCTAATTTTCAGTCTCAGTTCTTCCCCCTTTCTTCCTGTATACCTTCTTTGCTCTATTCACATTGGCCTTCTTTCAATCTCTCTTCCTCCCCATTCCCCCTGTCATGATGGTGCCTTCACACTTGCTATTTCCTCTGCTTGGTGTGGTTTTCTTTACTTTTTTCACCAAGGCAATGCCTATTCATCCTTCCGAAATGAGTTCAAGTAGTGCCTTCTGATATGAACCTCCACTAACACAGTGACCAGGTCAGATGCCCTTATTAAAGGTTCTCATGAAATCATGTGACTCTTTTTTTTGAGACAGAGTATCACTTTGTCACCCAGGCTGGAGTGTAGTGGCGCGATCTCGGCTCACTGCAGCCTCTGCCTCTCGGGTTCGAGCAATTCTCCTGCCTCAGCCTCCCAGATAGCTGGGATTACAGGCACGCGCCACTATGCCTGACTAATTTTTGTATTTTTAGTAGAGACGGGGTTTCACCATGTTGACCAGGCTGATCTTGAACTCCTGACCTCAGGTGATCTGCCCACCTCAGCTTCCCAAATTGCTAGGATTACAGGCGTGAGCCACTGTGCCCAGCCATGTGACTCTTTTTTAAAAGACATTTGTAACAGTTACAATTTTATATTTGTGTGTGATTGTTTGGTTATCACTTACTAGACACTCAGCTCTATGAAATCATGTGCTATTTCTGATTTTTGTTTAGCATTGTATTTTCAGTGCCTAGCACAGTGCTCGATAAATACATGTTGAATGAATAAATGTTTATTAGTTCAAAACAAAAGTATTATTCAAAACAAAAGTATCCTAAAAACGCTTTGAGGGAGAAAACTAATCAGTAGGCATTGCAATAACTGTAAAATTTGCTTTTTTATAATAAAAGTGATCAACTTTAAATATAAATACTTGACTCTATTCAACTTTGTACTCTGTAAACTCAAGAATGCTTCCCAGGAAAAGACTTTTCTCTGTTTTTCAAAATTTGATAATTCACATACTTTGTCGATCTATCTTCCTTTAACAAACCTTATATTTGCTTTATAATAATTGATGCATTTGAGTATATAATACATGTAATACCTGATACTTTGTAAATTCTTTTGCATTACATGAATAATGTTTGTGTTTAAAAGAAAAGGCTTTGCAGCATATTTTAGATCCTACGTTTCTGCCCCAATAGAGACTAATGAAGAGTCACGTATTCATCTATGACTTATTGTACCCATACTATGTACCAGGCACTCAAGCATGTCAAAACATTATTATTGAATGACAAATAATGTAATTCAATATGAATAGCAAATAATATCATTCAATATGAATAACATTCTTGTTATTCATTCTGCTCTTTCACTAAAAGTAATGTTAACTTTTAGATAGTGCGTTCTATATTCTTGGCTCTGTTCTAGGTGCTTTACGTTAACTCATTTAATCCTTGTAATAAGCCTGAGATGTAGGACTTGTTATTGTCCCCATTTTGTAGATGAGACAGAGTTTAACTGGCCAAGATTCTATAGTTGGTAGGTGGTAAACCTGGGATTTGAATCTAGGTCTAGCTCTAGAGTCTACACTCTTAAATAAGGTTTACTACCCACTAAACAGATTTCTTGATCTCTTCATGGGTCTCCCTAGAAGTTTAAAAAAGACTACTTATGGGCCGGGTGCAATGACTCAGGCCTATAATCCCAGCACTTTGGGAGGCCAAGGCGGGTGGATCACCTGAGGTCAGGAGTTTGAGACCAGCCTAGCCAATAGGCCAGCCTGGCCAATATGGTGAAACCCCATCTCTACTAAAAATACAAAAATTAGCTGGGCATGGTGGTGGGCACCTGTAATCCTAGCTACTCAGGAAGCTGAGGCAGGAGAATTGCTCGAACCTGGGAGGCGGATGTTGCAGTGAGCCAAAGATTGCACCATTGCACTCCAGGCTGGGTGACAGAGCGACTCCGACTCAAAAAAAAAGACTGCTTATGATCTCTTTTGAAGTCCTTCTTGTGTTCTATTTCCTCTAGGAAACCTTTCCTTATTCAGGCTGTTTTACTTTAATGTTAGCACTTATTGTTTTAACTATACTATTTGTCATTGGTTTATATTATTATATTATTTACCTACTTTATGCATACAAATCGTTTTTCTTTTTTCTTTCTTTTTTTTTTTGGAGATAGGGTCTCATTCTGTCACCCCAGACTCACTGCAGCCTCAAAATCCTGGGCCCAGGTGATCCTCCTACCTCAGCCTCCTGAGTAGCTGAGACCACCCATGTGTGCCATCATGCCTGGCTAATTTTTTGTATTTTTTGTAGAGACAGGGTTTCACCACCTTGCCCAGGCTGGACTCAAGTGATCTGCCCACCTCGGCCTCCCAAAGTACTGGGATTACAGGTGTGAGCCACCATGCCTGGCATACAAATCTTTTTTGCCCAAAATTTTAAGATAAAAAGCAAGGATAATGTCTCAAATTTATTTTATAGTGCCAAGAAAATTAGATTATAATGTGTAACACACAGTGAGTGCTCAACAAATATGTGATGTAACTTGATACTCTTTCTTTCATTTCCCCCAATTTGGTTACCTTCATCTATTACTTTGGATGCAAATCAGTATAATTGCTTCTGGTGTTAATGCAAATATATTTGGTTTTTAGTTACCAAAGACGTTGGAAGAGGTGGCTATGGACATCACCTGGGAGAAGTGGAAGCAAATGGACACTGTTCAGAAGTCCATATACAGAAACATGTTGGAAAAATATAGAAACCTGGTTTTGCTAGGTAAAGGTTAAAGGTTACTTTCTTTCTGCATGTTAGAATATTTTCATGCAGTGTTTTGTCATCTTTAGTTGTTAATAGTCATGGCAAGCGTAATGTGGTGGCTCAGAATGTGGGTTTTGGAGAGGAGACCTGAGTCCAAGTCCTGGCTTTGCTACGTTAAAAACCCTTAGGGTTTTAAAAACCTTTTGAGGCCATTCGCCATATAAATAGGGCTAAAAATAAAATATTGTAAAATCCTAAAAAAAAAACTGTTTCTTCAGGATTTCTTGTAAGAGACAGAATAAAATAAGTGGTTGGCATAAAAGCCCTGATATAGTATAAGGACTTGGTAAATGTTAGCGTTGCTGCTTTTCCTGTTATTATTGCCACTATTGTGTTTATTATTATTTGCATACTTTACTGCATTTGGCTTGGATTTGAAGGATCAGGTTCATTTCTGAGTTCAGAAACAACTGTTTCTCCTCCCTGTTTATGACAAAAGGTGTGACCCATGCAGATTTGGAAAGTGATTGCTAGGATTTACTTTACTTTCCTGAATTCTGACCCTGTAATTTGTGTTTGTCTCTCACCATTGTATTGTAAATATACTTATGAAGGACATGACTCCTTTTCTTTGAGAATCTGAGGACCTCTTCTTAGCCCTCTTTTATCTTTGCGGGTAAAATTGATCCAGTTCACTGTCTTTTATGAAATCATCTTTTCATGATGTGCATGACAGTGTAAAGCTCTGATTCATCTAATCTCCTAAGAACTCCATGGGTTCCTTTCATAGTTTTTGTTCCTGCCTCTTAATATTAGATGTCTATAAAATGTCATCTCTATAGTGGTTATTTCAGTTTACAGGTTGAATATTCCTCTTAGTATTTATGTCTATAATTATTTAAAAAGTAGATATTCACTATCAAACACTTAGTTTTCCAAATATAGGATATTGGCTTGACCAACATAGAGAAACCCCATCTCTACTAAAAGTACAAAAAATTAGCCAGGTGTGGTGGTGCATGCCTGTAATCTCAGCTACTGGGGAGGCTGAGGCAGGAAAATCACTTGAACCCGGGAGGCGGAGGTTGCAGTGAGCCGAGATGACGTCATTGGACTCCAGCCTGGGTAACAAGAGCGAAACTCCATCTCAAAAAAACAAAAAAGATCACATTGTCAGCAGTATGTAGTACTGAAAAGGCACCAAACAAGAAGCCTACCCCTTATGTCACACACATAGTAGGACTTGGGATTTAAGCTCAGGATATTCTGAGTCTCTAGCCATTATCTTTTTACTATATTGGACTGCTTCTTGGGGCAGCAGTAGAGACTAAGAGTTTGGACTCTGGAGTTTGACTTATGTGTACCTTAGACAAGTAACTTCAGCATTCTGAACCTCCCTTGAAATTGACATTCTATTATCTCACTTATAGGCTTGTTAGGAAGATTTGATATGTTGATCTTGTAAGTCAGCCCAGCATAAACTCAATTAATATTAGCTATAAACCAAAAACTTCATCAAAGTTCTTTCCCTTTTTCTAAGACATGAAATGATAACTTTGAAGACAACATGTGCAGACAGGAGAAAATAGATAAAGAATGTACAGCACTGCTATTAAGTGCTAAAATTAGAAGTTAAAATAGTAAGTAGTAGGAAATCAGGGAAACTGGAGAGTTAGGAATGTTGTGGGACTAGTGTCATTTGAGTGGCGCTCCAAAGTAGTGTCAAGAATTAGATGGGCAAAAGAAAGAAGAAAGGGCTTTTTGTGCAGGAGAAGCAATAATGAAGTATTGTTTGTTGTTATTGTTTTTGTTTTTGCTTTTCTTTTTTTTATAGACCAGTGTGATAAATAAATTAGAGTTAAAATGAGAAATGAGTGTTGAATGTTAGGAGTACAGCTAATAAAATCATTAATTTTTATGTGTAATATATGCCAGAATCTAGGGGACACATTGAAAACAGATGGTTTAGTAAAAATCTACATATTGAATGGAGAGACCCTCACCTCAATTTTTCCTTCTACTGGACTTCTACATCCTACTCCCTTTCAGGTAGAAGGTTAAAGTGATTCATTCTGGGGAAACTAATCAGCCTAAGATAAAAGAACTGTAGGTGCCAATATTTGGGCATCCTCTAATAAATCAGCCAGGTCCCTTCCCAGTCATCCTGCAATGAAACCCATTATAAATCATGACTTTACAAACAATTTTCAGTCATCATATTAATACAATAACTCTCTCTGAAGAATAAATCCAGAGTGAAGGACTACTTTTTAACATGCTGATGAAGAAGAGCTATCCTTTTTTCCCTATGCTTTATGTTACTTGCCTCTTTATCCATGACTGAAAGTGAAAAATAATGTAGATTTGTCATTAGAAAGACCTAATAATTATTTTTTCATTTCAAAAGAGTAAATTTCTCCCTTTTCATCCTTTCCTTTGTCCTTAAACCTAGAGTTTATGGTCTTTTTATATCAAGTGTAAAGCAATAACAGCAGTTACCTGACAAAGAATAATTAGCTAAAAGTATTACTTTGTACAAGTACTAAAAAATCTAATATAAAAGCTTATTGAAAATAAAAAGCTCTTAGTATTTTTTAAGATAATAGTTTCAATGCTGAGTAAGTAGTTTTCTCATAGGATAATTTCTAAAAGACTATTTCTTTCTGATAACAGTTTTCATTTCTTAATCCCTGCTCATTGTTTCTCTTTTCTAATATTCGCCATTTAGTTTTTTCCCTAATCATTCTTCTCACCTGACAGAATGTTTGCTTCATTCCCATTGATTGCGTTATGCTCTGTATCAGACACTTTCACTCCACTAGTATTTCCATCTCACTCCTCCCTAGATTACTATCTTATAGTCCCAGTATTTTATGTTCTCAGTATCTGCAATTTCATTATTCCATTCCTAATATACCAGCTTCTTTTCTCCCAACATTTGGCACATAGTAGAGTCATATTTTTATGTCTTTTAGATGGGAAGCTTGAACGTGGGGCCAAGACATCAAGAGTAGAGCAGCAGGACATTTCAAAAGAAGATTAATCTCAAAGATTAGAGATGGAAGAACTTGCAAAGAGAAAGTCTGTACCGGAAGAAATCTGGAAATCTAGAGGCCAGTTTAAGAATCAGCAGCTAAACAAGGAGAATAATCTAGGGCAAGAGATAGCTACCTGCACAAAAATTCCTACCAGAAAAAGAGACATAGAATCTAATGAATTTGTGAAAAATTTTACTGTAAGATCAATACTTGTTGCAGAACAGATAGATCCTATGGAAGAGAATTGTCATAAATATGGTACATGTTGAAAGATGCTCAAACAAAACTCAGATTTAATTATACAAAGAAAGTATGATGGAAAAAAAAAAACCTTGTAAATATAGTGAATGTGGGAGAACCTTCAGAGGCCACATCACTCTTGTTCAGCATCAAATAACTCATTGTGGAGAGAGACCCTGTAAATGTACTGAGTGTAGAAAGGGATTTAATCAGAGTTCCCACTTAAGAAATAATCAGAAAACTCTTTCAGGAGAAAAGCCCTACAAATGCAGTGAGTGTGGGAAGGCCTTCAGTTATTGCTTAGTTCTTAATCAACACCAGAGAATTCACAGTGGAGAGAAACCTTATGAGGGTACTGAATGTGGCAAGACATTCAGTCGTAGTACATACCTTACTCAGCATCAAAGAATTCACACTGGTGAGAAGCCCTATACATGTCTTGAATGTGGAAAGGCTTTTAGTCAGAACACACATCTTACTCTACATCAGAGAATCCATACTGGAGAGAAACCTTATGAATGCAATGAATGTGGTAGGTCCTTTAGTCAGAGTGCACATCTTACTCAACATCAAAGAATGTATACAGGAGAAAAACTCTATGAATGTAATGAATGTGAGAAAGCCTTCCATGATCACTCAGCTCTTATTCAACATCATATTGTCCATACTGCAGAGAAACCCTATGAATATCATGACTGGGAAAACTTTCAGTTACTGTTCAGACCTCATTCAACATCAGAGAATGCACACTGGAGAGAAACCATACAAATGCAATGAATGTGGGAATGCCTTTAGTGATTGTTCATCCCTTATTCAGCATCAAAGAACTCACACCGGAGAAGAGCCTTATGAATGTAAGCAATGTGGAAAAGCCTTTAGCAGAAGCACATACCTTACTCAACATCAGAGAAGTCACGCAGGAGAGAAACAGTATAAATGCAATGAATGTGAGAAAACTTTCAGCCTGAGTTCATTCCTTACACAGCATATGAGGGTTCAGACTGGAGAAAAACCCTACAAATATAATGAATATGGAAAAGCTTTTAGTGACTGCTCAGGACATTTTCAGAGAACTCACACTGGAGAGAAGCCCTGTGAATGTAATGACTGTGGGAAACCTTTCAGTTTCTGTTCAGCCCTAATTCAACATAAGAGAATTCATACCAGAAAGAAGCCCTGACTGTACCTTCATACCAGTAAATGCACTGACTGTGGAAAAGCCTTCAGTGATTGGTTAGCACTTGTTCAACATCAGATAACTCAACACTGGAGAAAAACCGTATAAATGTACTGAATGTGGAAAAGCCTTCAGTTGGAGTACAGACCTCAAAAATCACCAGAAAACTCATACTAGTGAAAAATCCTATAAATGTAATGAATGTAGAAAGGCCTTTAGTTACTGCTCTGGTCTTATTCAATGTCAGGTCATTCATACTATAGAAAAACCTTATGAATACGGTAAATGTGGCAAAGCCTTTAGGCAGAGGACAGACCTTAAAAAACATCAGAAAATGCATACCGAAGAGAAACCCTATGAATGTAATGAATGTGGGAAAGCCTTTAGCCAGAGCACATATCTTACAAAACACCAAAAAATTCATAGTGAAGAGAAATCAAATATACATACTGAGTGTGGGGAAACCATTAGACAAAACTCTTCTTTTTTACAACAATAAAAACCTCACACTGGAGAGATTCTCTGAATGCCTTAAGAATTTGGTTAATATGGAGACCCTTCCCAGGGAAACAGAAGGAGGATCGTGAAAACTGTTGACTACTTAGAATGATCACATGGTTTAGTGGAGAGAGCATGATTCTGGGTTTTAAAAGTCATGGATCTCAATCTCAGCTCCTATTACTAACTAGATCTTTTACTTTGGGGTAAGTCACTTCATATCTTTAGGCCTTAATTTCCTCATCTGAAAAACTGGAAGGCCTGACTTGTTGAGCTTTAAGATCCTCAATTATTATATTTACTAGGAATTCAAGTTTCTATAGATGTGGTTCAGAATTGTGACTTATTTATTGTACATCAGGTGTGATTCACAAGTGAGCTTGTAGTAGTTATTAAGGAGTCAATAAAGATATGATATAGAGCACGTGTCATGTAGCTGTTTATTACCCTTGCATTACTTTTCTAAAATACATGTCACAAATATTGAAGAAAACTAAGAGATAAAGTGGTATAAGTTCTATGAATTATTACATTAGGGGTTTGAGATCTTTTCTTGATTAAGAATATGGTATTAGATAAAAACTGAGAAAAAAAGAATCAAATTGTTGATAGATAAAGGCTAAGTTACCTGGATTTCATTCAAGCCCAATCTTGCAATATAAACCTCTACTAAGTTGAATATGGCAGTCATCATGTTCCAGCTGAGAAGGGGCTGGAAAACATGACTTAATCAAGTATCTAGAAAGGGTGAAATTGGAAAGTGCATTTGTTATTTCCACACCTAAATATGTAAAGGCCATGTAAATGAGAGTACATTTTGAGATCTAATATGTCTAGAAAAGTCTGTTGTCTTTTTCTTATGGTTACAGAGACGATGGCCTGAAAATATGAAGATTTAGCTCAGAAGCCTGTAATTTACAATTGATCATCTAGGGACAGGAAAATCCACTTGTTATGGAACTTATCCAGTGTGTGGCTTAGTGCAGACTTACTGAGTTTGGAGTTGGTTTTGGTGTCCAGGACAACTGCTTACACATAAGGATAAATAATGATGAACCTGCTAGATAGTCGTTGAGAAAACTTAAAGCAGTAGTGTTTAAGCTTTTGTGAATTTATATGTCCCTCTGAGAACCTGTTACTTCCATAGACTTTCTCACTGGAATAATGCATGGCACATTCATATGATTTTGTGAACAGCTACAAAATGAATATGTGTAAAATTGGTAGTACTATATACACATAAGTACTAATAATTTGAAAGCATAATAGAAAAAATATTCACAATAGCTGTAGAAATATGAAATATGGGAATGAGTTTAATAACAAATATGCAAGACAACAAAAATTATTTAGAAATTTTTATAATGAGAAAAGGCTGATTTCATACATGAGGAATTATGTACCTTTATGGGATGAGTGAATACAATTGTCAGTTAAAACCATATTTGTAAGCTAAATTTAAGATGATTCTAATTTTAGTATGAAAGAAAAAAAGGGTGATGAGTGGGCAAAATATTTCCAAAATATGATAATTCTGAGTTAGCATGGCAGGGGAGCTGCAAAACAATTGATACATCAGTAAAGCACAAGAGAAAACACTAATTTTTTCAGTACATGAAATAATTTAGCATATGAAATTCTAAATGAGGAGTGGTTGGATAATTCAGTAAATTTTCAGAGAAGTAGCTAATTGTTATAGCAAATACATTTCCCAGATGGTTAAAGATTAAATATAAAATTGAAATTATAAGAGAAGTAAATATATACACACAAATACTTAAACACTCTTGGGATTGTGGGAGCTTTCTGAAATATTCACAAAAAATAATTGATAGCTATCTCTACCAAAAAACACTAAAATTTATGTTTCTAAATACCTTAAAAACTGAAAAATCAAATGACAGTTTGAAAAAAGCACTTTTCTGTCGTATATATGATAGAAAAGAGATGTAATGAAATAAACCCCAAAAGGAAAGAGTTAAAGATCTCACACTGAAGAAATGCAAAGTGACCAATAAAATGTGAAAAAATATTTGGCCTAATTTGTTTTCAGAAAATCGTGGTTTAGATGTGGGGTTTGAGTATATTAATACTGTTATGAATCCCATATTTATTGGTACAATATTTCTGGAGGCAGTTTGGCTATATGCAACATGGGACTTAGAAATATTTACGTTGGTTAACCTAGCATGTTCATTTCTGGAAATGTATTTTAAGGAAGCAGTCTTGGATATACATACAGACTTACCAATGATGATTTATTTAGATTAACTTTTACTGCTAATAATTATATGTATTTATGAGGTACATGTGATATTTTGATGCATACAATATGTAATCAAATCAGGATATTGAGGATATTCACTTCAAACACTTATTACTTCGTCTTAGGAACATTTTGAATTTTCTAGCTATTTTGAAATATAGTTAGGTGTTACTTAATGACATGGATGTTTTCTGAGAAATGTATCATTGATAAATAGATTTGGATGTGCAAACATGATGGGATGTACTTACACAAACCTAGACGAAATAGCCTATTGTACACCTAAGCTAAGCTATATGATATTATTGTTCCTAGACTACAAACCTGTACAGCATGTTACTGTACTGAATGCTGTAGGCAATTGTAACACAGTGATATTTGTGTATCTAAATATTAAAAAGGTACACCTAAAGTACAGTATAAAACATAAAAAATGGTACGCCTATATAGGACACTAACCATGAATGGAACTGGCAGGCCTGGAAGTTGCTTGTGTGTGGGTCAGTGAATGAGTGGTGAGTGAATGTGAAGGTCTAGGACATTACTGTACACTACTGTAAACTTTATAAACACTGTACACTTAGGCTACACTAAATTTACTTTATAATTTCTTCAATAATAAATTGATCTTATCTTACTGTAAACTAAACTTAGTTTATAAACTTAAAAGTTTTTAATTTTTTAACTTTTAACTCATTTTAATTTTTTGACTCTCGTAATAGCATTTAGCTTAAAACACAAACACATGGTATAACTGTACAAATATATCCTTATTCTGTAAACTATTTCCTATTTTTAGCTTTATAAAAAAAACCTTTAAAACTTTTTTGTTAAAAACTAAGTCACAAACATATACATTAGCCTAGGCCGACACAAACTTGGGATCATCAAGACGTCACTCGATAATAGGTATTTTTCAGGTCCAGAATAATCTTATGGGACCACCATCATGTATGTGGTCCATCATTCATAGAAAAGTTATTATGTGGTGCATGACTATATACAATAAGTTATTGCTAACTATAGTCACCCTATTGTGCTATCAAACACTAGAACTTACGCCTTCTATCTGTGTGTAGCCACTGACCAACCTCTCTTCATTGCCTCACCACTTCCCAACCTCTGGTGACTATTACTCTACTCTACCTCTATGAGGTTGGCCTTTTGAGCCCCCATATATGAATGAGAATTTGCAATATTTGTCTTTCATACCTGGGTTACTTCACTTAACATAAACACCTCCAGTTCTATTCACATTGCTGCAAATGTCAGAATGTCACTCTTTTTATGGCTGAATAGTATTCCATTTATGTATATGTATCACATTTTCTTTATTCATCCATTCATGGACACTTGTTGATTCCATATCTTCACCTTTGTGAGTAGTACTGCAATAAACATAGGGTGCAGATATCCCTTTGATATACTAATTGATTTTCCTTTGGATAAATGCCCACTAGTGGGATTGCTGGATCATATGGTAGTTCTGATTTTAGTTTTCTAAGAAACCTCCATTCTATTGTCCATAATGACTGTACTAATTAATATTCCCACCAACAGTGTATAAGAGTACCCTTTGGTCTGCATCCTCACCAGCATTTGTTACTTTTATTTATAATAGCAATTCTGAGGTGAGATGATACCACATCATGGTTTTGATTTGCATTTCCCTGATAATGAATGATGTTGAGCATCGTTTCATATACCTACTGCACATTTGCACATCTTCCTTTGAGACATGTCTACTCAGATACTTTGTCTACTTTTTAATAAGATTATTGTTTTGTGGTTTTTCTTTTGCTCTTATATGAGTTCCTTGTATATTCTGGATGCTAATCCTTTGTTGGATAAATAGTTTGCAAATATTTTCTTCCATTCTACAGGTTGTCCCTTTGCTCTGTTGGTTGAATTTTTTGCTGTGCAGAAGCTTTGAGTTTAATGTGGTTCCGTTTGCTTGTTTTTGGTTTTGTTGCCTGTGTTTTTGAAGTCTTAGCCATAAAATATTTGCCTAGACTAAAGCCCTGAAGCATTTCCACTGTGATTTATTTTAGTAGTTCTATAGTTTTGGGTCTTATGTTTAAGACTTTAATCTATTTTGAGTAGATTTTTGTATATGGCAAGAGATAGGAGTCTAGTTTCATTCCTCTGCATAAGAATATCCAGTTTTCCCAGCATCATTTCTTGAAGAGGTTGTTCTTTCCCAATGTATGTTCTTGTCATCTTTGTTGAAAATCAGTTGGCTGTAAATATATGGGTTCATTTGGGGATTCTCTGTTCTGTTGCATTGGCCTATGTGTCTGTTTTTATACCAGTACCATGCTGCTTTGGTTACTACAGCTTTATAGTATATTTTCAAGTCAAGTAGTGTGATGCTCTCCAGCTTTGTTATTTTGCTTAGTATTGCCTTGGCTATTTGAGTTTTTTTTTTTTTTTTTTTGTGGTTCTATATGAATTTTAGGATTTTTTTTCTATTTCTTTGAAGAATATAATTGGTTTAGGGTTTGCATTGAATTTGTAGTTTGCTTTGGGTAGTATGGTCATTCTAACGATATTAATTTTTCCAATTTATGAGCAAGTGAGTCTATATTTGTTTGCCCTCTTCAGTTGTTTTTCATCAGTGTTTCATAGTTTTCCTTGTAGAGGTCTTTCAAGTCCTTGGCTAAATTTATTCCTAGGTATTTTATGTTTATATTTTATGTTGTAGCTATTGTAAATGGAATTTTTTCTTGATTTATTTTTCAGCTAGTTCATTGTTGATGTGTGGAAATGCAACTAACATTCGTATGTTAATTTTCGTATCTTGCAACTTTGCTAAATTCGTTTATCAGTTCTACAAGTTTTTTGGTGGAGTCTTAGGCCTTTCTAGATACAAGATCATGATGTCTGCAGAGAGGTGCAATTTGACTTCCTCTTTTACAATTTGCATGACTTGTCTTTCTTTTGTCTAGCTACTCTACCTAGTACTTAACAATACTAGGTTGAGTAGGAGTAGTGAACACTCACCTTTTTGTTCGGGTGATCAGACCCAACACCAGGTCATGGGGACTACAAAGTCCAGCAGAGTCAAAGGAATGAGACAAGACAAGTTAAGAGTACATAGGGTGGGTCCAGGGGGCCAACACAAGTATGGAGGCTGTGAAGGCCCCCAGCTCTGGGAACCCACACTGTTTATTGGTAATCAAAGAAGCAGGTGGTGAGGACATGCAGACGTGGGGGTAGACAGGTGAGGACGTGAGGACGTGGGGGTAGAAAGGTAGCGGTGCATCAAGCGTAGCTGTGACAGTTTAGCATATGCTCTGCTACTTGAGATAAGGGAGAACAGTTCTTCTAATTCAAGATACAATCAATTTATGATCTTGGGAGAGCAAGGAGCAAGGGGCCAGCGAGTCTGGACACATTCCAGAGGCTAGGAGGGGCCCTGAGCCCTGGGTTCTCTCCAAGCCACAAGGGGTTTTATGCCCTGGGCTTAGATTGTAGTGGAGCAGGGCAGCCTTCCACCCTTTGGCAGAGTTTGGTGTTCCAAAGGCCACAAGGGGTTTTAGACCCTGGACCCAGGACATGTTCCAAGACTCTTTTACATTATGTCAGACAAGTGAGCCTTGCCTCAGCCCTTCCACCAACACTTTTTCTGTGTCAGTTCTTAAAAGAAAGGCTTTCAGGTTTTCCCCATTCAGTATAAGGTTAGCTGTGGATTTGTCATATATGGCCTTTATTATGTTAAATTATGTTCTTTCTACACCTAATTGGTTGAGAGTTTTTATCATGAAGTGATGTAGAATTTTATCAAATGCGTTTTCTGCATCTGTTGAGATGATCATATGGTTTTTGTCCTTCATTCTCTTGATGTGATATATCACATTTATTGATTTGTGTATGCTGAGCCGCCATCTCTGCATCCCTGGGATAAATCCTATTTAACTATGATGTATTTTTGATGTGTTGTTGGATTTGGTTTCCTAGTGTTTTGTTGAGAATTTTTGTATCTATGATTATGTGGGATATTGACCTATAAGTTTGTTGCTGTGTCCTTGTCTGATTTTGGTATCAGGGTAATGCTAGCCTTGTAAAATGACTTAAGAAGAATTCTCTCCTTCAGTTTTTTGGAATAGCTTTAGAAGAATTAGTATTAGTTCTTATTTATGAATTTGGTAGAATTCAGCAGTAAAGCCATTTGCTCATAGGCTATTCTTTGTTGGGAGACTTTTTCTTATTGATTCAATCTTGTTACTCGTTGTTGGTCTGTTTAGGTTCTCTGTTTCAATCTTGGTAGGTTGTATGTGTCCAGAAATTTATCTATTTCCTCTAGGCTTTCTACTTCATTAGCATATAATTGTTCATAGTAGTCTCTAATGATCCTTTGTATTTCTTTAGTATCAGTTGTAATGTTTTCTTCTTAGTTTCTGATTGTATTTATCTGGATCTTCTCTTGTTCTTGGTTAGCCTAGCTAGTGGTTTATCAATTTTGTTAATCTTAAAAAACTTTTTGTTTCATTGATCCCTGTGATTTTTTCAGTCTTCATTTCATTTAGTTCTGCTCTGATCTTTATTATTTCTACTAATTTGAGATTTGGTTTGTTCTTGCATTTGCTATCCTTGAGGTGCACCACTAGTTTGTTTATTTAAAATCTTTCCAGTTATTTAGGCATTTAGTGCTATAAACTTGCCTCTTAATACTGTTTTTGCTGTGTCCCATAGGTTTTGGTCAGTTGTGTTTCTATTTTCATTTATTTCAAGAAATCTTTTTTCTTCTTAATTTCTTCACTGGCCCAATGGTAATCCAGGAGCATGTTTAATTTCCATGTATTTTTAGTTTCCAAAATTCCCCTTGTTATTGATTTCTAGTTTTATTGCATTGTGGTCTGAAAAGATACTTGATATTTTGACTTTTAAAAATGTGTTGAGATTTGTCTTGTGGCCTAACATGTGGTCTATCCTGGAGACCATACGTTCCAGATGCTGATGAGAAGAACATGTGTTCTGCAACTGTTGGACGAGATGTTCTGTAAATGTTGTGTTAGGTCCATTTGGTCTGTAGTGCAGATTAAGTCCAATGTTTGTTGATTTTCTGTCTGGATGATCTGTCCAGTGATGAAAGTGAGATGTTGAAGTCCCAAACTATTATTTTATTAAGATCTCTCTCTTTAGCTCTAATAATAATTGCTTTATACATCTGGGTGCTCCAGTGTTGGGTGCATATATATTTACAATTGTTAGGTCCTTTTGCTGAATTTATCCCTTCATCATTATATAATTATATAAACTATGTACATTCAAGGTTATTATTGATAGGCGAGGACTTACTCCTGCCATTTTGTTTGTTGTGTCCTGATTGTTTTGTATATTCTTTGTTCCTTTCTCTTTTATTCTTTACCTTTACAATTTTTTTTGTAGTGGTAACTTTGACTCCCTTCTCATTTGTCTATCCATTCTACAAGTGAGTTTTATACTTCTCTGTGTTTTCCTGATGGTAGACAGTGTCCTTTTGTTTTCAGATGTAGGATTCCCTTAAGCATTTCTTTAGGACTGATGAGTTCCCTCAGTTTTTGCTTGTCTGGGAAAGACTTTCTTTATTCTACATTTTTAAGGATAGCTTTGCTGGGTATGGTAGACTTGGCTGACAGTTTTGGATTTTCTTTTCCCTTTCAGCACTTTGAATTTCTTATCCCATTCTCTCCTGAATTTCTCCACAGAAAAATTCCCTGTTAGTCTGATGGTGATTCCCTTTTATGTTACTCGATGCTTTTCTTTTGCTGTTCTTAGAATTCTTTGTCTTTGACTTTTGACAATTTGACTATAACCTGCCTTGGGTTCAGTCTATTTGGGGATCTTTGTTCTTTTTGTACCTAGTTATCTATATCTCTTTCAAGACTTGGGAATTTTTCAGATATTATTTTATTAAATAGGTTTTCTGTGCCTCTTTCCATGTTTTCTCCTCTTAGAATTCCCAGAATTCAAATATTTGGTCACTTTATGGTGTCCCATACATTATGTAGACTTATCATTCTTTTTAATTTTATTTATTTATTTTTTTGGTGTGCTGGGTTATTTCAAAGGACCCGTCTTCAAGTTCAGAAATTATTTTGTCTGCTTGACTTGATCTGTTGTTGAAGCCCTTGATTGTATTTTCAATTTTAGTCATTGAATTCCAGGATTTCTGTTTGGTTCCTTTTTATGATATCTCTTTATTGAATTTCTCATTCAGGTAATTAACTGTTATTCTGATTCCTCTGTATTGTTCATCTTTTTTTTTTTTTTTTTTTTGAGATGGAGTCTCGCTCTGTCGCCCAGGCCAGAGTGCATAGCACAATCTCAGCTCACCGCAACCTCTGCCTCCCAGGTTCAAGCAATTCTCCTGCCTCAGCCTCCTGAATAGCTGGGATTATAGGCATGTGCCACTATGCCCAGCTAATTTTTGTATTTTTAGTAGAGACGGGGTTTCACCATGTTAGCCAGAATAGTCTTGATCTCCTGACCTCATGATCCACCCGCCTCAGCCTCCCAAAGTGTTGGGATTACAGGCATGAGCCACCGCGTCCAACCTCACTGAGTTTCTTTAATATCATTATTTTAATTTTTTTTAGGCATTTCAAAGATTTTTCATTGATAACTATTACTGAATAATTACTGTTTTCTTTTGGAGATGTCATGTTTCTTGCTTTTTTTATGTTTCTCATGCCCACGTCGATATCTGTGCATCTGGAGTAACAGTCACTTCTTCCAATTTTGTGGATTGCCTTTTGTAGGGAAAAAAACTTTTTCCTTTAAAGGCTATCTGTATTGTTGGTTGGGTATCGTGCGTTGGTGTTGATTCTAGATGGGCACAGTAGTATAGTTTCTATGGCTATAATCAGTGTCAGTAATGTCTATGATTTTCTCAGTGGCTTATGTTGCAGTTGTTAATGAAGGCTGTGGTGAGGCTTTGCAAGGGATGGAATGCCAGGTGGGCTGGTCCTTCAGCACCAGTGTTGGTGGCAGTGGGCTGGGTGTGCCAGTTCATGGGCCCTTGAGTGGACCAGTGTTTGGGCCTCCAGCTGGCTTGCTTGGGTGCTAGCAGTGGCAGCAGTGGACTAGGTGGGCAGGTCCTTGGGCCCTCACATGGTGTGCGTGGGGTCACTAGTGGCAATGATGGTAGACCAATCTTTGGACCCCAAGCAATGCATGTGGCACCAGCAGTGGCACCAGCAGACCAGGTAATCTAGTCTCCAGGGCCCTGGGTGGCACATGTGGGTGACTGCCAGTGGCTGTGGTAGTGGCAGGCTGGGTGGGCTAGTCCCTGGGCCCCTGGGAGGCATATGTGGACACTGGCAGAAGATGAAATGTGCATGTCTTACACCTCTGGATGGCACACATGTATGCCAGTAGTGGTGGGCAAGGTAGGCCTATCTCCAGGCCTCCAGACAGCTTGCATGGACAGCACTGACAGGCAGGGTGGGTCAATCTCCAGACCCTTAGATAACATGCTTGGGCACCAGTGGTGGTGGTGGTCAGCTGGGTAGACCTGTCCTCAGGCCCCTGGATGGCACACATCACCACCAGTTGCAGTAGGCACGGCAGTTTGATACACAGGCCTATAGATGGTGCACTCAGGCACTGTTGGCAACAGTTGGAGTTGGCCTGTCCTCAGGCCCCAAAACAGTATGTTGGTTGACCATTCCTCAGGGCCCTTGAAGGTACATGCAGATGTGTAGTGCCCCAGCCCTGAAGGAGATAGGGTTGCTGTCAGTGGCAGCAGCCCTAAGTAGGTGGCTTTCATGATCTAGGGAGTACATGGTTCCGCTCCTTTTATTCTGGGGTCACTCTCTCTAGTTTGTTGCACTGCCCACTTCCCAGGGTGTAAGACACTGTGAACAACAGTGCTGGGGACCTGGCTGCACTGCTGGATCCATCCAGCATAGTGACACTGAAGCCCTCTGGGTGGGCATGAGAGTATGTTAGCAGGGCTTTAGGGATGTGGAGATGCGGGGGCTGTGGAGTCCCAGGGCAGGATGTAGTCCAGCGGGGGCTGGGCTCTCAATATAGTACCATGCTGCAACTGCTTGGGTCTCAGAAGCTTGGTGGGACCCAGCACAAACTCCTGTGGAACAATGCCATTGTGTGGACTCCAGGCAGCTCCCTATACAAGTCTCAGGGCCTGTGAGGGCCAAGGGGCTCTCTTGTGGCTGGTTAGGATTCCAGGAGTCCATGGTGGGAATACCGACTGTTGGCATTCTCTCCCTTACTTTCCCCTACTCCTCCTGCAATGGGGACTTCCTCCTGGCTCTGAGCTGATCCAGCTTGGCCAGCTGCTTTCCTTCCCTCTTCTTTCATGCCTCAGAGGTTCCCTGTCACTTCCCTGCTGAATTCCAGTGTTCCCTCTTAGAAGCTGTTATTTTATATGTTGTTATCTACTCACTGTTTTAATCCTTCTGTGTAAAGAGGCAAGTGCTGGGTGCCTCTAGTCAGGGATCTTGAAGCCCCCTCTTAATGAGGATTTTTTTTTTTTTTTTTTTTTTTTTTGAGATGGAGTCTCAGTCTGTCTCATAGGCTGGAGTGCAATGGTGCAATCACAGCTCACTGCAGTCTTGACCTCCCTGGGCTCAGGTGACCCTCCCACCTCAGTCTCCCAGGGAGGCTGGGCCTATAGCTGGGACTATAGGCATGTGCCACCATGCTCAGTTAATTTTTTTATTTTTGGTAGAGATAGGCTTTTTCCATTTTGCCCAGACTGGTCTCAAACTCCTGGACTCAAGCAATCCGCCCTCCTCAGCCTACTAAAGTGCTAGGATTATAGACATGAGCCATTGCCCCTGGCCACAACAAGGATTATTAATTTAACTTTGCTACATGGATGAAAAGCTAGAAACAACCAATTTGTGTTTCACAGTGGGAAATTGGTTAAATAAGCTGGAATATTATAGAATCTTTAAAAATAATAATATAGAATATTTAGTAAAAATTAATATAAAGCAAAAAAAGGTTAAAACTAAGTACAGTGTGTGTGTATATATATAAATAATTTATATAATCACTCGAATTATATGCAACAAAATGTGGGATTTTATTGGTTATCATTTTATTTTCCAATCTTAGTGCACATGTATTGTTTTATATGCAAAGAAACTTTTTTTAAAAAAAAAATGGAACTTGATAACTAAGCAAATTTGATGGTCTTGGAATATAAGAATACTGTAGTGAATTATTATGCAATGGATTTTTAAAGTATTAATATTAGTTAAATGTAAGATTGTCATGCACCTATAATCATATGGCTTTTTTGTTGTTGCTGTTTCAACCTGAGAAAATTCATTTACTGAATTCCCCATACAGCAAATACCATCCTACTCACTGAAACACATTTCAGTCACTTTCACTCCTACTTCCCAACACTTTTACCATGTGCTAACTGCAACTGGAATATCCTCCTTTGTTTTTCTTACTCCTACCTCTTTCAAGCTTCTCATGGCCGGCCTAGCACATACATAGTTTTAGTTTATTATTATTTGCCTTCATCAGCTCCATTCAACACTCATCTCTTCTTTTTTTGAATTTCTGTAGTGTATATTCTCATGGTGTTTAGTACGTATTGGTACTGTGATGTTCAGTAACAAGTTCTTTGAGGGTAGGATCCATACGTTAGAGTTTTAGAACTTCACAGAAGCTAGGTAAAAGTAGAGATTTAGTAGATGCTCAGTGAATTTTCATTGACCCAGGAAGAGTGTTGTAATATTAACTGCATAAGGGAGGATGCTTTAGTAACATTGACTGAAAGTGAGTTCTGTAATAACAAGAGCATAAGGAAGGCATGCACTTTATTTGGTTTGCAAGATGAGTCTTAGAACTGTTTGGTTCAACCCACAAATATATAACCACATCTACCTTTCACTATATATTTATATATTTAAATATATATACTTATATATATATTTATATATTTAAATATATATACTTATATATATATTTAAAATGAATTAAATCAAAATTTACAGTGATTACTCAAATCAAAGTTGATGCTATCCAGCAATCTTTTATTTCTTTAAATAGACAACTAAGGTACAGAAATGGTATGGTCCGAATGTTTGCATCCATACAAAATTCATATGTTGAAACCTAATCCCCAATGTGATGGTATTAAGAGCTGTATCCTTTGAGAGATAATCAGTTAATGAAGGCTACACCCTCATGAATAAAATTATTCCTTTTATAAAAGAAGCCTGGGGGAGCTTGTTTGCCATTTGGGCCATGCAAGGACACATAGAAGGCATCATCTATCAAGCAGAGAGCAAGCCCTCATCAGACACCAAATCTGCTGGCACCTTGATCTTGAATGAAATTTCCAGCCCTCAAAACTGTGAACAATACATTTCTGTTGTTTATAAATTACCTAGTCTAAGGTATTTTGTTATAGCATCCTGAATAAACTAAGACAATAGATGTCGGTCTCCATAATAATTTCTAACTCCTATACTTAACACAACTGTCTTGGAATTTTTTAACTTGATATGCTCAATTATCTCTAGCAACTGACCACCAAACTCCAGCTATGGATACTGGACCTTCATGCATAATTTATTCTGGCATGTTCTTCCATAGCTTATTCAAAAATAACTTTGGAAATAACTCTCCCATTGAAATAGTGAATCACTTAGTTGGTTTGGTCTTCATGAAGTATCAATTTGGTTTTTCCTGTTTATGAGAGGAGCCTGTTAGTCTTTATTAATGTAAAATAACTTCTTCCATTTCTCTTTACATGCATGTTTTAATATACTGAGGTTATTTGTTATACCTACTTGATTTCCATTCAGGTTTGGCTCTGTACTCAGAGGTTGTTAGTATATAGGAATATGTCTTAGACTCAGAATATCAGTGGTTACACAAAGTCTAAGGACATAAGCCACCCAGAATTCACAGATATAAGAAGTCCATAATAGCAGGAACATAGGATCTTGCAATCTCATTGCTCCATCATCTTCAACCTATGCTTCCATTTTGAGGTTAAGGCATCTTGCCTGTTTTCAAGCTGGCAGGAATTGAAAGATGACATTTTCCCATTAGAGGCATGACCTACAGGTTTTGTGCAATATTTTAATATATATTCCATTGACCATAAATGAGTCATATTACCTCATGTGCCTGTGATGAGAATAAGGAAAGTTTCAAATGGCTTTAAAGGGAAGCATGATAATAAGCAGTCAGCAGAGGTCTTAAATTGATTGTATCTCTTACCAGTTACATTTCAATAGAAAATGACCTGGTTTCAGCTGGGTGCATTGGTTCATGCATATAATCCTAGCACTTTGGGAGGCTGAGGAGGGTGGAAAACTTGAGCTCAAGAGTTTGAAACCAGCTTGGGCAACATGGCAAAACCCTGTCTCTACAAAAAAAATATATAAATTAGCTGGGTGTGGTGATGTGTGAAAAGAAAATGATCTGGTTTCATCATAAATTCATCGATCATGAATTCAGGCAGGAGGGTAGGTTGGTAGGTTAGATGTCCCAGTAGGTTAGCACAATCTTTGGAGAAGTGAAAAGGCTGAGAGAAAGTGCCTCTATGGGGCAGGTACATGCTCAGAAGGTACAGCCATGTTCAAGATGTGGGAGATTGGCCTTTTCCCAAAACGTGGTTTTGAGCTTAATCTTAAATTATCAACTATTAATAGACCTTTCTTCCCAAGTGATGTGCCCAAATCTGGGCAGCAAGCCGAATACGAGCACCTCCAAAGCAAACATATTACAAAGGAAATCTAAATCATGCTTCAAGAAAGGTGAAGGTTTGTTGCTTTCTTAAGTACCCACGTACTCTCCACCCAAATCTGTCAGGGACGTTGGAGCATTTGTTTTACTCTAACTTACCTGGAAATCAAAGTCAGTTCCCTTCAGTCTATTACAGACATGAAACTTGTTAACCAGACTCAATCTGGTGGACCCCCCCAACAGGATAATGTTGAAGAGTATATCCATTATCTTAAATGGAATGCACATTTGCGAGAAGCAGTATAGAAAATGTTTAAGGGCAGGCCAGGCGCGATGGCTCACGCCTGTAATCCCAGCACTTTGGGAGGCTGAGGCGGGCAGATCCCAAGGTCAGGAATTCAAGACCAGCCTGGCCAACATGGTGAAACTCCATCTCTACCAAAAATACAAAAATTAGCCGGGTGTGGTGGCACGGACCTGTAGTCCCAGCTACTCGGGAGGCCGAGGCAGGAGAATTGCTTGAACTCAGGAGGCAGAGGTTGCAGTGAGCCAAGACCCGGCCATTGCACTCCAGCCTGGGCAACAGAGTGAGACTCCATCTCAAAAAAAAAAAAAAATGGTTAAGGGCACCAGTTTCTCCACTTGACAACTGAGTAACTTTTGGTCAGTTAATATAACCTCTCAGAGGTAGTTCCTTCATCTGTAAAATATGCATGATTACCTACACAGAGTTTCATTAGGGGTTAAATGAGATGATATAAAGTGCCAGATACTTTGTGGGTATTTTATTATTATTGTAATTATACAATATAATAATGAGGCCTGGGTGCGATGGCTCATGCCTGGAATCCCAGCACTTTGGGAGGCCGAAGTGGGTGGATCACCTAAGGTCAAGCATTCGAGACCAGCCCGGCCAACATGGTGAAACCCTGTCTCTACTAAAAAATTACCAAAAGTTAGACAGGCATAGTGGCATGCACCTGTAATCCCAGCTACTCATGAGACTGAATCAGGAGAATCGCTTGAACCAAGGAGGCAGAGGTAGCAGGGAGCCAAGATCGCACCATTGTAATCCAGCCTGGGCAACAAGAGCGAAACTCCATCTCAAAAAAAAAAAAAAAAAAGACTTAGAGAAACAAAAGTACATATTCATGAGTTGTAAAATCCTACAATATTGTTAAATATCTGTTCATCTAAAATTAATAGATTAATGTAACTCCAACTAAAATCTCAAAATTTTATTGAGTTTAATAAGCTTTTCTAAATATTTTAATGAAAATGTAAAGAGCCAAGAATAGCTAAAACATTCTTGATGAAGAAGGAACTAAGAGAAAACTTGTTCAACCCTGTGTGAAAACTTCATTTAAAGCTTTGTAAACTGACAGTGTGGTATCGGTACAAGGATGGACAAATGGACCAATGGACCAACAAAAAAAAAAGCACATTTGGTGGATAATAAATGGGATACTGTAGAAGTGTAAGAAAAGAAAGAACTATTCAGTAAATCATGCTGACATAATTAGATATCCTTATGGAAAATATATCACACACATCAAAATTTCAGGTGCAGCATTTAGAAGAGAATATAGAAAATATCCACAGGACTTTTGGATAGGAGAGGATTTCTTAAACAAGGAACAACACATAATGATACTAAATATTAGGGGAAAAGATGAATTCAATGACATTAAATTTGTAAGTTAAGAATAAATGAAATAGGCCGGGTGCGGTGGCTCGTTCCTGTAATCCCAGCACTTTGAGAGGCTGAGGCAGGCGGATCACGAGGTCAAGAGATCGAGACCATCCTGGCCAACAAGGTGAAACCTCATCTCTACTAAAAATATAAAAATTAGCCTAGTGTGATGGCAGGCGCATGTAGTCCCAGCTACTCAGGAGGCTGAGGCAGGAGAATCACTTGAACCTGGGAGGCAGAGGTTGCAGTGAGCCGAGATCATGCCACTGCACTCCAGCCTGGCAACAGAGTGAGACTCCATCTCAAAGTAAGTAAGTAAGTAAATAAATAAATAAATAAATAAATAAATAAATAAATAAAATAAAGAACTATATTCATCAAAAGAAACTGAAAGTCACAGGTCAGAGAAGTTATTTGCAATATAAATAATTTACCCAGAATTGACATGAAAACACAGAATATATAAAGAACTTGTATCAGTCCATGAGAAAAATATAGACAATTCAATAGAAAAATGGGGAAAAACAGAGACTTCCCACAAGATGAGATCCAAAATGGTCACATTGAAAGTTAATAGTTCTGTTGGCTGGGTGCGGTGGCTCACGCTTGTAATCCCAGCACTTTGGGGGGGCCGAGGCGGGCGGATCACGAGGTCAGGAGATCGAGACCATCCTGGCTAACACTGTAAAACTCCGTCTCTACTAAAAATACAAAAAAATTAGCCGGGCATGGTGGCGGGACCTGTACTCCCAGCTTCTTGGGAGGCTCAGGCAGGAGAATGGTGAGAACCCGGGAGGCGGAGCTTGCAGTGAGCCGAGATCGCGCCACTGCACTCCAGCCTAGGCGAAAGAGTGGGACTCTGTCTCAAAAAAAAAAAAAGAAAAAAAAGTTCTGTTTATATATTAGTTATGAAACAAACCACTCTAAAAGTCAGTGGCTTAGTATAACATTTATTTTGTTCACAAACTTGCAATTAGATCTGAGTGCCATGGGGTCAGCTTGTCTTTGATTCACTGTGCATGAGCTATGGCTGCTTGAAGTTGGGCTCAAATTATCTGAAGATTCCAGCAATTAAATGTCTGAAGGTTGATTCTGGCTGTTGGCTATAACCTGAATTTGGACTCTGATAGGATCAGCTACATGTAGGCTCTCCACACTGCTGCTTGGCTTCCTTGCAACATGGTGGCCAGATCTCAAGGACAAGCTGAGAGAGAGAGATTGGGGATGAATGAATATGTGAATGCATCAGGCAGAAGGTATTTTGCCTTTTATCATTTAGTCTGCGATTTCAGGAATGGTGTCACTTCTGCTTCACTCTTTTTGTTAAAAGCAAGTCATTAATTCCACTCCATAGTCAAAGAGAGGGGAATTAGACTCTACCTTTTGATGGGCAGAATGCCAAATAATTGGTGGACATATTTTAAAACAACTACAGCAATCACCCGTATTAGAAATTAGGAAATTGCAAATTAATCCTGTAATTAGATACTACTGATCTTCTACCAGAATTGCTAAAATTAAAAAGACAAAAAGTAATCATTATTGGTAAGGATGTGAAGTAGTAAGAACTTTCTTTTTTTTTTGAAACGGAGTCTCGCTCTGTTACCCAGGCTGGAGTGCAGTGGCGCCATCTCGGCTCACTGCAAGCTCCGCCTCCCGGGTTCACGCCATTCTCCTGCCTCAGCCTCCCGAGTAGCTGGGACTACAGGCGCCAGCCACCACGCCCGGCTAATTTTTGGTATTTTTAGTTTCTCCGTGTTAGCCAGGATGGTCTTGATCTCCTGACCTGGTGATCCGCCCGTCTTGGCCTCCCAAAGTGCTGGGATTACAGGCGTGAGCCACTGCTCCCGGCCCAAGTAGTAAGAACTTTCATCACTACTACTGAGAATCTAAATTGATAAAACCACTTTAGAAAACAGTTGGATATTATTCAGTAAGTTAAGGATATACATATCCAATTATCCTAGATATATATCCAAGAGAAATGTTTGCACATGTGCAAATATGTACGAGAATGTTCATAGTAGTATTGTTTGTATAACCAAGAACTAGAAACAACCTGCGTGCTCATTTACAGAAATTGGATAGTGTTGAATGCAAGTCAACAATGACAACGGACAGGTCAGAGATATGTACAATATGAATGAATCTTATAAAAATAATTTTGTGAAAAGGCGACACAAAAAGAAAGTATGATTATACTTATGTAAATTTCAAACCAAACAAAATTATGTTGTATTGTTCAGGGATATATGTGTAGGTGGTAAAATGTATTAAAATGTAAATAAATGGACTGGGCACAGTGGCTCATGCCTGTAATCCCAGAACTTTGGGAGGCCGAGGTTGGCAGATCACCTGAGGTCAGGAGTTTGAGACCAGCCGGGCCAACGAGGTGAACCCCTGTCTCTACTAAAAATACAAAAATTAGCCGGATGTGGTGGTGTGTGCTTATAATCCCAGCTACTCGGGAGGCTGAGGCATGAGAATCACTTGAACCTGAGAGGCGGAGGTTGCAGTGAGCTGAGATCACCCCAATGCACTCCAGGCTGGGCGACAGAGAGAGGCTCTGTCTCAAAAAAACAAACAAAAAAAAAGAATGTAAATAAATGATTACCATAAGTCAGGATTGTGATTTTCTGTGGGAGTGAAGAGAGTGTGCAAGGCAGAGGTTGTGAATGGAAGAGGCATGACAGCGTTGCTCTATTTATCCTGAGTTATGGTTAAACATGTGTACACTGTAAAACTACTTTTCAAAGCTCTACACGTAGGTCTTATTTACTTCTCTGTATATTTCACAATAGAAAAACATAAACACGGAAGCTTTTTATATATTAATGTGGAAAGAGTTCCAAAATATATTGTGAAGTATCAAAAGCAAGGTCCAGAACATATGAATCTATATTTGTATTTATATGCAAGTAGATAAAGAAGAATAGACAAGAAATTAATAATAGCAGAAACCTCTGGAGGATGAAGGAAAGGGTAGAAACCAAGTAGGTAGGTGACGGATGGGAGGAAACTTTTCACTGTAACTATTTATTTGTCTTTTAAACTCTGTGAGTGTATTACCTTTTCAAAATATAAGCCAAATTAACAAACAAAATCTCTTAAAGCCCTATAAGAGACCTCAGAGAAAAGTATGTCTTCTTAGAACAGATTCCCACTCCCTCAAGGCTTCATGTGTTATCTTCATTCTTAGGAGCCAGGAGCTCAGGAGTCAGTGTTTGTTTCTGGACAGAGAAAAGGTTTGGAAAGAATTAGGGATTACGCGGATCAATACCTGCAGCTCCCCAGATGGGACTGTAAGTCTCAGATGCTTAGTCCTACTGCAGGGTCAAGCTTTAACTTCTCATACAAGCACTGACCAGCATGGTGGATCAATGTGATTAAACAGCCCTGTGGTTAGCAATTTGGTCAGGTTTACACACATAATCACAACAGGGAGCTATACAAACAGAGTTCAGAACATTTAGCAATGAACAGACCATTCCTGTCCCCTTTCAGGAAAAACTTATGTATTGAGTGTTTCCTTGTACTCTGGTGAACCATTTATTTAACAAATTATTAATGAGTAGCTGCTACATCACAAGTACTCTGCTGGGCACTGGGGCTATGGCTGTGAATAAAATGGGCAAAACTTCCTCTCCTCATGGATTTTGTATTCTAACGTGAAATGCAAAGAAATGAAATGAATAAGTAAAATATGTAATATACTAGATAGTGATAAGCATTACTTAGAAAAATAAAGCAGGAAAGATAATAGCAATGGCTGGTGTTTTTTTTTTTTTCAATGTTTTGTATTTTTAAAGATGTCGAACAGGAGAAGTCCCCACTGAGAAAGTGATATTTAAGAAAAGACCTAAAGGGGATAAGGAGAGGAACAGGGCACATATTTGGGAAAAGGAGTTTCCAGGCAAACAGCAAGTGCAAAGGCCTGAGGCAGGAGTATGCCTGACATTTGAGGAAGAGCAAGGGGGTCTTGTGGCTAGAGGGGAAGAACAGGGAGAAGAGCCCTCACAGGCCACTAGAAGCACTTTGGCTATTAAATTGAATGAGAAGGGAACCCTGGGAGAGTCTTGAACAGAGGCACTGCTGCTGCATTTAGAATACATAGTAAGAGGGCGGTGATAAATAGAAGCAGGGAGACCAGTGAAGAGCATATTGTGAAAATCTGTGTGAGATGTGATGATAGATTTTCTAGCATGGTAGCAATGGAAGTGGTAAAAAAAAAATGGTTAGGTTATGGATATATTTTGAAGGTAGAGCTGATGGGATATAGGATCTGAAGGAAAGAGCAATCACAGATGATAGCACGGATGGACTGGCTGTTTATTGAGATGGGGAAGATTCTTGAGAAGCAAGCCTGGAAGAATAACCAGGAGTTTATTTTTTTGAAAGGTAAAAAATGCTTGTCAAAAAAGCAGCTGCAGACCAGGCACCAAGGCTCACACCTGTAATCCTAGCACTTTGGGAGGCCGAGGTGGGTGGATCACCTGAGGTCAGGAGTTTGAGACCAGCCTGGCCAATATAGTGAAACTCCATCTCTACTAAAAATACAAAAATTAGTTGAGTGTGGTGTCATGTGCCTGTAATCTCAGCTATTCAGGATGCTGAGGCAGTAGAAACGCTGGAACCTGGGAGGCAGGGGAGGTTGCAGTGAGCTGAGATCGTGCCACTGCACTCCAGCCTGGGCCACAGAGCAAGACTCCGTCCCCCCAAAAAAAAAAAAAAAAAGGTAGCGAGTCTGGTGTGTGAAGCAGCATTCCAAGATGGAAAGAAGCATTTGTATATATATGGTATTTAAGGACTGAGCCCTGAGTATGCTAATATTTAGGGTAGGATCAGGTAAGCGATCATTTAATTTATGCATATAATAGTAAGTACTATTAATATAACTAAAATAATCTCAGGAATCCTGTGTATATTCCAGGAGCTTCTAAAACCACTCTTGGGGAGTCAGCAAAAACTTTCAGAAAGAGGTAATGGGTTATGTCTAAACTGAGATCTGAAGGACAAGTAGGAACTGGCAAATAAGAAAAGGGGAGGACCCTCCAGTGAAAATGCAACTGCAAAGTCCACAAGCAAGAGAGGACATGAAACAATCAGGAATTTCACTGTCCCTTCCACTTCAACTTCTCTGTCACACTTGTTCTGTCGGAGGAACGACTACAGGAGTTTTTGGAAAGTTAAATTGTAGAGATTTAAAATTGGGGTTTGGTGGGCAATATTTATGTGGCTTCTAGTCACTTCTGTGTGGAAGAAAATTATTTGGCATATAGTCAGGTAACTCCTAGAACATACCAACTCAGAGGCAGCCTCAACAAAAGCCCAGTTGCCTGAAATAAGCTCCGGTTTTCAAACACAGGAACTCCTGGTTCCTGTCAAAACGGATCCAAACGTTATCCAATCAGAAATGAAATTCTGAAAGTCTGGCTCCCTTCCATGCAAAGAAAACCCTTTGAGATTTTTGATAGGAGGTGGTTAAGACACTTGCTCCCTGAGGCAGAGGTGTTAATTCCATAGCTCCCCCGGTTCTTCTCAAGCAGGGTTTCCCGAGGGCTTTGCTTGCTGGGCTCCTCCTGGATTCTCTCTGTAGTTCCTCCTCTGAGCTCAAGGAAGCTTTTGAAGAAAGGACTTCAAAGGTCAAATATTTGACAGATTGGGACTGCGTAGAGATGGAGGGACTGAAGACACCTGCTTCTTGAAGGGGCCAATTTTAAAGAGGCAGAAAAAGGGAGGAGTGAGTAAGGAGGAAGGAATGAAAAAGACTCAGGAAAACAATGAAACCATCTTCATGTTGGAAAAACAGTAAAAATTGAACGGAATATTAGCAGTGCTACCTATTCGTAAGCAGCGTGGCACAGTAGAAGCCTGCTGGGCTCATGACCTCAGAGACTGAGAGATCAAAACCATCCTGGCCTACAGGCAACTCAGAGTTTAAATCTACTTCTGTATTTTCCCTAAAAGTCTGATAATCAAATCAGTGATGGCACTCCATGGAAAGATATCACTTGATAAATTTCTGGTAGTTGTTTGCCTATGACACATTGCTCCAGGCCTAAAAATTCTCTCCTCTCGAGCTCCCAACATGGAAACAATTGGGAATACTAAGTTAGAGCCTCCATCCATCGAGGTGGACTTGCATATTGTGTACAATTTCTTGGAGGAAAGGGGATGACAAATTCCACATTGACTTCCATTACACCTTTCAGTAAAGGGGCTTTAAAATTGTTATTTACCTATTATGTTTTGATTATGTACTAGCAGTAGATGCAAATATAACACAATCCAGAAAAACTATTTTTAACACACATTTTGGGTAACAGGAAATAACAATGGACTTCAATATTTATACCTATATTTGGTCCAAAGAAGTATCATAGAAAGATCAAGAAAAAACTACAAAATGACATTGTACTGGGATAAAAATTCTATAAGAGACAGGCAATGGCACTATGAATGCAGAGAAATAAAGGATCAATGTAAAATCTTCCACAATTAAAGAGGTAGCAATGTTCACCTCTCTCTTTTAAAAGGTTGCTGGTAAGTATTAAATTACTGTGGTTTTTAGATTCCTATGATACAAGTCACTATATCCTTCAGAAAAATTTAAACTTAATGAAAAACGTTAGATGTCCACTGAAAAAATTGTGGTAGGTATCACGTTTGTCAAAATTCTTTTAGACAGGCAAGAACACCCCAGAGCAGTGAAAAGTACAAAGTAGGCCCATCACAGTCACCACGACATTCTCTTCCTTTTTAATGACTTGCTTTTTTCTTGCACCAAGAAAAAAATAATGGGAGATTTTATGAGATTTGTCAGGCTCTTACCATTGCTTTCCACTGGTTGCTTCCCACTTTTTTTTTTTTTTTTTTTTTTTTTTTTGAGACGGATTCTCGCTCTATCACCCAGGCTGCAGTACAGTGGCGCGATCTTGGCTCACTGCAATCTCCGCACCCCCCGGCTTCAAGCAATTCTCCTGCCTCAGCCTCCTGAGTAGCTGGGATTACAGGCATGCACCACCACGTCTGGCTACTTTTTTTTTTTTTCTTTTGTATTTTTAGTAGAGGCGGTTTCACCATGTTGGCCAGGCCGGTCTCGAACTCCTGACCTCAGGTGATCCGCCCGCCTTGGCCTCCCAAAGTGCTGGGATTACAGGCGTGAGCCACCGCTCCCGGCCAACTTCCCACTTCTCTTGTTTTTGTTTTTTAATTGTTTCTTTGTTCCTCTTTGTGTCTTTTTTGGTTATTTCTTGTTGCGCAGTAAATATGACACTGCTGACGGATTTAACTAAACATTACATAAATATTTATTAGGGGCAATCAGTTGTTTTCTTGTTTATTTTTCTTTCCACGAACCACACAAATAAGAATTTGGTTTTTTGATGTTGCTTACATTTCTTTTCTATCAACCTGAAGAAAACATAAACGAATGGTGGTTGAACTGATTCTGTGGAACTTCCACTGAATTACTCTTTTCGCATGTAAGATCACTGAACCGTGATAATCATTGATCCTATTTGTAGAACTGTATGAAACAGTTCCCTAAGGAGCCTGGGTAGCTCAGTCGGTAGAGCATCAGACTTTTAATCTGAGGGTCCAGGGTTCAAGTCCCTGTCCAGGCGCTAAAAATGCAACTTTTACTTGCTTAGAGTGAGGAAACATCAAGAAATGAGTTGAGTTTGACCTTAGCCAGTAGCAAAGATTTGAGAACAGAGGGCTAGGTGAAGAGTTATCTTTTTTTTGGGACAGAGTCTCACTCTGTAGCCCAAGCTGGAGTGCAGTGGCACCATCTCGGCTCATTGCAACCTTCGCCTCTGGGGCTCAAGCGATTCTCCTGCCTCAGCCTCCCAAGTAGCTGGGACTACAGGCGCGCGCCACCATACCTGGTTAATTTTTTTGTATTTTTAGTAGAGACGGGGTTTCACCATGTTGCCCTCGGTGGTCTCCAGCTCCTGAGCTCAGGCGATCCACCCGCCTCGGCCTCCCAAAGTGCTGGGATTACAGGCGTGAGACATCGCTCCTTGCCTGAAGAGTTCTTAGACATGACATCAGAAATAATTCGTGAAAGAAAAGTTGGTTAATTGTGTATGTGACTAGCAATTCGATGAGAGTCCTCGGGCTCCAAGCCCGAGTGGCGAGCACTTTACCAAGGAAAATCAAAGAGGGCAGTCCTTCAGTCTTAGTGTGGACAGGGAGATAGAGTAAATGAGAAAAAAAAAATACGAGCATGCTAGCCTTAGCCCATGTTCCATCATCATCCAAAAGCTTACATTACTAATGATAAAACATTTGCAATATTCCAGAATGACCCTGTCTAGCGTCATCATAAAGGAAGCTACAAACGAGAGCTGGTGTTCAGGGACTTCCTAAAAGCTCTGTTCCCTGATTGATATAAGCTACAAGAAGAGGAAGATCTTATCTTTATTAGTTTATTATTATTTTTTCGTGTTTCTGTCAAAACGGCGCCAAAAGGGATCCAATCGAAATTGCAGCTGTCATGTAATAATTTGAGCTACACATCAGGTTTATCCTCTTTATTTCAGGGGCACCGTTTTTGTTTTGCTTAAAATCTTGTGCCTTTGCAAGCAAATGAAAAAACTCTCATTTGATCATTACATATTTATACATGTATCGAAATATCACTCTATATCCCATATATACGTACAATACTTACTGTCAACTAAACTTCTTAAAATTACACTGCTATCACGAACAATTTCATTAAAGTCAGAAGTTGGAAGTTGTCAAGCTCATGATAATGGATACAAGTTTTGCAACATTCAAATTTTTTGCTAGAAAGCCCCAATCTTATCATTGGTCACAAATACTGTCAGTTGTTTTCCTTGAAGTGGCAGGCTCACTTGGTTAATTAAAAATTAAAAAAAAAAAATCATGTCTGTCAAATACCAAGTCTTAATAACCATAGCTTCTTAATCATTCTTTCAAATAAAAATGGTGTTTTCTGAAAAAGCCACTAGTTATGCTTGCAACGGAATAAGTTGGAGGAGTGCTTTTTCGGGAGATAACATTGTGCTGAGGTATGCAACAGAAGTCCTTTATGTATACTTCCCATTTCGTCACACAGAACACACACAACTCGAGTTGAACTTTAATAAAATTAATCATTTTTACTGCATCAAGGGGAAAACATCTCTTCTACGGTTGTCTATGAAATTTTTTGACAGAAACAAATAAGACTGTTAACACGATTCCTCTCCGGTGGCAGCTGCGTTCGCTCCACGACTGCCTGGATTCTACTCGAGAAGACTACACCTAGTGTTTTGCTTGGCGCCCTCCTCCTAGGCTCGCTATGATAAACGAGTGCTTGCTAAGAGGCTCAGACGATCTTTGGCAGGTTGGAAAAGCACAGATCTGGAGGTTATGACCTGAGGCCATCTGATTATCGGGTAGCGAATCTTCGACTTGCTTGGCAGAGATAGGGACAGTGTAAACGATCAGATACAAAATGAAATAATTAGACAATGAAAATTTTGTCGGTACTGAAAGGTGATTTTGATGATTGAAATTAAGATCAGTGGTCTTCAGAAACCGCTTAGCAGAGTGGCGCAGCGGAAGCGTGCTGGGCCCATAACCCAGAGGTCGATGGATCGAAACCATCCTCTGCTATGAGTTTTACAGCTAAATCGACACGCAAAAAACAAAAACCAAGTCCCTAGGTTTTCATGCATTCAACAGTTTCTGAAAACCCTCATTTCTGCTTCTGCTCTTTGTTATGTGTTTCTTTCCCACCTTTGAAATCTCACCATTCTCCCAAAACTCACCTACTTCACTGATCCACACCGTCCTACATTGGAAAATTCCTTTCCTCCCAGGTGTCGGACAAACAAAAGCATACGCTCAGCTGAGATGCTTTTTTATTACTA